>NC_000019.10:26212794-26538821 GCF_000001405.40 Homo sapiens | reverse complement strand
TAGTTTTGAAACGAAGATATTTCCTTTTCTGCCATTGACCTTAAAGCGCTTGAAATCTCCACTTGCCAATTGCACAAAAAGAGTGTTTCAAATCTGCTCTGTCTAAGGGAACGTTCAACTCTGTGAGTTGAATGTACACAACACAAGGAAGTTACTGGGAATTCTTCTGTCTAGCCTTACAGGAAAAAAACCCGTTTCCAACGAAGGCCTCTAAGTGGTCAAAATATCCACGTGCAGACTTTACAAACAGAGTGTTTCCAAACTGCTGAATGAAAAGAAAAGTTAAACTCTGAGAGTTGAACGCACACCTCGCAGAGCAGTTTCTGAGAATGATTCTGTCTAGTTTTTATAGGAAGATATTTCTTTTTCTACCATTGACCTCAAAGCGGCTGAAATCTCCACTTGCAAATTCCAGAAAAAGAGTGTTTCAAGTCTGCTCTGTGTAAAGGATCGTTGAACTCTGTGAGTTGAATACACACAACACAATGAAGTTAATGAGAATTCTTCTTTCTAGCAGAATATGAAGAAATCCCGTTTCCAACGAAGGCCTCAAAGAGGTCTGAATATCCACTTGCAGACTTTACAAACAGAGTGTTTCCTAACTGCTCTATGAAAAGAAAGGTTAAACTCTGTGAGTTGAACGCACACATCTCAAAGGAGTTTCTTAGAATCATTCTGTCTAGTTTTTATTCGAAGATATTTCCTTTTCTACCATTGACCTCAAAGCGGCTGAAATCTCCACTTGCAAATTCCACAAAAAGAGTGTTTCAAGTCTGCTCAAAGGATCGTTCAACTTTGTGAGTTGAATACACACAACACAAGGAAGTTGCTGAGAATTCTTCTGTCTAGCAGAATATGAAGAAATCCCGTTTCCAACGAAGGCCACAAGATGTCAGAATATCCACTTACAGAATTTACAAACAGAGTGTTTCCTAACTGCTCTATGAAAAGAAAGGTTAAACTCTGTGAGATGAACGAACACATCACAACGCAGTTTGTGGGAATGATTCTGTCTAGTTTTGAAACGAAGATATTTCCTTTCCTGCCATTGACCTTAAAGCGCTTGAAATCTCCATTTGCCAATTGCACAAAAAGAGTGTTTCAAATCTGCTCTGTCTAAGGGAACGTTCAACTCTGTGAGTTGAATGTACACAACACAAGGAAGTTACTGGGAATTCTTCTGTCTAGCCTTACATGAAAAAAACCCGTTTCCAACGAAGGCCTCTAAGTGGTCAAAATATCCACGTGCAGACTTTACAAACAGAGTGTTTCCAAACCGCTGAATGAAAAGAAAAGTTAAACTCTGAGAGTTGAACGCACACATCACACAGCAGTTTCTGAGAATGATTCTGTCTAGTTTTTATACGAAGATATTTCCTTTTCTGCCTTTGGCCCCAAAGCGCTTGAAATCTCCACTTGCAAATTCCACAAAAAGAGTGTTTCAAATCTGCTCTCTCTAAATGAAAGTTCAACTCTGTCAGTTGAATACACACAACACGAGGAAGTTACTGAGAATTCTTCTGTCTAGCATAATATGAAGAAATGCCGTTTCCAACGAAGGCCTCAAAGAGGTCTGAATATCCACTTGCAGACTTTACAAACAGAGTGTTTCCTAACTGCTCTATGAAAAGAAAAGTTAAACTCTGTGAGTTGAACGCACACATCACAAAGGAGTTTCTGAGAATCATTCTGTCTAGTCTTTATACGAAGATATTTCCTTTTCTACCATTGACCTCAAAGCGGCTGAAATCTCCACTTGCAAATTCCACAAAAAGAGTGTTTAAAGTCTGCTCTCTGTAAAGGATCGTTCAACTCTGTGAGTTGAATACACACAACACAAGGAAGTTACTCAGAATTCTTCTGTCTAGCAGAATATGAAGAAATCCCGTTTCCAACGAAGGCCTCAAGGAGGTCTGAATATCCACTTGCAGACTTTACAAACAGAGTGTTTCCTAACTGCTCTATGAACAGAAAGGTAAAACTCTGTGAGTTGAACGAACACATCACAACGCAGTTTGTGGGAATGATTCTGTCTAGTTTTGAAACGAAGATATTTCCTTTTCTGCCATTGACCTTAAAGCGCTTGAAATCTACACTTGCAAATTGCACAAATAGAGTGTTTCAAATCTGCTCTGTCTAAGGGAACGTTCAACTCTGTGAGTTGAAAGCACACAACACAAGGAAGTTACTGGGAATTCTTCTGTCTAGCCTTACATGAAAAAAACCCGTTTCCAACGAAGGCCTCTAAGTGGTCAAATTATCCACGTGCAGACTTTACGAACAGAGTGTTTCCAAACTGCTGAATGAAAAGAAAAGTTAAACTCTGAGAGTTGAACGTACACATCACAGAGCAGTTTCTGAGAATGATTCTGTCTAGTTTTTATATGAAGATATTTCCTTTTCTGCCTTTGGCCTCAAAGCGCTTGAAATCTCCATTTGCAAATTCCACAAAAAGAGTGTTTCAAATCTGCTCTGTGTAAATGAAAGTTCAACTCTGTGAGTTGAACACACACAACACAAGGAAGTTACTGGGAATTCTTCTGTCTAGCATAATATGAAGAAATCCCGTTTCCAACGAAGGCCTCAAGGAGGTCTGAATATCCACTTGCAGACTTTACAAACAGAGTGTTTCCTAACTGCTCTATGAAAAGAAAGGTTAAACTCTGTGAGTTGTACGCACACATCACAAAGGATTTCTCAGAATCATTCTGTCTAGTCTTTATATGAAGATAGTTTCCTTTTCTACCATTGACCTCAAAGCGGCTGAAATCTCCACTTGCAAATTCCACAAAAAGAGTGTTTCAAGTCTGCTCTGTGTAAAGGATCGTTCAACTCTGTGAGTTGAATACAAACAACACAAGGAAGTTACTGAGAATTCTTCTGTGTAGCATAATATGAAGAAATCCCGTTTCCAACGAAGGCCTCAAAGAGGTCTGAATATCCACTTGCAGACTTTACAAACAGAGTGTTTCCTAACTGCTCTATGAACAGAAAGGTTAAACTCTGTGAGTTGAACGAACACATCACAACGCAGTTTGTGGGAATGATTCTGTCTAGTTTTGAAACGAAGATATTTCCTTTTCTGCCGTTGACCTTAAAGAGCTTGAAAACTACACTTGCAAATTGCACAAATAGAGTGTTTCAAATCTGCTCTGTCTAAGGGAACGTTCAACTCTGTGAGTTGAATGCACACAACACAAGGAAGTTACTGGGAATTCTTCTGTCTAGCCTTACATGAAAAAAACCCGTTTCCAACGAAGGCCTCTAAGTGGTCAAAATTTCCACGTGCAGACTTTACAAACAGAGTGTTTCCAAACCGCTGAATGAAAAGAAAAGTTAAACTCTGAGAGTTGAACGCACACATCACGCAGCAGTTTCAAAGAATGATTCTGTCTAGTTTTGAAACGAAGATATTTCCTTTTCTGCCTTTGGCCTCAAAGCGCTTGAAATCTCCACTTGCAAATTCCACAAAAACAGTGTTTCAAATCTGCTCTGGGTAAATGAAAGTTCAACTCTGTGAGTTGAACACACACAACACAAGGAAGTTACTGGGAATTCTTCTGTCTAGCATAATATGAAGAAATCCCGTTTCCAACGAAGGCCTCAAAGGGGTCTGAATATCCACTTGCAGACTTTATAAACAGAGTGTTTACTAACTGCTCTATGAAAAGAAAGGTTAAACTCTGTGAGTTGAACACACACATCACAAAGGAGTTTCTGACAATCATTCTGTCTAGTTTTTATACGAAGATATTTACTTTTCTACCATTGACCTCAAAGCGGCTGAAATCTCCACCCTGCCAATTCCACAAAAAGAGTGTTTCAAGTCTACTCTGTGTAAAGGATCGTTGAACTCTGTGAGTTGAAAACACACAACACAACGAAGTTTCTGAGAATTCTTCTGTCTAGCAGAATATGAAGAAATCCCGTTTCCAAAGAAAGCCTCAAAGATGTCTGAATATCCACTTGCAGACTTTACAAACAGAGTGTTTCCTAACTGCTCTATGAAAAGAAAGGTTAAACTCTGTGAGTTGAACGCACACATCACAAAGGAGTTTCTCAGAATCATTCTGTCTAGTTTTGAAACGAAGATATTTCCTTTTCTGCCATTGACCTTAAAGCGCTTGAAATCTACACTTGCAAATTGCACAAATAGAGAGTTTCAAATCTGCTCTGTTCAAGGGAACGTTCAACTCTGTGAGTTGAATGCACACAACACATGGAAGTTACTGGGAATTCTTCTGTCTAGCCTTACAAGAAAAAAACCCGTTTCCAACGAAGGCCTCTAAATGGTCAAAATATCCACGTGCAGACTTTACAAACAGAGTGTTTCCAAACTGCTGAATGAAAAGAAAAGTTAAACTCTGAGAGTTGAACGCACACATCGCAGAGCAGTTTCTGAGAATGATTCTGTCTAGTTTTGAAACGAAGATATTTCCTTTTCTGCCTTTGGCCTCAAAGCGCTTGAAATCTCCACTTGCAAATTCCACAAAAGGAGAGTTTCAAATCTGCTCTGTGTAAATGAAAGTTCAACTCTGTGAGTTGAACACACACAACACAAGGAAGTTACAGGGAATTCTTCTGTCTAGCCTTATATGAAAAAAACCCGTTTCCAACGAAGGCCTCAAAGAGGTCTGAATATCCACTTGCAGACTTTACAAACAGAGTGTTTCCTAACTGCTCTATGAAAAGAAAGGTTAAACTCTGTGAGTTGAACGCACACATCACAAAGGAGTTTCCTGAGAATCATTTCTGTCTAGTTTCTATAGGAAGATATTTCCTATTCTACCATTGAACTCAAAGCGGCTGAAATCTCCACTTGCAAATTCCACAAAAAGAGTGTTTCAAGTCTGCTCTGTGTAAAGGATCGTTCAACTCTGTGAGTTGTATACACACAACACAAGGAAGTTACTGGGAATTCTTCTTTCTAGCATAATATGAAGAAATCCCGTTTCCAACGAAGGCCTCAAGGAGGTCTGAATATCCACTTGCAGACTTTACAAACAGAGTGTTTCCTAACTGCTCTATGAAAAGAAAGGTTAAACTGTGTGAGTTGAACGCACACATCACAAAGGAGTTTCACAGAATCATTCTGTCTAGTTTTGAAGACGAAGATATTTCCTTTTCTGCCATTGACCTTAAAGCGCTTGAAATCTACACTTGCAAATTGCACAAATAGAGTGTTTCAAATCTGCTCTGTCTAAGGGAACGTTCAACTCTGTGAGTTGAATGCACACAACACAAGGAAGTTACTGGGAAATCTTCTGTCTAGCCTTACATGAAAAAAACCCGTTTCCAACGAAGGCCTCTAAGTGGTCAAAATATCCACGTGCAGACTTCACAAACAGAGTGTTTCCAAACCGCTGAATGAAAAGAAAAGTTAAACTCTGAGAGTTGAACGCACACATCACGCAGCAGCTTCGGAGAATGATTCTCTCTAGTTTCTATAGGAAGATATTTCCTATTCTACCATTGAACTCAAAGCGGCTGAAATCTACACTTGCAAATTCCACAAAAAGAGTGTTTCAAGTCTGCTCTGTGTAAAGGATCGTTCAACTCTGTGAGTTGAATACACACAACACAAGGAAGTTACTGAGAATTCTTCTGTCTAGCATATTATGAAGAAATGCCGTTTCCAACGAAGGCCTCAAAGAGGTCTGAATATCCACTTGCACACTTTACAAACAGAGTGTTTCCTAACTGCTCTATGAAAAGAAAGGTTATACTCTGTGAGTTGAACGCACACATCACAAAGGAGTTTCTGAGAATCATTCTGTCTAGTTTCTATAGGAAGATATTTCCTATTCTACCATTGACCTCAAAGCGGCTGAAATCTCCACTTGCAAATTCCACAAAAAGAGTGTTTCAAGTCTGCTCTGCGTAAAGGATCGTTCAACTCTGTGAGTTGAATACACACAACACAAGGAAGTTTCTGAGAACTCTTCTGTCTAGGAGAATATGAAGAAATCCCGTTTCCAACGAAGGCCACAAGATGTCAGAATATCCACTTACAGAATTGACAAACAGACTGTTTCCTAACTGCTCTATGAAAAGAAAGGTTAAACTCTGTGAGTTGAACGAACCATCACAACGCAGTTTGTGGGAATGATTCTGTCTAGTTTTGAAACGAAGATATTTCCTTTTCTGCCGTTGACCTTAAAGCGCTTGAAATCTACACTTGCAAATTGCACAAATAGAGTGTTTCAAATCTGCTCTGTCTAAGGGAACGTTCAACTCTGTGAGTTGAATGCACACAACACAAGGAAGTTACTGGGAATTCTTCTGTCTAGCCTTACAAGAAAAAAACCCGTTTCCAACGAAAGCCTCTAAATGGTCAAAATATCCACGTGCAGACTTTACAAACAGAGTGTTTCCAAACTGCTGAATGAAAAGAAAAGTTAAACTCTGAGAGTTGAACGCACACATCGCAGAGCAGTTCTGAGAATGATTCTGTCTAGTTTTGAAACGAAGATATTTCCTTTTCTGCCTTTGGCCTCAAATCGCTTGAAATCTCCACTTGCAAATTCCAAAAAAAGAGTGTTTCAAATCTGCTCTGTGTAAATGAAAGTTCAACTCTGTGAGTTGAACACACACAACACAAGGAAGTTACTGGGAATTCTTCTGTCTAGCATAGTATGAAAAAAACCCGTTTCCAACGAAGGCCTCAAAGAGGTCTGAATATCCACTTGCAGACTTTACAAACAGAGTGTTTCCTAACTGCTCTATGAAAAGAAAGGTTAAACTCTGTGAGTTGAACGCACACATCACAAAGGAGTTTCTGAGAATCATTCTGTCTAGTTTTTATACGAAGATATTTCCTTTTCTCCCATGGACCTCAAAGCGGCTGAAATCTCCACTTGCAAATTCCACAAAAAGAGTGTTTCAAGTCTGCTCTGTGTAAAGGATCGTTCAACTCTGTGAGTTGAATACACACAACACAAGGAAGATTCTGAGAATTCTTCTGTCTAGCAGAATATGAAGAAATCCCGTTTCCAACGAAGGCCACAAGATGTCAGAATATCCACTTACAGACTTTACAAACAGAGTGTTTCCTAACTGCTCTATGAACAGAAAGGTTAAACTCTGTGAGTTGAACGAACACATCACAACGTAGTTTGTGGGAATGATTCTGTCTAGTTTTTATACGAAGATATTTCCTTTTCTACCATTGACCTCAAAGAGGCTGAAATCACCACTTGCCAATTGCACAAAAAGAGTGTTTCAAATCTGCTCTGTCTAAGGGAACGTTCAACTCTGTGAGTTGAATGTACACAACACAAGGAAGTTACTGGGAATTCTTCTGTCTAGCCTTACATGAAAAAAACCCGTTTCCAATGAAGACCTCTAAGTGGTCAAAATATCCACGTGCAGACTTTACAAACAGAGTGTTTCCAAACCGCTGAATGAAAAGAAAAGTTAAACTCTGAGAGTTGGACGCACACATCACGCAGCAGTTTCTGAGAATGATTCTGTCTAGTTTTTATACGAAGATATTTCCTTTTCTGCCTTTGGCCCCAAAGCGCTTGAAATCTCCACTTGCAAATTCCACAAAAACAGTGTTTCAAATCTGCTCTCTCTAAATGAAAGTTCAACTCTGTCAGTTGAATACACACAACAGAAGGAAGTTACTGAGAATTCTTCTGTCTAGCCTTATATGAAAAAAACCCGTTTCCAACGAAGGCCTCAAAGAGGTCTGAATATCCACTTGCAGACTTTACAAACAGAGTGTTTCCTAACTGCTCTATGAAAAGAAAGGTTAAACTCTGTGAGTTGAATGCACACATCACAAAGGAGTTTCTGAGAATCATTCTGTCTAGTTTTTATAGGAAGATATTTCCTTTTCTACCTTTGACTTCAAAGCGGCTGAAATCTCCACTTGCAAATTCCACAAAAAGAGTGTTCCAAGTATGCTCTGTGTAAAGGATCGTTCAACTCTGTGAGTTGAATACACACAACACAAGGAAGTTACTGAGAATTCTGTCTAGCAGAACATGAAGAAATCCCGTTTCCAACGAAGGCCTCAAAGATGTCTGAATATCCACTTGCAGACTTTACAAACAGAGTGTGTCCTAACTGCTCTATGAAAAGAAAGGTTAAACTCTGTGAGTTGAACGCAGACATCACAAAGGAGTTTCTGAGAATCACTCTGTCTAGTTTTTATAGGAAGTTATTTCCTTTTCTACCTTTGACTTCAAAGCGGCTGAAATCTCCACTTGCAAATTCCACAAAAAGAGTGTTACAAGTCTGCTCTGTGTAAAGGATCGTTCAACTCTGTGAGTTGAATACACACAACACAAGGAAGTTACTGAGAATACTTCTGTCTAGCCTTACATGAAAAAAACCCGTTTCCAACGAAGGCCTCTAAGTGGTCAAGTTATCCACGTGCAGACTTTACAAACAGAGTGTTTCCAAACTGCTGAATGAAAAGAAAAGTTAAACTCTGAGAGTTGAACGCACACATCGCAGAGCAGTTTCTGAGAATGATTCTGTCTAGTTTTTATACGAAGATACTTCCTTTTCTGCCTTTGGCCTCAAAGCGCTTGAAATCTCCATTTGCAAATTCCACAAAAAGAGTGTTTCAAATCTGCTCTGTGTAAATGAAAGTTCAACTCTGTGAGTTGAACACACACAACACAAGGAAAGTTACTGGGAATTCTTCTGTCTAGCCTTATATGAAAAAAACCCGTTTCCAACGAAGGCCTCAAAGAGGTCTGAATATCCACTTGCAGACTTTAGAAACAGAGTGTTTCCTAACTGCTCTATGAAAAGAAATGTTAAACTCTGTGAGTTGAACACACACACATCACAAAGGAGTTTCTGAGAATCATTCGGTCTAGTTTTTATAGGAAGATATTTCCTTTTCTACCATTGACCTCAAAGCGGCTGAAATCTCCACTTGCAAATTCCACAAAAACAGTGTTTCAAGTCTGCTCTGTGTAAAGGATCGTTGAACTCTGTGAGTTGAATACACACAACACAAGGAAGTTACTGAGAATTCTTCTCTGTAGCAGAATATGAAGAAATCCCGTTTCCAACGAAGGCCTCAAAGAGGTCTGAATATCCACTTGCAGACTTTACAAACAGAGTGTTTCCTAACTGCTCTATGAAAAGAAAGGTTAAACTCTGTGAGTTGAACGCACACATCACAACGGAGTTTCTGAGAATCATTCTGTCTAGTTTTGAAACGAAGATATTTCCTTTTCTGCCATTGAACTTAAAGCGCTTGAAATCTCCATTTGCCAATTGCACAAAAAGAGTGTTTCAAATCTGCTCTGTCTAAGGGAACGTTCAACTCTGTGAGTTGAATGTACACAACACAAGGAAGTTACTGGGAATTCTTCTGTCTAGCCTTACAGGAAAAAAACCCGTTTCCAACGAAGGCCTCTAAGTGGTCAAGTTATCCACGTGCAGACTTTACAAACAGAGTGTTTCCAAACTGCTGAATGAAAAGAAAAGTTAAACTCTGAGAGTTGAACGCACACATCGCAGAGCAGTTTCGGAGAATGATTCTGTCTAGTTTTTATACGAAGATATTTCCTTTTCTGCCTTTGGCCCCAAAGCGCTTGAAATCTCCACTTGCAAATTCCACAAGAACAGTGTTTCAAATCTGCTCTCTCTAAATGAAAGTTCAACTCTGTCAGTTGAATACACACAACACAAGGAAGTTACTGAGAATTCTTCTGTCTAGCAGAATATGAAGAAATCCCGTTTCCAACGAAAGCCTCAAAGAAGTCTGAATATCCACTTGCAGACTTTACAAACAGAGTGTTTCCTAACTGCTCTATGAAAAGAAAGGTTGAACTCTGTGAGTTGAACGCACACATCACAAAGGAGTTTCTGAGAATCATTCTGTCTAGTTTCTATAGGAAGATATTTCCTATTCTACCATTGACCTCAAAGCGGCTGAAATCTCCACTTGCAAATTCCACAAAAGGAGTGTTTCAAGTCTGCTCTGTGTAAAGGATCGTTCAACTCTGTGAGTTGAATACACACAACACAAGGGAAGTTACTGAGAATTCTTCTGTCTAGCAGAATAGGAAGAAATCCCGTTTCCAACGAAGGCCTCAAAGAGGTCTGAATATCCACGTGCAGACTTTTCAAACAGAGTGTTTCCTAACTGCTCTATGAACAGAAAGGTTAAACTCTGTGAGTTGAACGAACACATCACAACGCAGTTTGTGGGAATGATTCTGTCTAGTTTTGAAACGAAGATATTTCCTTTTCTGCCGTTGACCTTAAAGAGCTTGAAAACTACACTTGCAAATTGCACAAATAGAGTGTTTCAAATCTGCTCTGTCTAAGGGAACGTTCAACTCTGTGAGTTGAATACACACAACACAAGGAAGTTACTGAGAATTCTTCTGTCTAGCCTTACGGGAAAAAAACCCGTTTCCAACGAAGGCCTCTAAGTGGTCAAAATATCCACGTGCAGACTTTACAAACAGAGTGTTTCCAAACTGCTGAATGAAAAGAAAAGTTAAACTCTGAGAGTTGAACGCACACATCGCAGAGCAGTTTCTGAGAATGATTCCGTCTAGTTTTTATACGAAGATATTTCCTTTTCTGCCTTTGGCCCCAAAGCGCTTGAAATCTCCAATTGCAAATTCCACAAAAACAGTGTTTCAAATCTGCTCTCTCTAAATGAAAGTTCAACTCTGTCAGTTGAATACACACAACACAAGGAAGTTACTGAGAATTCTTCACTCTAGCATAATATGGAGAAATCCCGTTTCCAACGAATGCCTCAAAGAGGTCTGAATATCCACTTGCAGACTTTACAAACAAAGTGTTTCCTAACTGCTATATGAAAAGAAAAGTTAAACTCTGTGAGTTGAACGCACACATCACAAAGGATTTTCTGAGAATCATTCTGTCTAGTTTCTATACGAAGATATTTCCTATTCTACCATTGACCTCAAAGCGGCTGAAATCTCCACTTGCAAATTCCACAAAAAGAGTGTTTCAAGTCTGCTCTGTGTAAAGGATCGCTCAACTTCTGTGAGTTGAATACACACAACACAAGGAAGTTACTGAGAATTCTTCTGTCTAGCAGAATATGGAGAAATCCCGTTTCCAACGTAGGCCACAAGATGTCAGAATATCCACTTACAGACTTTACAAACAGAGTGTTTCCTAACTGCTCTATGAACAGAAAGGTTAAACTCTGTGAGTTGAACGAACACATCACAACGCAGTTTGTGGGAATGATTCTGTCTAGTTTTGAAACGAAGATATTTCCTTTTCTGCCATTGACCTCAAAGCGCTTGAAATGTCCACTTGCCAATTGCACAAAAAGAGTGTTTCAAATCTGCTCTGTCTAAGGGAACGTTCAACTCTGTGAGTTGAATATACACAACACAAGGAAGTTACTGGGAATTCTTCTGTCTAGCCTTACAGGAAAAAAACCCGTTTCCAACGAAGGCCTCTAAGTGGTCAAAATATCCACGTGCAGACTTTACAAACAGAGTGTTTCCAAACTGCTGAATGAAAAGAAAAGTTAAACTCTGAGAGTTGAATGCACACATCGCAGAGCAGTTTCTGAGAATGATTCTGTCTAGTTTTTATACGAAGATATTTCCTTTTCTGCCTTTGGCCTCAAAGCGCTTGAAATCTCCACTTGCAAATTCCACAAAAAGAGTGTTTGAAATCTGCTCTGTGTAAATGAAAGTTCAACTCTGTGAGTTGAACACACACAACACAAGGAAGTTACTGGGAATTCTTCTGTCTAGCATAATATGAAGAAATCCCGTTTCCAACGAAGGCCTCAAAGAGGTCTGAATATCCACTTGCAGACTTTACAAACAGAGTGTTTCCTAACTGCTCTATGAAAAGAAAAGTTAAACTCTGTGATTTGAACGCACACATCACAAAGGAGTTTATGAGAATCATTCTGTCTAGTTTCTATAGGAAGATATTTCCTATTCTACCATTGACCTCAAAGCGGCTGAAATCTACACTTGCAAATTCCACAAAAAGAGTGTTTCAAGTCTGCTCTGTGTAAAGGATCGTTCAACTCTGTGAGTTGAATACACACAACACAAGGAAGTTACTGAGAATTCTTCTGTCTAGCAGAATACGAAGAAATCCCGTTTCCAACGAAGGCCACAAGATGTCAGAATATCCACTTACAGACTTTACAAACAGAGTGTTTCCTAACTGCTCTATGAACAGAAAGGTTAAACTCTGTGAGTTGAACGAACACATCACAACGCAGTTTGTGGGAATGATTCTGTCTAGTTTTGAAACGAAGAAATTTCCTTTTCTGCCATTGACCTTAAAGCGCTTGAAATCTACACTTGCAAATTGCACAAATACAGTGTTTCAAATCTGCTCTGTCAAAGGGAACGTTCAACTCTGTGAGTTGAATGCACACAACACAAGGAAGTTACTGGGAATTCTTCTGTCTAGCCTTACATGAGAAAAACCCGTTTCCAACGAAGGCCTCTATGTGGTCAAATTATCAACGTGCAGACTTTACAAACAGAGGGTTTTCAAACTGCTGAATGAAAAGAAAAGTTAAACTCTGAGAGTTGAACGCACACATCGCAGAGCAGTTTCTGAGAATGATTCTGTCTATTTTTTTACGAAGATATTTCCTTTTCTGCCTTTGGCCTCAAAGCGCTTGAAATCTCCACTTGCAAATTCCACAAAAAGAGTGTTTCAAATCTGCTCTGTTTAAATGAAAGTTCAACTCTGTGAGTTGAACACACACAACACAAGGAAGTTACTGGGAATTCTTCTGTCTAGCATAGTATGAAGAAATCCCGTTTCCAACGAAGGCCTCAAACAGGTCTGAATATCCACTTGCAGACTTTACAAACAGAGTGTTTCCTAACTGCTCTATGAAAAGAAAGGTTAAACTCTGTGAGTTGAACGCACAAAGAAGTTTCTGAGAATCATTCTGTCTAGTTTCTATAGGAAGATATTTCCTATTCTACCATTGACCTCAAAGCGGCTGAAATCTCCACTTGCAAATTCCACAAAAGGAGTGTTTCAAGTCTGCTCTGTGTAAAGGATCGTTCAACTCTGTGAGTTGAATACACACAACACAAGGCAGTTACTGAGAATTCTTCTGTCTAGCAGAATATGAAGAAATCCCGTTTCCAACGAAGGCCACAAGATGTCAGAATATCCACTTACAGAATTTACAAACAGACTGTTTCCTAACTGCTCTATGAAAAGAAAGGTTAAACTCTGTGAGTTGAACGAACACATCACAACACAGTTTGTGGGAATGATTCTCTCTAGTTTTGAAACGAAGATATTTCCTTTTCTGCCATTGACCTTAAAGCGCTTGAAATCTCCACTTGCCAATTGCACAAAAAGAGTGTTTCAACTCTGCTCTGTCTAAGGGAACGTTCAACTCTGTGAGTTGAATGTACACAACACAAGGGAAGTTACTGGGAATTCTTCTGTCTAGCCTTACAGGAAAAAAACCCGTTTCCAACGAAGGCCTCTAAGTGGTCAAAATATCCACGTGCAGACTTTACAAACAGAGTGTTTCCAAACTGCTGAATGAAAAGAAAAGTTAAACTCTGAGAGATGAACGCACACATCGCAGAGCAGTTTCTGAGAATGATTCTGTCTAGTTTCTATAGGAAGATATTTCCTATTCTACCATTGACCTCAAAGCGGCTGAAATCTCCACTTGCAAATTCCAGAAAAAGAGTGTTTCAAGTCTGCTCTCTGTAAAGGATCGTTCAACTCTGAGAGTTGAATACACACAACACAAGGAAGTTACTGAGAATTATTCTGTCTAGCATAATATGAAGAAATCCCGTTTCCAACGAAGGCCACAAAGAGGTCTGAATATCCACTTGCAGACTTTACAAACAGAGTGTTTCCTAACTGCTCTATGAAAAGAAAAGTTAAACTCTGTGAGTTGAACGCACACATCACAAAGGAGTTTCTGAGAATCATTCTGTCTAGTTTCTATAGGAAGATATTTCCTATTCTACCGTTGACCTCAAAGCGGCTGAAATCTCCACTTGAAAATTCCACAACAAGAGTGTTTCAAGTCTGTTCTGTGTAAAGGATCATTCAACTCTGTGAGTTGAATACACAAAACACAAGGAAGTTACTGAGAATTCTTCTGTCTAGCAGAATATGAAGAAATCCCGTTTCCAACGAAGGCCTCAAGGAGGTCTGAATATCCACTTGCAGACTTTACAAACAGAGTGTTTCCTAACTGCTCTATGAAAAGAAAGGTTAAACTCTGTGTGTTGAACGCACACATCACAAAGGAGTTTCTCAGAATCATTCTGTCTACTTTTGAAACGAAGATATTTCCTTTTCTGCCATTGACCTTAAAGCGCTTGAAATCTACACTTGCAAATTGCACAAATAGAGTGTTTCAAATCTGCTCTGTCTAAGGGAACGTTCAACTCTGTGAGTTGAATGCACACAACACAAGGAAGTTACTGGGAATTATTCTGTCTAGCCTTACATGCAAAAAACCAGTTTCCAACGAAGGCCTCTAAGTGGTCAAAATATCCACGTGCAGACTTTACAAACAGAGTGTTTCCAAACCGCTGAATTAAAAGAAAAGTTAAACTCTGAGAGTTGAACGCACACATCACGCAGCAGTTTCTGAGAATGATTCCGTCTAGTTTTTATACGAAGATATTTCCTTTTCTGCCTTTGGCCCCAAAGCGCTTGAAATCTCCACTTGCAAATTCCACAAAAACAGTGTTTCAAATCTGCTCTCTCTAAATGAAAGTTCAACTCTGTCAGTTGAATACACACAACACAAGGAAGTTACTGAGAATTCTTCTGTCTAGCAGAATATGAAGAAATCCCGTTTCCAACGAAGGCCTCAAAGAGGTCTGAATATCCACTTGCAGACTTTACAAACAGAGTGTTTCCTAACTGCTCTATGAAAAGAAAGGTTAAACTTTGTGAGTTGAACGCACACATCACAAAGGAGTTTCTGAGAATCATTCTGTCTAGTTTTTATACGAAGATATTTCCTTTTCTACCATTGACCTCAAAGCGGCTGAAATCTCCACTTGCAAATTCCACCAAAAGAGTGTTTCAAATCTGCTCTGTGTAAACCATCGTTCAACTCTGTGAGTTGAATACACACAACACAAGGAAGATTCTGAGAATTCTTCTGTCTAGGAGAATATTATGAAATCCCGTTTCCAACGAAGGCCACAAGATGTCAGAATATCCACTTACAGACTTTACAAACAGAGTGTTTCCTAACTGCTCTATGAACAGAAAGGTTAAACTCTGTGAGTTGAACGAACACATCACAACGCAGTTTCTGGGAATGATTCTGTCTAGTTTTGAAACGAAGATATTTCCTTTTCTGCCATTGACCTTAAAGCGCTTGAAATCTACACTTGCAAATTGCACAAATAGAGTGTTTCAAATCTGCTCTGTCTAAGGGAACGTTCAGCTCTGTGAGTTGAATGCACACAACACAAGGAAAGTTACTGGGAATTCTTCTGTCTAGCCTTACATGAAAAAAACCCGTTTCCAACGAAGGCCTCTAAGTGGTCAAAATATCCACGTGCAGACTTTACAAACAGAGTGTTTCCAAACCGCTGAATGAAAAGAAAAGTTAAACTCTGAGAGTTGAACGCACACATCACGCAGCAGTTTCTGAGAATGATTCTGTCTAGTTTCTATAGGAAGATATTTCCTATTCTACCATTGACCTCACAGCGGCTGAAATCTCCACTTGCAAATTCCACAAAAAGAGTGTTTCAAGTCTTCTCTGTGTAAAGGATCGTTCAACTCTGTGAGTTGAATACACACAACACAAGGCAGTTACTGAGAATTCTTCTGTCTAGCAGAATATGAAGAAATCCCGCTTCCAACGAAGGCCTCAAAGAAGTCTGAATATCCACTTGCAGACTTTACAAACAGAGTGTTTCCCAACTGCTCTATGAAAAGAAAGGTTGAACTCTGTGAGTTGAACGCACACATCACAAAGGAGTTATGAGAATCATTCTGTCTAGTTTTTATACGAAGATATTTCATTTTCTACCATTGACCTCAAAGCGGCTGAAATCTCCACTTGCAAATTCCACAAAAAGAGTGTTTCAAATCTGCTCTGTGTAAACCATCGTTCAACTGTGTGAGTTGAATACACACAACACAAGGAAGATTCTGAGAATTCTTCTGTCTAGCAGAATATGAAGAAATCCCGTTTCCAACGAAGGCCACAAGATGTCAGAATATCCACTTACAGACTTTACAAACTGAGTGTTTCCTAACTGCTCTATGAACAGAAAGGTTAAACTCTGTGAGTTGAACGAACACATCACAACGCGAGTTTGTGGGAATGATTCTGTCTAGTTTTGAAACGAAGATATTTCCTTTTCTGCCGTTGACCTTAAAGCGCTTGAAATCTACACTTGCAAATTGCACAAATAGAGTGTTTCAAATCTGCTCTGTCCAAGGGAACGTTCAACTCTGTGAGTTGAATGCACACAACACAAGGAAGTTACTGGGAATTCTTCTGTCTAGCCTTACAGGAAAAAAACCCGTTTCCAACGAAGGCCTCTAAGTGGTCAAAATATCCACGTGCAGACTTTACAAACAGAGTGTTTCCAAACTGCTGAATGCTAAAGAAAAGTTAAACTCTGAGAGTTGAACGCACACATCGCAGAGCAGTTTCTGAGAATGATTCTGTCTAGTTTTGAAACGAAGATATTTCCTTTTCTGCCTTTGGCCTCAAAGCGCTTGAAATCTCCACTTGCAAATTCCACAAAAAGAGTGTTACAAGTCTGCTCTGTGTAAAGGATCGTTCAACTCTATGAGTTGAATACACACAACACAAGGAAGTTACTGAGAATTCTTTTTTCTAGCAGAATATGAAGAAATCCCGTTTCCAACGAAAGCCTCAAGGATGTCTGAATATCCACTTGCAGACTTTACAAACAGAGTGTTTCCTAACTGCTCTATGAAAAGAAAGGTTAAACTCTGTGAGTTGAACGCACACATCACAAAGGAGTTTCTGAGAATCATTCTGCCTAGTTTTTCTACGAAGATATTTCCTTTTCTTCTATTGACCTCAAAGCGGCTGAAATCTCCACTTGCAAATTCCACAAAAAGAGTGTTTCAAGACTGCTCTGTGTAAAGGATCGTTCAACTCTGTGAGTTGAATACACACAACACAAGGAAGTTACTGAGAATTCTTCTGTCTAGCAGAATATGAAGAAAACCCGTTTCCAACGAAGGCCTCAAAGAGGTCTGAATATCCACTTGCAGACTTTACAAACAGAGTGTTTCCTAACTGCTCTATGAAAAGAAAGGTTAAACTCTGTGAGTTGAACGCACACATCACAAAGGAGTTTCTGAGAATCATTCTGTCTAGTTTTGAAACGAAGATATTTCCTTTTCTGCCGTTGACCTTAAAGCGCTTGAAGTCTACACTTGCAAATTGCACAAATAGAGTGTTTCAAATCTGCTCTGTCTAAGGGAACTTTCAACTCTGTGAGTTGAATGCACACAACACAAGGAAGTTACTGGGAATTCTTCTGTCTACCCTTACATGAAAAAAACCCGTTTCCAACGAAGGCCTCTAAGTGGTCAAAATATCCACGTGCAGACTTTACAAACAGAGTGTTTTCAAACTGCTGAATGAAAAGAAAAGTTAAACTCTGAGAGTTGAACGCACACATCATAGAGGATTTTCTGAGAATGATTCTGTCTAGTTTTTATACGAAGATATTTCCATTTCTGCCTTTGGCCGCAAAGCGCTTGAAATCTCCACTTGCAAATTCCACAAAAACAGTCTTACAAATCTGCTCTCTCTAAATGAAAGTTCAACTCTGTCAGTTGAATACACACAACACAAGGAAGTTACTGAGAATTCTTCTGTCTAGCCTTATATGAAAAAATCCCGTTTCCAACGAAGGCCTCAAAGAGGTCTGAATATCCACTTGCAGACTTTACAAACAGAGTGTTTCCTAACTGCTCTATGAAAAGAAAGGTTAAACTCTGTGAGTTGAACGCACACATCACAAAGGAGTTTCTGAGAATCATTCTGTCTAGTTTTTCTACGAAGATATTTCCTTTTCTACTATTGACCTCAAAGCGGCTGAAATCTCCACTTGCAAATTCCACAAAAAGAGTGTTTCAAGTCTGCTCTGTGAAAAGGATCGTTCAACTCTGTGAGTTGAATACACAAAACACAAGGAAGTTACTGAGAATTCTTCTGTCTAGCAGAATATGAAGAAATCCCGTTTCCAACTAAGGACACAAGATGTCAGAATATCCACTTACAGAATTGACAAACAGACTGTTTCCTAACTGCTCTATGAAAAGAAAGGTTAAACTCTGTGAGTTGAACGAACACATCACAACGCAGTTTGTGGGAATGATTCTGTCTAGTTTTGAAACGAAGATATTTCCTTTTCTGCCGTTGACCTTAAAGCGCTTGAAATCTACACTTGCAAATTGCACAAATAGAGTGTTTCAAATCTGCTCTGTCTAAGTGAACGTTCAACTCTGTGAGTTGAATGCACACAACACAAGGAAGTTACTGGGAATTCTTCTGTCTAGCAGAATATGAAGAAATCCCGTTTCCAACGAAGGCCTCAAAGAGGTCTGAATATCCACTTGCAGACTTTACAAACAGAGTGTTTCCTAACTGCTCTATGAGAAGAAAAGTTAAACTCTGTGAGTTGAACGCACAGATCACAAAAGATTTTCTGAGAATCATTCTGTCTAGTTTTTCTACGAAGATATTTCCTTTTCTACTATTGACCTCAAAGCGGCTGAAATCTCCATTTGCAAATTCCACAAAAAGAGTGTTTCAAGTCTGCTCTGTGTAAAGGATCGTTCAAGTCTGTGAGTTGAATACACACAACACAAGGAAGTTACTGAGAATTCTTCTGTCTAGCAGAATATGAAGAAATCCCGTTTCCAACGAAGGCCTCAAAGAGGTCTGAATATCCACTTGCAGACTTTACAAACAGAGTGTTTCCTAACTGCTGCTATGAAAAGAAAAGTTAAACTCTGTGAGTTGAACGCACACATCACAAAGGAGTTTATGAGAATCATTCTGTCTAGTTTTTCTACGAAGATATTTCATTTTCTACTATTGACCTCAAAGCGGCTGAAATCTCCACTTGCAAATTCCACAAAAAGAGTGTTTCAAGTCTGCTCTGTGTAAAGGATCGTTCAACTCTGCGAGTTCAATACACACAACACAAGGAAGTTACTGAGAATTCTTCTGTCTAGCACAGTATGAAGAAATCCCATTTCCAACGAAGGCCTCAAAGACGTCTGAATATCCACTTGCAGAGTTCACAAACAGAGTGTTTCCTAACTGCTCTATGAAAAGAAAGGTTAAACTCTGTGAGTTGAACGCACACATCACAATGAAGTTTCTGAGAATCATTCTGTCTAGTTTTTATACGAAGATATTTCCTTTTCTACCATTGACCTCAAAGCGGCTGAAATCACCACTTGCCAATTGCACAAAAAGAGTGTTTCAAATCTGCTCTGTCTAAGGGAACGTTCAACTCTGTGAGTTGAATGTACACAACACAAGGAAGTTACTGGGAATTCTTCTGTCAAGCCTTACAGGAAAAAAACCCGTTTCCAACGAAGGCCTCTAAGTGGTCAAAATATCCACGTGCAGACTTAACAAACAGAGTGTTTCCAAACTGCTGAATGAAAAGAAAAGTTAAACTCTGAGAGTTGAACGCACACATCGCAGAGCAGTTTCTGAGAATGATTCTGTCTAGTTTTTATACGAAGATATTTCCTTTTCTGCCTTTGGCCCCAAAGCGCTTGAAATCTCCACTTGCAAATTCCACAAAAAGAGTGTTTCAAATCTGCTCTGTGTAAATGAAAGTTCAACTCTGTGAGTTGAACACACACAACACAAGGAAGTTACTGGGAATTCTTCTGTCTAGCAGAATATGAAGAAATCCCGTTTCCAACGAAGGCCTCAAAGAGGTCTGAATATCCACTTGCAGACTTTACAAACAGGGTGTTTCCTAACTGCTCTATGAAAAGAAATGTTAAATTTTGTGAATTCAACGCACACATCACAAAGGAGTTTCTGAGAATCATTCTGTCTAGTCTTTATACGAAGATATTTCCTTTTCTATCATTGACCTCAAAGCGGCTGAAATCTCCACTTGCAAATTCCACAAAAAGAGTGTTTCAAGTCTGCTCTGTGTAAAGGATCGTTCAACTCTGTGAGTTGAATACACACAACACAAGGAAGTTACTGAGAATTCTTCTGTCTAGCAGAATATGAAGAAATCCCGTTTCCAACGAAGGCCACAAGATGTCAGAATATCCACTTACAGACTTTACAAACAGAGTGTTTCCTAACTGCTCTATGAAAAGAAAGGTTAAAGTCTGTGAGTTGAACGAACACATCACAACGCAGTTTGTGGGAATGATTCTGTCTAGTTTTGAAACGAAGATATTTCCTTTTCTGCCATTGACCTTAAAGCGCTTGAAACCTACACTTGCAAATTGCACAAATAGAGTGTTTCAAATCTGCTCTGTCTAAGGAACGTTCAACTCTGTGAGTTGAATGCACACAACACAAGGAAGTTACTGGGAATTCTTCTGTCTAGCCTTACATGAAAAAAACCCGTTTCCAATGAAGGCCTCTAAGTGGTCAAGTTATCCACGTGCAGACTTTACAAACAGAGTGTTTCCAAACTGCTGAATGAAAAGAAAAGTTAAACTCAGAGAGTTGAACGCACACATCGCAGAGCAGTTTCTGAGAATGATTCTGTCTAGTTTTTATACGAAGATATTTCCTTTTCTGCCTTCGGCCTCAAAGCGCTTGAAATCTCCATTTGCAAATTCCACAAAAAGAGTGTTTCAAATCTGCTCTGTGTAAATGAAAGTTCAACTCTGTGAGTTGAACACACACAACACAAGGAAGTTACTGGGAATTCTTCTGTCTAGCATAGTATGGAGAAATCCCGTTTCCAACGAAGGCCTCAAAGAGGTCTGAATATCCACTTGCAGAGTTTACAAGCAGAGTGTTTCCTAACTGCTCTATGAAAAGAAAGGTTAAACTCTGTGAGTTGAAGGCACACATCACAAAGAAGTTTCTGAGAATCATTCTGTCTAGTTTTTGTACGAAGATATTTCCTTTTCTAACATGGACCTCAAAGCGGCTGAAATCTCCACTTGCAAATTCCACAAAAAGAGTGTTTCAAGTCTGCTCTGTGTAAAGGATCGTTCAACTCGGTGAGTTGAATACACACAACACAAGGAAGATTCTGAGAATTCTTCTGTCTAGCATAGTATGAAGAAATCCCGTTTCCAACGAAGGCCACAAGCTGTCAGAATATCCACTTACAGAATTTACAAACAGACTGTTTCCTAACTGCTCTATGAAAAGAAAGGTTAAACTCTGTGAGTTGAACGAACACATCACAACGCAGTTTGTGGCAATGATTCTGTCTAGTTTTGAAACGAAGATATTTCCTTTTCTGCCATTGACCTCAAAGCGCTTGAAATCTCCACTTGCCAATTGCACAAAAAGAGTGTTTCAAATCTGCTCTGTCTAAGGGAACGTTCAACTCTGTGAGTTGAATGTACACAACACAAGGAAGTTACTGGGAATTCTTCTGTCTAGCCTTACATGAAAAAAACCCGTTTCCAACGAAGGCGTCTAAGTGGTCAAAATATCCACGTGCAGACTTTACAAACAGAGTGTTTCCAAACCGCTGAATGAAAAGAAAAGTTAAACTCTGAGAGTTGAACGCACACATCACGCAGCAGTTTATGAGAATGATTCTGTCTAGTTTTTATAGGAAGATATTCCCTTTTCTACCTTTGACTTCAAAGCGGCTGAAATCTCCACTTGCAAATTCCACAAAAAGAGTGTTACAAGTCTACTCTGTGTAAAGGATCGGTCAACTCTGTGAGTTGAATACACACAACACAAGGAAGTTACTGAGAATTCTTCTGTCTAGCAGAATATGAAGAAATCCCGTTTCCAACGAAAGCCTCAAAGAGGTCTGAATATCCACTTGCAGACTTTACAGAGTGTTTCCCAACTGCTCTATGAAAAGAAAGCTTAAACTCTGTGAGTTGAACGCACACATCACAAAGGAGTTTGTGAGAATCATTCTGTCTAGTTTTTATACGAAGATATTTCCTTTTCTACCATTGACCTCAAAGCGGCTGAAATCTCCACTTCCAAACTCCACAAAAAGAGTGTTTCAAATCTGCTCTGTGTAAACCATCGTTCAACTGTGTGAGTTGAATACACACAACACAAGGAAGATTCTGAGAATTCTTCTGTCTAGCAGAATATGAAGAAATCCCGTTTCCAACGAAGGCCACAAGATGTCAGAATATCCACTTACAGAATTGACAAACAGACTTGTTTCCTAACTGCTCTATGAAAAGAAAGGTTAAACTCTGTGAGTTGAACGAACACATCACAACGCAGTTTGTGGGAATGATTCTGTCTAGTTTTTATACGAAGATATGTCCTTTTCTACCATTGACCTCAAAGCGGCTGAAATCACCACTTGCCAATTGCACAAAAAGAGTGTTTCAAATCTGCTCTGTCTAAGGGAACGTTCAACTCTGTGAGTTGAATGTACACAACACAAGGAAGTTACTGGGAATTCTTCTGTCTAGCCTTACAGGAAAAAAACCCGTTTCCAACGAAGGCCTCTAAGTGGTCAAAATATCCACATGCAGAGTTTACAGAGTGTTTCCAAACTGCTGAATGAAAAGAAAAGTTAAACTCTGAGAGTTGAACGCACACATCGCAGAACAGTTTCTGAGAATGATTCTGTCTAGTTTTGAAACGAAGATATTTCTTTTTCTGCCTTTGGCCTCAAAGCGCTTGAAATCTCCACTTGCAAATTCCACAAAAAGAGTGTTTCAAATCTGCTCTGTGTAAATGAAAGTTCAACTCTGTGAGTCGAACACACACAACACAAGGAAGTTACTGGGAATTCTTCTGTCTAGCATAGTATGAAGAAATCCCGTTTCCAACGAAGGCCTCAAAGACGTCTGAATATCCACTTGCAGACTTTACAAACAGAGTGTTTCCTAACTGCTCTATGAAAAAAAAGGTTAAACTCTGTGAGTTGAACGCACACATCACAAAGGAGTTTCTGAGAATCATTCTGTCTAGTTTCTATAGGAAGATATTTCCTATTCTACCATTGACCTCAAAGCGGCTGAAATCACCAGTTGCAAATTCCACGAAAAGAATGTTTCAAGTCTGCTCTGTGTAAAGGATCGTTCAACTCTGTGAGTTGAATACACACAACACAAGGAAGTTACTGAGAGTTCTTCTGTCTAGCAGAATAGGAAGAAATCCCGTTTCCAACGAAGGCCACAAGATGTCAGAATATCCACTTACAGACTTTACAAACAGAGTGTTTCCTAACTGCTCTATGAACAGAAAAGTTAAACTCTGTGAGTTGAACGAACACATCACAACGCAGTTTGTGGGAATGATTCTGTCTAGTTTTGAAACGAAGATATTTCCTTTTCTGCCATTGACCTTAAAGCGCTTGAAATCTCCACTTGCCAATTGCACAAAAAGAGTGTTTCAAATATGCTCTGTCTAAGGGAACGTTCAACTCTGTGAGTTGAATGTACACAACACAAGGAAGTTACTGAGAATTCTTCTGTCTAGCCTTACAGGAAAAAAACCCGTTTCCAACGAAGGCCTATAAGTGGTCAAAATATCCACGTGCAGACTTTACAAACAGAGTGTTTCCAAACTGCTGAATGAAAAGAAAAGTTAAACTCTGAGAGTTGAACGCACACATCGCAGAGCAGTTTCTGAGAATGATTCTGTCTAGTTTTGAAACGAAGATATTTCCTTTTCTGCCTTTGGCCTCAAAGTGCTTGAAATCTCCACTTGCAAATTCCACAAAAAGAGGGTTTCAAATCTGCTCTGGGTAAATGAAAGTTCAACTCTGTGAGTTGAACACACACAACACAAGGAAGTTACTGGGAATTCTTCTGTCTAGCAGAATATGAAGAAATCCCTCTTCCAACGGAGGCCTCAAAGAAGTCTGAATATCCACTTGCAGACTTTACAAACAGAGTGTTTCCCAACTGCTCTATGAAAAGAAAGGTTGAACTCTGTGAGTTGAACGCACACATCACAAAGGAGTTTCTGAGAATCATTCTGTCTAGTTTTTATAGGAAGATATTTCCTTTTCTACCATTGACCTCAAAGCGGCTGAAATCTCCACTTGCAAATTCCACAAAAAGAGTGTTTCAAGTCTGCTCTGTACACGCGGAAGTTACTGAGAATTCTTCTGTCTAGCATAGTATGAAGAAATCCCGTTTCCAACGAAAGCCTCAAAGAGGTCTGAATATCCACTTGCAGAGTTTACAAACAGAGTGTTTCCTAACTGCTCTATGAAAAGAAAGGTTAAACTCTGTGAGTTGAACGCACACATCTCAAAGGAGTTTCTGAGAATCATTCTGTCTAGTTTTGAAACGAAGATATTTCCTTTTCTGCCATTGAACTTAAAGCGCTTGAAATCTCCATTTGCCAATTGCACAAAAAGAGTGTTTCAAATCTGCTCTGTCTAAGGGAACGTTCAACTCTGTGAGTTGAATGTACACAACACAAGGAAAGTTACTGGGAATTCTTCTGTCTAGCCTTACAAGAAAAAAACCCGTTTCCAACGAAGGCCTCTAAATGGTCAAAATATCCACGTGCAGACTTTACAAACAGAGTGTTTCCAAACTGCTGAATGAAAAGAAAAGTTAAACTCTGAGAGTTGAACGCACACATCGCAGAGCAGTTTCTGAGAATGATTCTGTCTAGTTTTTATACGAAGATATTTCCTTTTCTGCCTTTGGCCCCAAAGCGCTTGAAATCTCCACTTGCAAATTCCACAAAAACAGAGTTTCAAATCTGCTCTCTCTAAATGAAAGTTCAACTCTGTCAGTTGAATACACACAACACAAGGAAGTTACTGAGAATTCTTCTGTCTAGCATAATATGAAGAAATCCCGTTTCCAACGAGGGCCTCAAAGAGGTATGAATATCCACTTGAAGACTTTACAAACAGAGTGTTTCTTAACTGCTCTATGAAAAGAAAGGTTGAACCCTGTGAGTTGAACGCACACATCACAAAGAACTTACTGAGAATCATTCTGTCTAGTTTCTATAGGAAGATATTTCCTATTCTACCATTGACCTCAAAGCGGCTGAAATCTCCACTTGCAAATTCCACAAAAAGAGTGTTTCAAGTCTGCTCTGTGTAAAGGATCGTTCAACTCTGTGAGTTGAATACACACAACACAAGGCAGTTACTGAGAATTCTCTGTCTAGCAGAATACGAAGAAATCCCATTTCCAATTAAGGCCACAAGACGTCAGAATATCCACTTACAGACTTTACAAGCAGAGTGGTTCCTAACTGGTCTATGAACAGAAAGGTTAAACTCTGTGAGTTGAACGAACACATCACAACGCAGTTTGTGGGAATGATTCTGTCTAGTTTTGAAACGAAGATATTTCCTTTTCTGCCATTGACCTTAAAGCGCTTGAAATCTACACTTGCAAATTGCACAAATAGAGTGTTTCAAATCTGCTCTGTCTAAGGGAACGTTCATCTGTGTGAGTTGAATGCACACAACACAAGGGAAGTTACTGGGAATTCTTCTGTATTGCCTTACATGAAAAAAACTCGTTTCCAACGAAGGCCTCTAAGTGGTCAAAATATCCACGTGCAGATTTTACAAACAGAGTGTTGCCAAACTGCTGAAAGAAAAGAAAAGTTAAACCCTGTGAGATGAACGCACACATCACAGAGCAGTTTCTGAGAATGATTCTGTCTAGTTTTGAAACGGAGATATTTCCTTTTCTGCCTTTGGCCTCAAAGCGCTTGAAATCTCCACTTGCAAATTCCACAAAAAGAGTGTTTCAAATCTGCTCTGTGTAAATGAAAGTTCAACTTTGTGAGTTGAACACACACAACACAAGGAAGTTACTGGGAATTCTTCTGTCTAGCCTTATATGAAAAAAACCCGTTTCCAACGAAGGCCTCAAAGAGGTCTGAATATCCACTTGCAGACTTTACAAACAGAGTGTTTCCTAACTGCTCTATGAAAAGGAAGGTTAAACTCTGTGAGTTGAACGCACACATCACAAAGGAGTTTCTGAGAATCATTCTGTCTAGTTTCTATAGGAAGATATTTCCTATTCTACCATTGACCTCAAAGCGGCTGAAATCTCCACTTGCAAATTCCACAAAAAGAGTGTTTCAAGTCTGCTCTCTGTAAAGGATCGTTCACCTCTGTGAGTTGAATACACACAACACAAGGAAGTTACTGAGAATTCTTCTGTCTAGCAGAATATGAAGAAATCCCGCTTCCAACGAAGGCCACAAGATGTCAGAATATCCACTTACAGAATTTACAAACAGACTGTTTCCTAACTGCTCTATGAAAAGAAAGGTTAAACTCTGTGATTTGAACGAACACATCACAACGCAGTTTGTGGGAATGATTCTGTCTAGTTTTGAAACGAAGATATTTCCTTTTCTGCCATTGACCTTAAAACTCTTGAAATCTCCACTTGCCAATTGCACAAAAAGAGTGTTTCAAATCTGCTCTGTCTAAGGGAACGTTCAACTCTGTGAGTTGAATGTACACAACACAAGGAAGTTACTGGGAATTCTTCTGTCTAGCCTTGCATGAAAAAAACCCGTTTCCAACGAAGGCCTCTAAGTGGTCAAATTATCCACGTGCAGACTTTACAAACAGAGTGTTTCCAAACTGCTGAATGAAAAGAAAAGTTAAACTCTGAGAGTTGAACGCACACATCGCAGAGCAGTTTCTGAGAATGATTCTGGCTAGTTTTGAAACGAAGATATTACCTTTTCTGCCTTTGGCCTCAAAGCGCTTGAAATCTCCACTTGCAAATTCCACAAAAAGAGTGCTTCAAATCTGCTCTGTCTAAATGAAAGTTCAACTCTGTGAGTTGAACACACACAACACAAGGAAGTTACTGGGAATTCTTCTGTCTAGCATAATATGAAGAAATCCCGTTTCCAACGAAGGCCTCAAAGAGGTCTGAATATCCACTTGCAGACTTTACAAACAGAGTGTTTCCTAACTGCTCTATGAAAAGAAAAGTTAAACTCTGTGAGTTGAATGCACACATCACAAAGGAGTTTCTGGGAATCATTCTGCCTAGTTTTTCTACGAAGATATTTCCTTTTCTACTATTGACCTCAAAGCGGCTGAAATCTCCACTTGCAAATTCCACAAAAAGAGTGTTTGAAGTCTGCTCTGTGTAAAGGATCGTTCAACTCTGTGAGTTGAATACACACAACACAAGGAAGTTACTGAGAATTCTTCTGTCTAGCAGAATATGAAGAAATCCCTTTTCCAACGAAGGCCTCAAGGAGGTCTGAATATCCACTTGCAGACTTTACAAACAGAGTGTTTCCTAACTGCTCTATGAACAGAAAGGTTAAACTCTGTGAGTTGAACGCACACATCACAAAGGAGTTTATGAGAATCATTCTGTCTAGTTTTGAAACGAAGATATTTCCTTTTCTGCCATTGACCTTAAAGCCCTTGAAATCTCCATTTGCCAATTGCACAAAAATAGTGTTTCAAATCTGCTCTGTCTAAGGGAACGTTCAACTCTGTGAGTTGAATGTACACAACACAAGGAAGTTACTGGGAATTCTTCTGTCTAGCCTTACATGAAAAAAACCCGTTTCCAACGAAGGCCTCTAAGTGGTCAAATTATCCACGTGCAGACTTTACAAACAGAGTGTTTCCAAACTGCTGAATGAAAAGCAAAGTAAAACTCTGAGAGTTGAACGCACACATCGCAGAGCAGTTTCTGAGAATGATTCTGTCTAGTTTTTATACGAAGATATTTCCTTTTCTGCCTTTGGCCTCAAAGCGCTTGAAATCTCCACTTGCAAATTCCACAAAAAGAGTGTTTCCAATCTGCTCTGTGTAAATGAAAGTTCAACTCTGTGAGTTGAACACACACAACACAAGGGAAGTTACTGAGAATTCTTCTGTCTAGCAGAATATGAAGAAATCCCGTTTCCAACGAAGGCCTCAAGAGGGTCTGAATATCCACTTGCAGACTTTACAAACAGAGTGTTTCCTAACTGCTCTATGAAAAGAAAGGTTAAACTCTGTGAGTTGAACGCACACATCACAAAGGAGTTTATGAGAATCATTCTGTCTAGTTTCTATAGGAAGATATTTCCTATTCTACCATTGACCTCAAAGCGGCTGAAATCTCCATTTGCAAATTCCACAAAAAGAGTGTTTCAAGTCTGCTCTGTGTAAAGGATCGTTCAACTCTGTGAGTTGAATACACACAACACAAGGAAGTTACTGAGAATTCTTCTGTCTAGCAGAATAAGAAGAAATCCTGTTTCCAACAAAGGCCACAATATGTCAGATTATCCACTTACAGAATTTACAAACAGACTGTTTCCTAACTGCTCTATGAAAAGAAAGGTTAAACTCTGTTAGTTGAACGAACACATCACAACGCAGTTTGTGGGAATGATTCTATCTAGTTTTGAAACGAAGATATTTCCTTTTCTGCCATTGACCTTAAAGCGCTTGAAATCTCCACTTGCAAATTCCACAAAAAGAGTGTTACAAATCTGCTCTTTGTAAAGGATCGTTCAACTCTGTGAGTTGAATACACACAACACAAGGAAGTTACTGAGAATTCTTCTGTCTAGCCTTACATGAAAAAAACCCGTTTCCAACGAAGGCCTCTAAGTGGTCAAATTATCCACGTGCAGACTTTAGAAACAGAGTGTTTCCAAACTGCTGAATGAAAAGAAAAGTTAAACTCTGAGAGTTGAACGCACACATCGCAGAGCAGTTTCTGAGAACGATTCTGTCTAGTTTTTATACGAAGATATTTCCTTTTCTGCCTTTGGCCCCAAAGCGCTTGAAATCTCCACTTACAAATTCCACAAAAACAGTGTTTCAAATCTGCTCTCTCTAAATGAAAGTTCAACTCTGTCAGTTGAATACACACAACACAAGGAAGTTACTGAGAATTCTTCTGTCTAGCAGAATATGAAGAAATCCCGTTTCCAACGAAGGCCTCAAAGAGGTCTGAATATCCACTTGCAGACTTTACAAACAGAGTGTTTCCTAACTGCTCTATGGAAAGAAAGGTTAAACTCTGTGAGTTGAACGCACACTTCACAAAGGAGTTTCTGAGAATCATTCTGTCCAGTTTCTATAGGAAGATATTTCCTATTCTACCATTGAACCCAAAGCGGCTGAAATCTCCACTTGCAAATTCCACAAAAAGAGTGTTTCAAGTCTGCTCTGTGTAAAGGATCGTTCAACTCTGTGAGTTGAATACACACAACACAAGGAAGTTACTGAGAATTCTTCTGTCTAGCAGAATATGAAGAAATCCCGTTTCCAACTAAGGCCACAAGATGTCAGAATATCCACTTACAGAATTGACAAACAGACTGTTTCCTAACTGCTCTATGAAAAGAAAGGTTAAACTCTGTGAGTTGAACGAACACATCACAACGCAGTTTGTGGGAATGATTCTGTCTAGTTTTTATACGAAGATATTTCCTTTTCTACCATTGACCTCAAAGCTGCTGAAATCACCACTTGCCAATTGCACAAAAAGAGTGTTTCAAATCTGCTCTGTCTAAGGGAACGTTCAACTCTGTGAGTTGAATGTACACAACACAAGGAAGTTCCTGGGAATTCTTCTGTCTAGCCTAACATGAAAAAAACCCGTTTCCAACGAAGGCCTCTAAGTGGTCAAAATATCCACGTGCAGACTTTACAAACAGAGTGTTTCCAAACCGCTGAATGAAAAGAAAAGTTAAACTCTGAGAGTTGAACGCACACATCACGCAGCAGTTTCTGAGAATGATTCTGTCTAGTTTTTATACGAAGATATTTCCTTTTCTGCCTTTGGCCTCAAAGCGCTTGAAATCTCCACTTGCAAATTCCACAAAATTAGTGTTTCAAATCTGCTCTGTGTAAATGAAAGTTCAACTCTGTGAGTTGAACACACACAACACAAGGCAAGTTACTGGGAATTCTTCTGTCTAGCATAATATGAAGAAATCCCGTTTCCAACGAAGGCCTCAAAGAGGTCTGAATATCCACTTGCAGACTTTACAAACAGAGTGTTCCCTAACTGCTCTATGAAAAGAAAGGTTAAACTCTGTGAGTTGAACGCACACATCACAAAGGAGTTTCTGAGAATCATTCTGTCTAGTTTTTATAGGAAGATATTTCCTTTTCTACATTTGACTTCAAAGCGGCTGAAATCTCCACTTGCAAATTCCACAAAAAGAGTGTTTCAAATCTGCTCTGTGTAAATGAAAGTTCAACTCTGTGAGTTGAACACACACAACACAAGGAAGTTACTGGGAATTCTTCTGTCTAGCCTTATATGAAAAAAACCCGTTTCCAACGAAGGCCTCAAAGAGGTCTGTATATCCACTTGCAGACTTTACAAACAGAGTGATTCCTAACTGCTCTATGAAAAGAAAGGTTAAACTGTGAGTTGAACACACACATCTCAAAGGAGTTTCTGAGAATCATTCTGTCTAGTTTTTATACGAAGATATTTCCTTTTCTACCATTGACCTCAACGCGGCAGAAATCTCCACTTGCAAATTCCACAAAAAGAGTGTTCCAAGTCTGCTCTGTGTAAAGGATCGTTCAACTCTGTGAGTTGAATACACACAACACAAGGAAGTTACTGAGAATTCTTCTGTCTAGCATAATATGAAGAAATCCCGTTTCCAATGAAGGCCTCAAAGAGGTCTGAATATCCACTTGCAGACATTACAAACAGAGTGTTTCCTAACTGCTCTATGAAATGAAAAGTTAAACTCTGTGAGTTGAACGCACACATCACAAAGGAGTTTATGAGAATCATTCTGTCTAGTCTTTATACGAAGATATTTCCTTTTCTACCATTGACCTCAAAGCGGCTGAAATCTCCACTTGCAAATTCCACAAAAAGAGTGTTTCAAGTCCGCTCTGTGTAAAGGATCGTTAAACTCTGTGAGTTGAATACACACAACACAAGGAAGTTACTGCGAATTCTTCTGTCTAGCAGAATATGAAGAAATCCCGTTTCCAACGAAGGCCTCAAAGGGGTCTGAATATCCACTTGCAGACTTTACAAACAGAGTGTTTCCTAACTGCTCTATGAACAGAAAGGTTAAACTCTGTGAGTTGAACGCACACATCACAAAGGAGTTTCTGAGAATCATTCTGTCTAGTTTCTATAGGAAGATATTTCCTATTCTACCATTGACCTCAAAGCGGCTGAAATCTCCACTTGCAAATTCCACAAAAAGAGTGTTTCAAGTCTGCTCTGTGTAAAGGATCGTTCAACTCTGTGAGTTGAATACACACAACACGAGGAAGTTACTGAGAATTCTTCTTTCTAGCAGAATATGAAGAAATCCCGTTTCCAACGAAAGCCTCAAGGATGTCTGCATATCCACTTGCAGACTTTACAAACAGAGTGTTTCCTAACTGCTCTATGAAAAGAAAGGTTAAACTCTGTGAGTTGAACGCACACATCACAAAGGAGTTTCTGAGAATCATTCTGTCTAGTTTTGAAAGGAAGATATTTCCTTTTCTGCCATTGACCTTAAAGCGCTTGAAATCTCCACTTGCCAATTGCACAAAAAGAGTGTTTCAAATCTGCTCTGTCTAAGGGAACGTTCAACTCTGTGAGTTGAATGTACACAACACAAGGAAGTTACTGTGAATTCTTCTGTCTAGCCTTACATGAAAAAAACCCGTTTCCAACGAAGACCTCTAAGTGGTCAAAATATCCACGTGCAGACTTTACAAACTGAGTGTTTCCAAACTGCTGAATGAAAAGAAAAGTTAAACTCTGAGAGTTGAACGCACACATCACAGAGCAGTTTCTGAGAATGATTCTGTCTAGTTTTGAAACGAAGATATTTCCTTTTCTGCCTTTGGTCTCAAAGCGCTTGAAATCTCCACTTGCAAATTCCACAAAAAGAGTGTTTCAAATCTGCTCTGTGTAAATGAAAGTTCAACTCTGTGAGTTGAACACACACAACACAAGGAAGTTACTGGGAATTCTTCTGTCTAGCAGAATATGAAGAAATCCCGTTTCCAACGAAGGCCTCAAAGAGGTCAGAATATCCACTTGCAGACTTTACAAACAGAGTGTTTCCTAACTGCTCTATGAAAAGAAAGGTTAAACTCTGTGAGTTGAACGCACACATCACAAAGGAGTTTCTGAGAATCGTTCTGTCTAGTTTCTATAGGAACATATTTCCTATTCTACCATTGACCTCAAAGCGGCTGTAATCTCCACTTGCAAATTCCAGAAAAAGAGTGTTTCAACTCTGCTCTGTGTAAGAAATCGTTCAACTCTGTAAGTTGAATACACACAACACAAGGAAGTTACTGAGAATTCCTTCCGTCTAGCAGAATATGAAGAAATCCCGTTTCCAACGAAGGCCACAAGATGTCAGAATATCCACTTACAGACTTTACAAACAGTGTGTTTCCTAACTGCTCTATGAACGGAAAGGTTAAACTCTGTGAGTTGAACGAACACATCACAACGCAGTTTGTGGGAATGATTCTGTCTAGTTTTGAAACGAAGATATTTCCTTTTCTGCCATTGAACTTAAAGCGCTTGAAATCTCCATTTGCCAATTGCACAAAAAGAGTGTTTCAAATCTGCTCTGTCTAAGGGAACGTTCAACTCTGTGAGTTGAATGTACACAACACAAGGAAGTTACTGGGAATTCTTCTGTCTAGCAGAATATGAAGAAAACCCGTTTCCAACGAAGGCCACAAGATGTCAGAATATCCACTTACAGAATTTACAAACAGACTGTTTCCTAACTGCTCTATGAAAACAAAGGTTAAACTCTGTGAGTTGAACGAACACAGCACAACGCAGTTTGTGGGAATGATTCTGTCTAGTTTTGAAACGAAGATATTTCCTTTTCTGCCATTGACCTTAAAGCGCTTGAAATCTCCACTTGCCAATTGCACAAAAAGAGTGTTTCAAATCTGCTCTGTCTAAGGGAACGTTCAAATCTGTGAGTTGAATGTACACAACACAAGGAAGTTACTGGGAATTCTTCTGTCTAGCCTTACAGGAAAAAAACCCGTTTCCAACGAAGGCCTCAAAGAGGTCTGAATATCCACTTGCAGACTTTACAAACAGAGTGTTTCCTAACTGCTCTATGAAAAGAAAGGTTAAACTCTGTGAGTTGAACGCACACATCACAAAGGAGTTTCTGAGAATCATTCTGTCTAGTTTTTATACGAAGATATTTCCTTTTCTACCATGGACCTCAAAGCGGCTGAAATCTCCACTTGCAAATTCCACAAAAAGAGTGTTTCAAGTCTGCTCTGTGTAAAGGATCGTTCAACTCTGTGAGTTGAATACACACAACACAAGGAAGATTCTGAGAATTCCTCTGTCTAGCAGAATATGAAGAAATCCCGTTTCCAACGAAGGCCACAAGATGTCAGAATATCCACTTACAGAATTTACAAACAGACTGTTTCCTAACTGCTCTACGAAAAGAAAGGTTAAACTCTGTGAGATGAACGAACACATCACAACGCAGTTTGTGGGAATGATTCTGTCTAGTTTTTATACGAAGATATTTCCTTTTCTACCATTGACCTCAAAGCGGCTGAAATCACCACTTGCCAATTGCACAAAAAGAGTGTTTCAAATCTGCTCTCTCTAAGGAAACGTTCAACTCTGTGTGTTGAATGTACACAACACAAGGAAGTTACTGGGAATTCTTCTGTCTAGCCTTACATGAAAAAAAACCGTTTCCAACGAAGGCCTCTAAGTGGTCAAGTTATCCACGTGCAGACTTTACAAACAGAGTGTTTCCAAACTTCTGAATGAAAAGAAAAGTTAAACTCTGAGAGTTGAACGCACACATCGCAGAGCAGTTTCTGAGAATGATTCTGTCTAGTTTTTATACGAAGATATTTCCTTTTCTGCCTTTGGCCTCAAAGCGCTTGAAATCTCCTCTTGCAAATTCCACAAAAAGAGTGTTTCAAATCTGCTCTGTGTAAATGAAAGTTCAACTCTGTGAGTTGAACACACACAACACAAGGAAGTTACTGGGAATTCTTCTGTCTAGCATAATATGAAGAAATCCCTTTTCCAACGAAGGCCTCAAAGGGGTCTGAATATCCACTTTCAGACTTTATAAACAGAGTGTTTACTAACTGCTCTATGAAAAGAAAGGTTAAACTCTGTGAGTTGAACACACACATCACAAAGGAGTTTCTGAGAATCATTCTGTCTAGTTTCTATAGGAAGATATTTCCTATTCTACCATTGACCTCAAAGCGGCTGAAATCTCCACTTGCAAATTCCACAACAAGAGTGTTTCAAGTCTACTCTGTGTAAAGCATCGTTCAACTCTGTGAGTTGAAAACACACAACACAAGGAAGTTTCTGAGAATTCTTCTGTATAGCAGAATATGAAGAAATCCCGTTTCCAACGAAAGCCTCAAGGAGGTCTGAATATCCACTTGCAGACTTTACAAACAGAGTGTTTCCTAACTGCTCTATGAAAAGAAAGGTTAAACTCTGTGAGTTGAACGCACACATCACAAAGGAGTTTCTGAGAATCATTCTGTCTAGTTTTTATACGAAGATATTTCCTTTTCTACCATTGACCTCAAAGCGGCTGAAATCTCCACTTTCAAATTCCACAAAAAGAGTGTTTCAAGTCTGCTCTGTGTAAAGGATCGTTCAACTCTGTGAGTTGAATACACACAACACAAGGAAGTTACTGAGAATTCTTCTGTCTAGCAGAATATGAAGAAATCCCGTTTCCAACGAAGGCCTCAAAGAGGTCTGAATATCCACTTGCAGACTTTACAAACAGAGTGTTTCCTAACTGCTCTATGAAAGGAATGGTTAAACTCTGTGAGTTGAATGCACACATCACAAAGGAGTTTCTGAGAATCATTCTGTCTAGTTTTTATACGAAGATATTTCCTTTTCTGCCTTTGGCCCAAAAGCGCTTGAAATCTCCACTTGCAAATTCCAAAAAAACAGTGTTTCAAATCTGCTCTCTCTAAATGAAAGTTCAACTCTGTCAGTTGAATACACACAACACAAGGAAGTTACTGAGAATTCTTCTGTCTAGCAGAATATGAAGAAATCCCGTTTCCAACGAAGGCCTCAAGGAGGTCTGAATATCCACTTGCAGACTTTACAAACAGAGTGTTTCCTAACTGCTCTATGAAAAGAAAGGTGAAACTCTGTGAGTTGAATGCACACATCACAAATGAGTTTATGAGAATCATTCTGTCTAGTTTTTATAGGAAGATATTTCCTTTTCTACCTTTGACTTCAAAGCGGCTGAAATCTCCACTTGCAAATTGCACAAAAAGAGTGTTACAAGTCTGCTCTGTCTAAGGGAACGTTCAACTCTGTGAGTTGAATGTACACAACACAAGGAAGTTACTGGGAATTCTTCTGTCTAGCAGAATATGAAGAAATCCCGTTTCCAACGAAGGCCACAAGATTTCAGAATATCCACTTACAGAATTTACAAACAGAGTGTTTCCTAACTGCTCTATGAAAAGAAAGGTTAAACTCTGTGAGTTGAACGAACACATCACAACGCAGTTTGTGGGAATCATTCTGTCTACTTTTGAAACGAAGATATTTCCTTTTCTGCCAGTGACCTTAAAGCGCTTGAAATCTCCACTTGTCAATTGCACAAAAAGAGTGTTTCAAATCTGCTCTGTCTAAGGGAACGTTCAACTCTGTGAGTTGAATGTACTCAACACAAGGAAGTTACTGGGAATTATTCTGTCTAGCCTTACAGGAAAAAAACCCGTTTCCAACGAAGGCCTCCAAGTGGTCAAAATATCCACGTGCAGACTTTACAAACAGAGTGTTTCCAAACTGCTGAATGAAAAGAAAAGTTAAACTCTGAGAGTTGAACGCACACATCGCAGAGCAGTTTCTGAGAATCATTCTGTCTAGTTTTTATACGAAGATATTTCCTTTTCTGCCTTTGGCCCCAAAGCGCTTGAAATCTCCACTTGCAAATTCCACAAAAACAGTGTTTCAAATCTGCTCTCTCTAAATGAAAGTTCAACTCTGTCAGTTGAATACACACAACACAAGGAAGTTACTGAGAATTCCTCTGTCTAGCATAATATGAAGAAATCCCGTTTCCAACGAAGGTCTCAAGGAGGTCTGAATATCCACTTGCAGACTTTACAAACAGAGTGTTTCCTAACTGCTCTATGAAAAGAAAGGTTAAACTCTGTGAGTTGAACGCACACATCACAAAGGAGTTTATGAGAATCATTCTGTCTAGTTTCTATAGGAAGATATTTCCTATTCTACCATTGACCTCAAAGCGGCTGAAATCTCCACTTGCAAATTCCACAAAAAGAGTGTTTCAAGTCTGCTCTGTGTAAAGGATCGTTCAACTCTGTGAGTTGCATACACACAACACAAGGAAGTTACTGAGAATTCTTCTGTCTAGCATAATATGAAGAAATGCCGTTTCCAAAGAAGGCCTCAAAGAGGTCTGAATATCCACTTGCAGACTTTACAAACAGAGTGTTTCCTAACTGCTCTATGAAAAGAAAGGTTAAACTCTGTGAGTTGAACGCACACATCACAAAGGAGTTTCTGAGAATCATTCTGTCTAGTTTTTATACGAAGATATTTCCTTTTCTACCATTGACCCCAAAGCGGCTGAAATCACCACTTGCCAATTGCACAAAAAGAGTGTTTCAAATCTGTTCTGTCTAAGGGAACGTTCAACTCTGTGAGTTGAATGTACACAACACAAGGAAGTTACTGGGAATTCTTCTGTCTAGCCTTACATGAAAAAAACCCGTTTCCAACGAAGGCCTCTGAGTGGTCAAAATATCCACGTGCAGACTTTACAAACAGAGTGTTTCCAAACCGCTGAATGAAAAGAAAAGTTAAACTCTGAGAGTTGAACGCACACATCACGCAGCAGTTTCTGAGAATGATTCTGTCTAGTTTTTATACGAAGATATTTCCTTTTCTGCCTTTGGCCTCAAAGCGCTTGAAATCTCCACTTGCAAATTCCACAAAAAGACTGTTTCAAATCTGCTCTGTGTAAATGAAAGTTCAACTCTGTGAGTTGAACACACACAACACAAGGAAGTTACTGGGAATTCTTCTGTCTAGCAGAATATGAAGAAATCCCGTTTCCAACGAAGGCCTCAAAGGGGTCTGAATATCCACTTGCAGACTTTATAAACAGAGTGTTTACTAACTGCTCTATGAAAAGAAAGGTTAAACTCTGTGAGTTGAACACACACATCACAAAGGAGTTTCTGAGAGTCATTCTGTCTAGTTTCTATTGGAAGATATTTCCTATTCTACCATTGACCTCAAAGCGGCTGAAATCTCCACTTGCAAATTCCACAAAAAGAGTCTTTCAAGACTGTTCTGTGTAAAGGATCATTCAAGTCTGTGAGTTGAATACACACAACACAAGGAAGTTACTGAGAATTCTTCTTTCTAGCAGAATATGAAGAAATCCCGTTTCCAACGAAAGCCTCAAAGATGTCTGAATATCCACTTGCAGACTTTACAAACAGAGTGTTTCCTAACTGCTCTATGAAAAGAAAGGTTAAACTCTGTGAGTTGAATGCACACATCACAAAGGAGTTTCTGAGAATCATTCTGTGTAGTTTTGAAACGAAGATATTTCCTTTTCTGCCATTGACCTTAAAGCGCTTGAAATCTCCACTTGCCAATTGCACAAAAAGAGTGTTTCAAATCTGCTCTGTCTAAGGGAACGTTCAACTCTGTGAGTTGAATGTACACAACACAAGGAAGTTACTGGGAATTCTTCTGTCTAGCCTTACATGAAAAAAACCCGTTTCCAACGAAGGCCTCTAAGTGGTCAAAATTTCCACGTACAGACTTTACAAACAGAGTGTTTCCAAACAGCTGAATGAAAAGAAAAGTTAAACTTTGAGAGTTGAACGCACACATCACGCAGCAGTTTCAGAGAATGATTCTGTCTAGTTTTGAAACGAAGATATTTCCTTTTCTGCCTTTGGCCTCAAAGCGCTTGAAATCTCCACTTTCAAATTCCACAAAAAGAGTGTTTCAAATCTGCTCTGTGTAAATGAAAGTTCAACTCCTGTGAGTTGAACACACACAACACAAGGAAGTTAGTGGGAATTGCTTCTGTCTAGCAGAATATGAAGAAATCCCGTTTCCAACGAAGGCCTCAAGGAGGTCTGAATATCCACTTGCAGACTTTACAAACAGAGTGTTTCCTAACTGCTCTATGAAAAGAAAGGTGAAACTCTGTGAGTTGAATTCACACATCACAAAGGAGTTTATGAGAATCATTCTGTCTAGTTTTTATACGAAGATATTTCCTTTTCTACCATTGACCTCAACGCGGCTGAAATCTCCACTTGCAAATTCCACAAAAAGAGTGTTTCAAGCCCGCTCTGTGTAAAGGATCGTTCAACTCTGTGAGTTGAATACACGCAACACAAGGAAGTTACTGAGAATTCTTCTGTCTAGCACAGTATGAAGAAATCCCGTTTCCAACGAAGGCCTCAAAGAGGTCTGAATATCCACTTGCAGAGTTTATAAACAGAGTGTTTCCTAACTGCTCTATGAAAAGAAAGGTTAAACTCTGTGAGTTGAACGCACACATCACAAAGAAGTTTCTGAGAATCATTCTGTCTAGTTTTGAAAGTAAGATATTTCCTTTTCTGCCATTGACCTTAAAGCGCTTGAAATCTCCACTTGCTAATTGCACAAAAAGAGTGTTTCAAATCTGCTCTGTCTAAGGGAACGTTCAACTCTGTGAGTTGAATGTACACAACACAAGGAAGTTACTGGGAATTCTTCTGTCTAGCCTTATATGAAAAAAACCCGTTTCCAAAGAAGGCCTCTAAGTGGTCAAATTATCCACGTGCAGACTTTACAAACAGAGTGTTTCCAAACTGCTGAATGAAAAGAAAAGTTAAACTCTGAGAGTTGAACGCACACATCGCAGAGCAGTTTCTGAGAATGATTCTGTCTAGTTTTGAAACGAAGATATTTCCTTTTCTGCCTTTGGCCTCAAAGCGCTTGAAATCTCCACTTGCAAATTCCACAAAAAGAGTGTTTCAAATCTGCTCTGTGTAAATGGAAGTTCAACTCTGTGGGTTGAACACACACAACACAAGGAAGTTACTGGGAATTCTTCTCTCTAGCCTTATATGAAAAAAACCCGTTTCCAACGAAGGCCTCAAAGAGGTCTGAATATCCACTTGCAGACTTTACAAACAGAGTGATTCCTAACTGCTCTATGAAAAGAAAGGTTAAACTCTGTGAGTTGAACACACACATCTCAAAGGAGTTTCTGAGAATCATTCTGTCTAGTTTTTATACCGAAGATATTTCCTTTTCTACCATGGACCTCAAAGCGGCTGAAATCTCCACTTGCAAATTCCACAAAAAGAGTGTTTCAAGTCTGCTCTGTGTAAAGGATCGTTCAACTCTGTGAGTTGAATACACACAACACAAGGAAGATTCTGAGAATTCTTCTGTCTAGCAGAATATGAAGAAATCCCGTTTCCAACGAAGGCCACAAGATGTCAGAATATCCACTTACAGACTTTACAAACAGAGTGTTTCCTAACTGCTCTATGAACAGAAAGGTTAAACTCTGTGAGTTGAACGAACACATCACAACGCAGTTTGTGGGTATGATTCTGTCTAGTTTTGAAACGAAGATATTTCCTTTTCTGCCGTTGACCTTAAAGCGCTTGAAATCTACACTTGCAAATTGCACAAATAGAGTGTTTCAAATCTGCTCTGTCTAAGGGAACGTTCAACTCTGTGAGTTGAATGCACACAACACAAGGAAGTTACTGGGAATTCTTCTGTCTAGCCTTACATGAAAAAAAACCCGTATCCAACGAAGGCCTCTAAGTGGTCAAAATATCCACGTGCAGACTTTACAAACAGAGTGTTTCCAAACCGCTGAATGAAAAGAAAAGTTAAACTCTGAGAGTTGAACGCACACATCACGCAGCAGTTTCTGAGAATGATATCTGTCTAGTTTTCAAACGAAGATATTTCCTTTTCTGCCTTTGGCCTCAAAGCGCTTGAAATCTCCACTTGCATATTCCACAAAAAGAGTGTTTCAAATCTGCTCTGTGTAAATGAAAGTTCAACTCTGTGAGTTGAACACACACAACACAAGGAAGTTACTGGGAATTCTTCTGTCTAGCATAATATGAAGAAATCCCGTTTCCAACGAACCCTCAAGGAGGTCTGAATATCCACTTGCAGACTTTACAAACAGAGTGTTTCCTAACTGCTCTATGAAAAGAAAGGTTAAACTCTGTGAGTTGAACGCACACATCACAAAGGAGTTTCTGAGAATCATTCTGTCTAGTTTCTATAGGAAGATATTTCCTATTCTACCATTGACCTCAAAGCAGCTGAAATCTCCACTTGCAATTTCCACAAAAAGAGTGTTTCAAGTCTGCTCTCTGTAAAGGATCGTTCAACTCTGTGAGTTGAATACACACAACACAAGGAAGTTACTGAGAATTCTTCTGTCTAGCAGAATATGAAGAAATCCCGTTTCCAACGAAGGCCTCAAGGAGGTCTGAATATCCACTGGCAGACTTTACAAACAGAGTGTTTCCTAACTGCTCTATGAACAGAAAGGTTAAACTCTGTGAGTTGAACGAACACATCACAACGCAGTTTGTGGGAATGAATCTGTCTAGTTTTGAAACGAAGATATTTCCTTTTCTGCCATTGACCTCAAAGCGCTTGAAATCTCCACTTGCCAATTGCACAAAAAGAGTGTTTCAAATCTGCTCTGTCTAAGGGAACGTTCAACTCTGTGAGTTGAATGTACACAACACAAGGAAGTTACTGGGAATTCTTCTGTCTAGCCTTACATGAAAAAAACCCGTTTCCAACTAAGGCCTCTAAGTGGTCAAAATGTCCACGTGCAGACTTTACAAACAGAGTGTTTCCAAACCGCTGAATGAAAAGAAAAGTTAAACTCTGAGAGTTGAACGCACACATCACGCAGCAGTTTCTGAGAATGATTCTGTCTAGTTTTTATACGAAGATATTTCGTTTTCTGCCTTTGGCCACAAAGCGCTTGAAATCTCCACTTGCAAATTCCACAAAAACAGTGTTTCAAATCTGCTCTCTCTAAATGAAAGTTCAACTCTGTCAGTTGAATACACACAACACAAGGAAGTTACTGAGAATTCTTCTGTCTAGCCTTATATGAAAAAAACCCGTTTCCAACGAAGGCCTCAAAGAGGTCTGAATATCCACTTGCAGACTTTACAAACAGAGTGATTCCTAACTGCTCTATGAAAAGAAAGGTTAAACTCTGTGAGTTGAACACACACATCTCAAAGGAGTTTCTGAGAATCATTCTGTCTAGTTTTTATACGAAGATATTTCCTTTTCTACCATTGATCTCAACGCGGCTGAAATCTCCACTTGCAAATTCCACAAAAAGAGTGTTCCAAGTCTGCTCTGTGTAAAGGATCGTTCAACTCTGTGAGTTGAATACACACAACACAAGGAAGTTACTGAGAATTCTTCTCTCAGGCATAATATGAAGAAATCCCGTTTCCAACGAAGGCCTCAAAGAGGTCTGAATATCCACTTGCAGAGTTTACAAACAGAGTGTTTCCTAACTGCTCTATGAAAAGAAAGGTTAAACTCTGTGAGTTGAGCGCACACATCACAAAGAAGTTTCTGAGAATCATTCTGTCTAGTTTCTATAGGAAGATATTTCCTATTCTACCATTGACCTCAAAGCGGCTGAAATCTCCACTTGCAAATTCCACAAAAAGAGTGTTTCAAGTCTGCTCTGTGTAAAGGATCGTTCAACTCTGTGAGTTGAATACACACAACACAAAGGAGTTACTGAGAATTCTTCTGTCTAGTAGAATATGAAGAAATCCCGTTTCCAACGAAGGCCAAAAGATGTCGGAATATCCACTTACAGACTTTACAAACAGAGTGTTTCCTAACTGCTCTATGAACAGAAAGTTTAAACTCTGTGAGTTGAACGAACACATCACAACGCAGTTTGTGGGAATGATTCTGTCTAGTTTTGAAACGAAGATATTTCCTTTTCTGCCATTGAACTTAAAGCGCTTGAAATCTCCATTTGCCAATTGCACAAAAAGAGTGTTTCAAATCTGCTCTGTCTAAGGGAACGTTCAACTCTGTGAGTTGAATGTACACAACACAAGGAAGTTACTGGGAATTCTTCTGTCTAGCCTTACATGAAAAAAACCCTTTTCCAACGAAGGCCTCTAAGTGGTCAAAATTTCCACGTGCAGACTTTACAAACAGAGTGTTTCCAAACCGCTGAATGAAAAGAAAAGTTAAACTCTGAGAGTTGAACGCAAACATCACGCAGCAGTTTCTGAGAATGATTCTGTCTAGTTTTTATACGAAGATATTTCCTTTTCTGCCTTTGGTCCCAAAGCGCTTGAAATCTCCACTTGCAAATTCCACAACAACAGTGTTTCAAATCTGCTCTCTCTAAATGAAAGTTCAACTCTGTCAGTTGAATACACACAACACAAGGAAGTTACTGAGAATTCTTCTGTCTAGCATAATATGAAGAAATCCCGTTTCCAACGAAGGCCTCAAAGGGGTCTGAATATCCACTTGCAGACATTATAAACAGAGTGTTTCCTAACTGCTCTAAGAAAAGAAAGGTTAAACTCTGTGAGTTGAACGCACACATCACAAAGGAGTTTCTGAGAATCATCTGTCTAGTTTCTATAGGAAGATATTTCCTATTCTACCATTGACCTAAAAGCGGCTGAAATCTCCACTTGCAAATTCCACAAAAAGAGTGTTTCAAGTCTGCTCTGTGTAAAGGATCGTTGAACTCTGTGAGTTGAATTCACACAACACAAGGAAGTTCCTGAGAATTCTTCTGTCTAGCAGAATATGAAGAAATCCCGTTTCCAACGAAGGCCACAAGATGTCAGAATATCCACTTACAGAATTTACAAACAGACTGTTTCCTAACTGCTCTATGAAAAGAAAGGTTAAACTCTGTGAGATGAACGAACACATCACAACGCAGTTTTTGGGAATGATTCTGTCTAATTTTTATACGAAGTTATTTCCTTTTCTACCATTGACCTCAAAGCGGCTGAAATCACCACTTGCCAATTGCATAAAAAGAGTTTTTCAAATCTGCTCTGTATAAGGGAACGTTCAACTCTGTGAGTTGAATGTACACAACACAAGGAAGTTACTGGGAATTCTTCTGTCTAGCCTTACAGGAAAAAAACCCGTTTCCAACGGAGGCCTCTAAGTGGTCAAGTTATCCAGGTGCAGACTTTACAAACAGAGTGTTTCCAAACTGCTGAATGAAAAGAAAAGTTAAACTCTGAGAGTTGAACGCACACATCGCAGAGCAGTTTCTGAGAATGATTCTGTCTAGTTTTTATACGAAGATATTTCCTTTTCTGCCTTTGGCCCCAAAGCGCTTGAAATATACACTTGCAAATTCCACAAAAACAGTGTTTCAAATCTGCTCTCTCTAAATGAAAGTTCAACTCTGTCAGTTGAATACACACAACACAAGGAAGTTACTGAGAATTCTTCTGTCTAGCAGAATATGAAGAAATCCCGTTTCCAACGAAGGCCTCAAAGAGGTCTGAATATCCACTTGCAGACTTTACAAACAGAGTGTTTCCTAACTGCTCTATGAAAAGAAAGGTTAAACTCTGTGAGTTGAACGCACACATCACAAAGGAGTTTCTCAGAATCATTCTGTCTAGTTTCTATAGAAAGATATTTCCTATTCTACCATTGACCTCAAAGCGGCTGAAATCTCCACTTGCAAATTCCACAAAAAGAATGTTTCAAGTCTGCTCTGTGTAAAGGATCGTTCAACTCTGTGAGTTCAATACACACAACACAAGGAAGTTACTGAGAATTCTTCTGTCTAGCAGAATATGAAGAAATCCCGTTTCCAACGAAGGTCACAAGATGTCAGAATATCCACTTACAGAATTTACAAACAGACTGGTTCCTAACTGCTCTATGAAAAGAAAGGTTAAACTCTGTGAGTTGAACGAACACATCACAACGCAGTTTGTGGGAATGATTCTGTCTAGTTTTGAAACGAAGATATTTCCTTTTCTGCCATTGACCTTAAAGCGCTTGAAATCTCCACTTGCCAATTGCACAAAAAGAGTGTTTCAAATCTGCTCTGTCTAAGGGAACGTTCAACTCTGTGAGTTGAATGTACACAACGCAAGGAAGTTACTGGGAATTCTTCTGTCTAGCCTTACATGAAAAAATCCCGTTTCCAACGAAGGCCTCTAAGTGGTCAAAATATCCACGTGCAGACTTTACAAACATAGTGTTTCCAAACCGCTGAATGAAAAGAAAAGGTAAACTCTGAGAGTTGAACGCACACATCACGCAGCAGTTGCTGAGAATGATTCTGTCTAGTTTTTATACGAAGATATTTCCTTTTCTGCCTTTGACCTCAAAGCGCTTGAAATCTCCACTTGCAAATTCCACAAAAAGAGTGTTTCAAATCTGCTCTGTGTAAATGAGAGTTCAACTCTGTGAGTTGAACACACACAACACAAGGAAGTTACTGGGAATTCTTCTGTCTAGCATAATATGAAGAAATCCCGTTTCCAACGAAGGCCTCAAAGAGGTCGGAATATCCACTTGCAGACTTTACAAACAGAGTGTTTCCTAACTGCTCTATGAAAAGAAAAGTTAAACTCTCTGAGTTGAACGCACACATCACAAAGGAGTTTCTGAGAATCATTCTGTCTAGTTTCTATAGGAAGATATTTCCTATTCTACCATGGACCTCAAAGCGGCTGAAATCTCCACTTGCAAATTCCACAAAAAGAGTGTTTCAAGACTGTTCTGTGTAAAGGATCATTCAACTCTGTGAGTTGAATACACACAACACAAGGAAGTTACTGAGAATTGTTCTGTCTAGCAGAAGATGAAGAAATCCCGTTTCCAACGAAGGCCACAAGATGTCAGAATATCCACTTACAGAATTTACCAACAGAGTGTTTCCTAACTGCTCTATGAAAAGAAAGGTTAAACTCTGTGAGTTGAACGAACACATCACAACGCAGTTTGTGGGAATGATTCTGTCTAGTTTTGAAACGAAGATATTTCCTTTTCTGCCTTTGCCCTCAAAGCGCTTGAAATCTCCACTTGCAAATTCCACAAAAAGAGTGTTTCAAATCTGCTCTGTGTAAATGAAAGTTCAACTCTGTGAGTTGAACACACGCAAAACAAGGAAGTTACTGGGAATTCTTCTGTCTAGCCTTACATGAAAAAAACCCGTTTCCAACGAAGGCCTCTAAGTGGTCAAATTATCCAGGTGCAGACTTTACAAACAGAGTGTTTCCAAACTGCTGAATGAAAAGCAAAGTTAAACTCTGAGAGTTGAACGCACACATCGCAGAGCAGTTTCTGAGAATGATTCTGTCTAGTTTTTATACGAAGATATTTCCTTTCCTGCCTTTGGCCTCAAAGCGCTTGAAATCTCCATTTGCAAATTCCACAAAAAGAGTGTTTCAAATCTGCTCTGTGTAAATGAAAGTTCAACTCTGTGAGTTGAACACACACAACACAAGGAAGTTACTGGGAATTCTTCTGTCTAGCAGAATATGAAGAAATCCCGTTTCCAACGAAGGCCTCAAGGAGGTCTGAATATCCACTTGCAGACGTTACAAACAGAGTGTTTCCTAACTGCTCTATGAAAAGAAAGGTTAAACTCTGTGAGTTGAACGCACACATCACAAAGGAGTTTCTGAGAATCGTTCTGTCTAGTTTCTATAGGAAGATATTTCCTATTCTAACATTGACCTCAAAGCGGCTGAAATCTCCACTTGCAAATTCCACAAAAAGAGTGTTTCAAGTCTGCTCTGTGTAAAGGATTGTTCAACTCTGTGAGTTGAATACACACAACACAAGGAAGTTACTGAGAATTCTTCTGTCTAGCATAATATGAAGAAATCCCGTTTCCAAAGAAGGCCTCAGGGAGGTCTGAATATCCACTTGCAGACTTTACAAACAGAGTGTTTCCGAACTGCTCTATGAAAAGAAAGGTTAAACTCTGTGAGTTGAACGCACACATCACAAAGGAGTTTCTGAGAATTATTCTGTCTAGTTTTGAAACGAAGATATTTCCTTTTCTGCCATTGACCTTAAAGCGCTTGAAATCTCCACTTGCCAATTGCACAAAAAGAGTGTTTCAAATCTGCTCTGTCTAAGGGAACCTTCAACTCTGTGAGTTGAATGTACACAACACAAGGAAGTTACTGGGAATTCTTCTGTCTAGCCTTACATGAAAAAAACCCGTTTCCAACGAAGGTCTCTAAGTGGTCAAATTATCCACGTGCAGACTTTACAAACAGAGTGTTTCCAAACTGCTGAATGAAAAGAAAAGTTAAGCTCTGAGAGTTGTACGCACACATCGCAGAGCAGTTTCTGAGAATGATTCTGTGTAGTTTTTATACGAAGATATATCCTTTTCTGCCTTTGGCCTCAAAGCGCTTGAAATCTCCACTTGCAAATTCCACAAAAAGAGTGTTTCCAATCTGCTCTGTGTAAATGAAAGTTCAACTCTGTGAGTTGAACACACACATCACAAGGAAGTTACTGGGAATTCTTCTGTGTAGCATAATATGAAGAAATCCCGTTTCCAACGAAGGCCTCAAAGGGGTCTGAATATCCACTTGCAGACTTTATAAACTGAGTGTTTACTAACTGCTCTATGAAAAGAAACGTTAAACTCTGTGAGTTGAACACACACATCACAAAGGAGTTTCTGAGAATCATTCTGTCTAGTTTTTATAGGAAGATATTTCCTTTTCTACATTTGACTTCAAAGCGGCTGAAATCTCCACTTGCAAATTCCACAAAAAGAGTGTTACAAGTCTGCTCTGTCTAAGGGAACGTTCAACTCTGTGAGTTGAATGTACACAACACAAGGAAGTTACTGGGAATTCTTCTGTCTAGCAGAATATGAGGAAATCCCGTTTCCAACGAAGGCCACAAGATGTCAGAATATCCACTTACAGAATTGACAAACAGACTGTTTCCTAACTGCTCTATGAAAAGAAAGGTTAAACTCTGTGAGTTGAACGAACACATCACAACGCAGTTTGTGGGAATGATTCTGTCTAGTTTTGAAACGAAGATATTTCCTTTTCTGCCATTGACCTTAAAGCGCTTGAAATCTCCATTTGCCAATTGCACAAAAAGAGTGTTTCAAATCTGCTCTGTCTAAGGGAACGTTCAACTCTGTGAGGTGAATGTACACAACACAAGGAAGTTACTGGGAATTCTTCTGTTTAGCCTTACATGAAAAAAACCCGTTTCCAACGAAGGCCTCTAAGTGGTCAAAATATCCACGTGCAGACTTTACAAACAGAGTGTTTCCAAACCGCTGAATGAAAAGAAAAGTAAAACTCTGAGAGGTAATCCCACACATCACGCAGCAGTTTCTGAGAATGATTCTGTCTAGTTTTTATACGAAGATATTTCCTTTTCTGCCTTTGGCCCCGAAGCGCTTGAAATCTCCACTTGCAAATTCCACAAAAACAGTGTTTCAAATCTGCTCTCTCTAAATGAAAGTTCAACTCTGTCAGTTGAATACATACAACAGAAGGAAGTTACTGAGAATTCTTCTGTCTAGCCTTATATGAAAAAAACCCGTTTCCAACGAAGGCCTCAAAGAGGTCTGAATATCCACTTGGAGACTTTACAAACAGAGTGTTTCCTAACTGCTCTATGAAAAGAAAGGTTAAACTCTGTGAGTTGAACGCACACATCTCAAAGGAGTTTCTGAGAATCATTCTGTCTAGTTTCTACAGGAAGATATTTCCTATTCTACCATTGACCTCAAAGCGGCTGAAATCTCCACTTGCAAATTCCACAAAAAGAGTGTTTCAAGTCTGCTCTGTGTAAAGGATCGTTCAACTCTGTGAGTTGAAAACACACAACACAAGGAAGTTACTGAGAATTCTTCTGTCTAGCAGAATATGAAGAAATCCCGTTTCCAACGAAGGCCTCAAGGAGGTCTGAATATCCACTTGCAAACTTTACAAACAGAGTGTTTCCTACCAGCTCTATGAACAGAAAGGTTAAACTCTGTGAGTTGAACGCACACATCACAAAAGAGTTTCTGAGAATCATTCTGTCTAGTTTTGAAACTAAGATATTTCCTTTTCTGCCATTGACCTTAAAGCGCTTGAAATCTACACTTGCAAATTGCACAAATAGAGTGTTTCAAATCTGCTCTGTCTAAGGGAAGGTTCAACTCTGTGAGTTGAATGCACACAACACAAGGAAGTTACTGGGAATTCTTCTGTCTAGCCTTACAAGAAAAAAACCCGTTTCCAACGAAGGCCTCTAAGTGGTCAAAATATCCACGTGCAGACTTTACAAAGAGAGTGTTTTCAAACTGTTGAATGAAAAGAAAAGTTAAACTCTGAGAGTTGAACGCACACATCGCAGAGCAGTTTCTGAGAATGATTCTGTCTAGTTTTTATACGAAGATATTTCCTTTTCTGCCTTTGGCCTCAAAGCGCTTGAAATCTCCACCTGCAAATTCCACAAAAAGAGTGTTTCAAATCTGCTCTGTGTAAATGAAAGTTCAACTCTGTGAGTTGAACACACACAACACAAGGGAAGTTACTGGGGAATTCTTCTGTCTAGCCTTATATGAAAAAAACCCGTTTCCAACGGAGGCCTCAAAGAGGTCTGAATATCCACTTGCAGACTTTACAAACAGAGTGTTTCCTAACTGCTCTATGAAAAGAAAGGTTAAACTCTGTGAGTTGAACGCACACATCACAAAGGAGTTTCTGAGAATCATTCTGTCTAGTTTTTATAGGAAGATATTTCCTTTTCTACCTTTGACTTCAAAGCGGCTGAAATCTCCACTTGCAAATTCCACAAAAAGAGTGTTACAAGTCTGCTCTGTGTAAAGGATCGTTCAACTCTGTGAGTTGAATACACACAACACAAGGAAGTTACTGAGAACTCTTCTGTCTAGCAGAATATGAAGAAATCCCGTTTCCAACGAAGGCCACAAGATGTCAGAATATCCACTTACAGAATTTACAAACAGACTGTTTCCTAACTGCACTATGAAAAGAAAGGTTAAACTCTGTGAGTTGAACGAACACATCACAACGCAGTTTGTGGGAATGATTCTGTCTAGTTTTGAAACGAAGATATTTCCTTTTCTGCCGTTGACCTTAAAGCGCTTGAAATCTACACTTGCAAATTGCACAAATAGAGTGTTTCAAATCTGCTCTGTCTAAGGGAACGTTCAACTCTGTGAGTTGAATGCACGCAACACAAGGAAGTTACTGGGAATTCTTCTGTCTAGCCTTACATGAAAAAAACCCGTTTCCAACGAAGGCCTCTAAGTGGTCAAAATATCCACGTGCAGACTTTACAAACAGAGTGTTTCCAAACCGCTGAATGAAAAGAAAAGTTAAACTCTGAGAGTTGAACGCACACATCACGCAGCAGTTTCTGAGAATGATTCTGTCTAGTTTTTATACGAAGATATTTCCTTTTCTACCATTGACCTCAACGCGGCTGAAATCTCCACTTGCAAATTCCACAAAATGAGTGTTTCAAGTCCGCTCTGTGTAAAGGATCGTTCAACTCTGTGAGTTGAATACACACAACACAAGGAAGTTAGTGAGATTTCTTCTGTCTAGCACAGTATGAAGAAATCCCGTTTCCAACGAAGGCCTCAAAGAGGTCTGAATATCCACTTGCAGAGTTGACAAACAGAGTGCTTCCTAACTGCTCTATGAAAAGAAAGGTTAAACTCTGTGAGTTGAACGCACACATCACAATGAAGTTTCTGAGAATCATTCTGTCTAGTTTTTATACGAAGATATTTCCTTTTCTACCATGGACCTCAAAGCGGCTGAAATCTCCACTTGCAAATTCCACAAAAAGAGTGTTTCAAGTCTGCTCTGTGTAAAGGATCGTTCAACTCTGTGAGTTGAATACACAGAACACAAGGAAGATTCTGAGAATTCTTCTGTCTAGCAGAATATGAAGAAATCCCGTTTCCAACGAAGGCCACAAGATGTCAGAATATCCACTTACAGAATTTACACACAGACTGTTTCCTAACTGGTCTATGAAAAGAAAGGTTAAACTCTGTGAGTTGAACGAACACATCACAACGCAGTTTGTGGGAATGATTCTGTCTAGTTTTGAAACCAAGATATTTCCTTTTCTGCCGTTGACCTTAAAGAGCTTGAAAACTACACTTGCAAATTGCACAAATAGAGTGTTTCAAATCTGCTCTGTCTAAAGGAACGTTCAACTCTGTGAGTTGAATGCACACAACACAAGGAAGTTACTGGGAATTCTTCTTTCTACCCTTACATGAAAAAAACCCGTTTCCAACGAAGGCCTCTAAGTGGTCAAAATATCCACGTGCAGACTTTACAAACAGAGTGTTTCCAAACTGCTGAATGAAAAGAAAAGTTAAACTCTGAGAGTTGAACGCACACATCACAGAGCATTTTCTGAGAATGATTCTGTCTAGTTTTTATACGAAGATATTTCCTTTTCTGCCTTTGGCCCCAAAGCGCTTGAAATCTCCACTTGCAACTTCCACAAAAACAGTGTTTCAAATCTGCTGTCTCTAAATGAAAGTTCAACTCTGTCAGTTGAATACACACAACACAAGGAAGTTACTGAGAATTCTTCTGTCTAGCAGAATATGAAGAAATCCCGTTTCCAACGAAGGCCTCAAAGAAGTCTGAATATCCACTTGCAGACTTTACAAACAGAGTGTTTCCTAACTGCTCTATGAAAAGAAAGGTTAAACTCTGTGAGTTGAACGCACACATCACAAGGGAGTTTCTGAGAATCATTCTGTCTAGTTTTTATACGAAGATATTTCCTTTTCTACTATTGACCACAAAGCGGCTGAGATCTCCACTTGCAAATTCCACAAAAAGAGTGTTTCAAGTCTGCCCTGTAGAAAGGATCGTTGAACTCTTTGAGTTGAATACACACAACACAAGGAAGTAACTGAGAATTCTTCTGTCTAGCAGAATATGAAGAAATCCCGTTTCCAACGAAGGCCACAAGATGTCAGAATATCCACTTACAGAATTTACAAACAGACTGTTTCCTAACTCCTCTATGAAAACAAAGGTTAAACTCTGTGAGTTGAACGAACACATCACAACGCAGTTTGTGGGAATGATTCTGTCTAGTTTTGAAACGAAGATATTTCCTTTTCTGCCGTTGACCTTAAAGAGCTTGAAAACTACACTTGCAAATTGCACAAATAGAGTGTTTCAAATCTGCTCTGTCTAAGGGAACGTTCAACTCTGTGAGTTGAATGCACACAACACAAGGAAGTTACTGGGAATTCTTCTGTCTAGCCTTACATGAAAAAAACCCGTTTCCAACGAAGACCTCTAAGGGGTCAAAATATCCACGTGCAGTCTTTACAAACAGAGTGTTTCCAAACCGCTGAATGAAAAGAAAAGTTAAACTCTGAGAGTTGAACGCACACATCACGCAGCAGTTTCTGAGAATGATTCTGTCTAGTTTTGAAACGAAGATATTTCCTTTTCTGCTTTGGCCTCAAAGCGCTTGAAATCTCCACTTGCAAATTCCACAAAAAGAGTGTTTCAAATCTGCTCTGTGTAAATGAAAGTTCAACTCTGTGAGTTGAACACACACAACACAAGGAAGTTACTGGGAATTCTTCTGTCTAGCAGAATATGATGAAATCCCGTTTCCAACGAAAGCCTCAAAGATGTCTGAATATCCACTTGCAGACTTTACAAACAGAGTGTTTCCTAACTGCTCTATGAAAAGAAAGGTTAAACTCTGTGAGTTGAACGCACACATCACAAAGGAGTTTCTGAGAATCATTCTGTCTAGTTTTTATACGAAGATATTTCCTTTTCTACCATTGACCTCAAAGCGGCTGAAATCTCCACTGGCCAATTCAACAAAAAGAGTTTTTCAAGTCTACTCTGTGTAAAGGATCGTAGAACTCTGTGAGTTGAAAACACGCAACACCAGGAAGTTTCTGAGAATTCTTCTGTCTAGCAGAATATGAAGAAATCCCTTTTCCAACGAAGGCCACAAGATGTCAGGATATCCACTTACAGACTTTACAAACAGAGTGTTTCCTAACTGCTCTATGAACAGAAAGGTTAAACTCTGTGAGTTGAACGAACACATCACAACGCAGTTTGTGGGAATGATTCTGTCTAGTTTTGAAACGAAGATATTCCCTTTTCTGCCATTGACCTTAAAGCGCTTGAAATCTCCATTTGCCAATTGCACAAAAAGAGTGTTTCAAATCTGCTCTGTCTAAGGGAACGTTCAACTCTGTGAGTTGAATGTACACAACACAAGGAAGTTACTGGGAATTCTTCTGTCTAGCCTTACATGAAAAAAACCCGTTTCCAACGAAGGCCTCTAAGTGGGCAAAATATCCACGTGCAGACTTTACAAACAGAGTGTTTCCAAACCGCTGAATGAAAAGAAAAGTTAAACTCTGAGAGTTGAACGCACACATCACGCAGCAGTTTCTGAGAATGATTCTGTCTAATTTTTATACGAAGATATTTCCTTTTCTGCCTTTGGCCCCAAAGCGCTTGAAATCTCCACTTGCAAATTCCACAAAAACAGTGTTTCAAATCTGCTCTCTCTAAATGAAAGTTCAACTCTGTCAGTTGAATACACACAACACAAGGAAGTTACTGAGAATTCTTCTGTCTAGCACAGTATGAAGAAACCCGTTTCCAAGGAAAGGCCTCAAAGAGGTCTGAATATCCACTTGCAGAGTTTAAAAACACAGTGTTTCCTAACTGCTCTATGAAAAGAAAGGTTAAACTCTGTGAGTTGAACACACACATCACAAAGAAGTTTCTGAGAATCATTCTGTCTAGTTTTTATACGAAGATATTTCCTTTTCTGCCTTTGGCCTCAAAGCGCTTGAAATCTCCACTTGCAAATTCCACAAAAAGAGTGTTTCAAGTCTGCTCTGTGTAAAGGATCGTTCAACTCTGTGAGTTGAATACACACAACACAAGGAAGTTACTGAGAATTCTTCTGTCTAGCATAGTATGAAGAAATCCCGTTTCCAACGAAGGCCCCAAAGAGGTCTGAATATCCACTTGCAGAGTTTACAAACAGAGTGTTTCCTAACTGCTCTATGAAAAATAAGGTTAAACTCTGTGAGTTGAACGCACACATCACAAAGAAGTTTCTGAGAATCATTCTGTCTAGTTTTGAAACGAAGATATTTTCTTTTCTGCAATTGACCTTAAAGCGCTTGACATCTCCATTTGCCAATTGCACAAAAAGAGTGTTACAAGTCTGCTCTGTGTAAAGGATCGTTCAACTCTGTGAGATGAATACACACAACAGAAGGAAGTTACTGAGAATTCTTCTGTCTAGCCTTACATGAAAAAAACCCGTTTCCAACGAAGGCCTCTAAGTGGTCAAGTTATCCACGTGCAGACTTTACAAACAGAGTGTTTCCAAACTGCTGAATGAAAAGAGAAGTTAAACTCTGAGAGTTGAACGCACACATCGCAGAGCAGTTTCGGAGAATGATTCTGTGTAGTTTTTATACGAAGATATTTCCTTTTCTGCCTTTGGCCCCAAAGCGCTTGAAATCTCCAATTGCAAATTCCACAAAAACAGTGTTTCAAATCTGCTCTCTCTAAATGAAAGTTCAACTGCTGTCAGTTGAATACACACAACACAAGGAAGTTACTGAGAATTCTTCTGTCTAGCATAATATGAAGAAATCCCGTTTCCAACGAAGGCCTCAAGGAGGTCTGAATATCCACTTGCAGAGTTTACAAACGGAGTGTTTCCCAACTGCTCTATGAAAAGAAAGGTTAAACTCTGTGAGTTGTACGCACACATCACAAAGGAGTTTCTCAGAATCATTCTGTCTAGTTTCTATAGAAAGATATTTCCTATTCTACCATTGACCTCAAAGCGGCTGAAATCTCCACTTGCAAATTCCAGAAAAAGAGTGTTTCAAGTCTGCTCTGTGTAAAGGATCGTTCAACTCTGTGAGTTGAATACACACAACACAAGGAAGTTACTGAGAATTCTTCTGTCTAGGAGAATATGAAGAAATCCCGTTTCCAACGAAGGCCACAAGATGTCAGAATATCCACTTACAGAATTGACAAACAGACTGTTTCCTAACTGCTCTATGAAAAGAAAGGTTAAACTCTGTGAGTTGAACGCACACATCACAACGCAGTTTGTGGGAATGATTCTGTCTAGTTTTGAAACGAAGATATTTCCTTTTCTGCCATTGACCTTAAAGCGCTTGAAATCTACACTTGCAAATTGCACAAATAGAGTGTTTCAAATCTGCTCTGTCTAAGGGAACGTTCAACTCTGTGAGTTGAATGCACACAATACAAGGAAATTACTGGGAATTCTTCTGTCTAGCCTTACATGAAAAAAACCCGTTTCCAACGAAGGCCTCTAAGTGGTCAAAATATCCACGTGCAGACTTTACAAACAGAGTGTTTCCAAACTGCTGAATGAAAAGAAAAGTTAAACTCTGAGAGTTGAACGCACACATCACAGAGCAGTTTCTGAGAATGATTCTGTCTAGTTTTTATACGAAGATATTTCCTTTTCTGCCTTTGGCCTCAAAGCGCTTGAAATCTCCACTTGCAAATTCCGGAAAAAGAGTGTTTCAAATCTGCTCTGTCTAAATGAAAGTTCAACTCTGTCAGTTGAATACACACAACACAAGGAAGTTACTGAGAATTCTTCTGTCTAGCATAATATGAAGAAATCCCGTTTCCAACGAAGACCTCAAAGAGGTCTGAATATCCACTTGCAGACTTTACAAACAGAGTGTTTCCTAACTGCTCTATGAGAAGAAAAGTTAAACTCTGTGAGTTGAACGCACACATCACAAAGGAGTTTCTGAGAATCATTCTGTCTAGTTTTTATACGAAGATATTTCCTTTTCTACCATTGACCTCAAAGCGGCTGAAATCTCCACTTGCAAATTCCAGAAAAAGAGTGTTTCAAGTCTACTCTGTGTAAAGCATCGTTTAACTCTGTGAGTTGAAGACACACAACACAAGGAAGTTTCTGACAATTCTTCTGTCTAGCAGAATATGAAGAAATCCCGTTTCCAACGAAGGCCACAAGATGTCTGAATATCCACTTACAGACTTTACAAACAGAGTGTTTCCTAACTGCTCTATGAACAGAAAGGTTAAACTCTGTGAGTTGAACGAACACATCACAACGCAGTTTGTGGGAATGATTCTGTCTAGTTTTGAAACGAAGATATTTCCTTTTCTGCCGTTGACCTTAAAGCGCTTGAAATCTACACTTGCAAATTGCACAAATAGAGTGTTTCAAATCTGCTCTGTCTAAGGGAACGTTCAACTCTGTGAGTTGAATGCACACAACACAAGGAAGTTACTGGGAATTCTCCTGTCTACCCTTATATGAAAAAAACCCGTTTCCAACGAAGGCCTCTAAGTGGTCAAAATATCCACGTGCAGACTTTACAAACAGAGTGTTTCTGAACTGCTGAATGAAAAGAAAAGTTAAACTCTGAGAGTTGAACGCACACATCACAGAGGATTTTCTGAGAATGATTCTGTCTAGTTTTTATAGGAAGATATTTCCTTTTCTACATTTGACTTCAAAGCGGCTGAAATCTCCACTTGCAAATTCCACAAAAAGAGTGTTCCAAGTCTGCTCTGTGTAAAGGATCGTTCAACTGTGTGAGTTGAATACACACAACACAAGGAAGATTCTGAGAATTCTTCTGTCTAGCACAGTATGAAGAAATCCCGTTTCCAACGAAGGCCTCAAAGAGGTCTGAATGTCCACTTGCAGAGTTTACAAACAGAGTGTTTCCTAACTGCTCTATGAAAAGAAAGGTTAAACTCTGTGAGTTGAACGCACACATCACAAAGAAGTTTCTGAGAATCATTCTGTCTAGTTTCTATAGGAAGATATTTCCTATTCTACCATTGACCACAAAGCGGCTGAAATCTCCACTTGCAAATTCCACAAAAAGAATGTTTCAAGTCTGCTCTGTGTAAAGGATCGTTCAACTCTGTGAGTTGAATACACACAACACAAGGAAGTTACTGAGAATTCTTCTGTCTAGCAGAATATGAAGAAATCCCGTTTCCAACGAATGCCACAAGATGTCAGAATATCCACTTACAGAATTGACAAACAGACTCTTTCCTAACTGCTCTATGAAAAGAAAGGTTAAACTCTGTGAGTTGAACGAACACATCACAACGCTGTTTGTGGGAATGATTCTGTCTAGTTTTGAAACGAAGATATTTCCTTTTCTGCCATTGACCTTAAAGCGCTTGAAATCTACACTTGCAAATTGCACAAATAGAGTGTTTCAAATCTGCTCTGTCTAAGGGAACGTTCAACTCTGTGAGTTGAAAGCACACAACACAAGGAAGTTACTGGGAATTCTTCTGTCTAGCCTTACAGGAAAAAAACCCGTTTCCAACGAAGGCCTGTAAGTGGTCAAAATATCCACGTGCAGACTTTACAAACAGAGTGTTTCCAAACTGCTGAATGAAAAGAAAAGTTAAACTCTGAGAGTTGAACGCACACATCGCAGAGCAGTTTCTGAGAATGATTCTGTCTAGTTTTTATACGAAGATATTTCCTTTTCTGCCTTTGGCCTCAAAGCGCTTGAAATCTCCACTTGCAAATTCCACAAAAAGAGTGTTTCAAATATGCTCTTTGTAAATGAAAGTTCAACTCTGTGAGTTGAACACACACAACACAAGGAAGTTACTGGGAATTCTTCTGTCTAGCAGAATATGAAGAAATCCCGTTTCCAACGAAGGCCTCAAAGAGGTCTGAATATCCACTTGCAGACTTTACAAATAGAGTGTTTCCTAACTGCTCTATGAACAGAAAGGTTAAACTCTGTGAGTTGAACGCACACATCACAAAGGAGTTTCTGAGAATCGTTTGTCTAGTTTCTATAGGAAGATATTTCCTATTCTACCATTGACCTCAAAGCGGCTGAAATCTCCACTTGCAAATTCCACAAAAAGAGTGTTTCAAGTCTGCTCTGTGTAAAGGATCGTTCAACTCTGTGAGTTGAATACACACAACACAAGGAAGTTACTGAGAATTCTTCTGTCTAGCAGAATATGAAGAAATCCCGTTTCCAACGAAGGGCCACAAGATGTCAGAATATCCACTTACAGACTTTACAAACAGAGTGTTTCCTAACTGCTCTATGAACAGAAAGGTTAAACTCTGTGAGTTGAACGAATACATCACAACGCAGTTTGTGGGAATGATTCTGTCTAGTTTTGAAACCAAGATATTTCCTTTTCTGCCGTTGACCTTAAAGAGCTTGAAAACTACACTTGCAAATTGCACAAATAGAGTGTTTCAAATCTGCTCTGTCTAAGGGAACGTTCAACTCTGTGAGTTGAATGCACACAACACAAGGAAGTTACTGGGAATTCTTCTGTCTAGCCTTACATGAAAAAAACCCGTTTCCAACGAAGGCCTCTAAGTGGGCAAAATATCCATGTGCAGACTTTACAAACAGAGTGTTTCCAAACCGCTGAATGAAAAGAAAAGTTAAACTCTGAGAGTTGAACGCACACATCACGCAGCAGTTTCTGAGAATGATTCTGTCTAGTTGTTATACGAAGATATTTTCCTTTTCTGCCTTTAGCCTCAAAGCGCTTGAAATCTCCACTTGCAAATTCCACAAAAAGAGTGTTTCAAATCTGCTCTGTGTAAAGGATCGTTCAACTCTGTGAGTTGAATACACACAACACAAGGAAGATTCTGAGAATTTTTCTGTCTAGCAGAATATGAAGAAATCCCGTTTCCAAAGAAGGCCTCAAGGAGGTCTGAATATCCACTTGCAGACTTTACAAACAGAGTGTTTCCTAATTGCTCTATGAAAAGAAAGGTTAAAGTGTGTGAGTTGAACGCACACATCACAAAGGAGTTTCTCAGAATCATTCTCTCTAGTTTTTATACGAAGATATTTCCTTTTCTACCATTGACCTCAAAGCGGCTGAAATCTCCACTTGCAAATTCCACAAAAAGAGTGTTTCAAATCTGCTCTGTGTAAACCATCGTTCAACTGTGTGAGTTGAATACACACAACACAAGGAAGATTCTGAGAATTCTTCTGTCTAGCAGAATATGAAGAAATCCCGTTTCCAACGAAGGCCACAAGATGTCAGAATATCCACTTACAGAATTTACAAACAGAATGTTTCCTAACTGCTCTATGAAAAGAAAGGTTAAACTCTGTGAGATGAACGAACACATCACAACGCAGTTTGTGGGAATGATTCTGTCTAGTTTTGAAACGAAGGTATTTCCTTTTCTGCCATTGACCTTAAAGCGCTTGAAATCTACACTTGCAAATTGCACAAATAGAGTGTTTCAAATCTGCTCTGTCTAAGGGAACGTTCAACTCTGTGAGTTGAATGCACACAACACAAGGAAGTTACTGGGAATTCTTCTGTCTAGCCTTACATGAAAAAAACCCGTTTCCAACGAAGGCCTCTAAGTGGTCAAAATTTCCACGTGCAGACTTTACAAACAGAGTGTTTCCAAACCGCTGAATGAAAAGAAAAGTTAAACTCTGAGAGTTGAACACACACATCACGCTGCAGTTTCTGAGAATGATTCTGTCTAGTTTTGAAACGAAGATATTTCCTTTTCTGCCTTTGGCCTCAAAGCGCTTGAAATCTCCACTTGCAAATTCCACAAAAAGAGTGTTTCAAATCTGCTCTGTGTAAATGAAAGTTCAACTCTGTGAGTTGAACACACACAACACAAGGAAGGTACTGGGAATTCTTCTTTCTAGCAGAATATGAAGAAATCCTGTTTCCAACGAAAGCCTCAAGGATGTCTGAATATCCACTTGCAGACTTTACAAACAGAGTGTTTCCCAACTGCTCTATGAAAAGAAAGGTTAAACTCTGTGAGTTGAACGCACACATCACAAAGGAGTTTCTGAGAATCATTCTGTCTAGTCTTTATACGAAGATATTTCCTTTTCTACCATTGACCTCAAAAGGGCTGAAATCTCCACTTGCAAATTCCACAAAAAGAGTGTTTCAAGTCTGCTCTGTGTAAAAGATCGTTCAACTCTGTGAGTTGAATACACACAACACAAGGAAGTTACTGAGAATTCTTCTTTCTAGCAGAATATGAAGAAATCCCGTTTCCAACGAAGGCCACAAGATGTCAGAATATCCACTTACAGAATTGACAAACAGACTGTTTCCTAACTGCTCTATGAAAAGAAAGGTTAAACTCTGTGAGTTGAACGAACACATCACAACGCAGTTTGTGGGAATGATTCTGTCTAGTTTTGAAACGAAGATATTTCCTTTTCTGCCATTGACCTTAAAGCGCTTGAAATCTACACTTGCAAATTGCACAAATAGAGTGTTTCAAATCTGCTCTGTCTAAGGTAACGTTCAACTCTGTGAGTTGAATGCACACAACACAAGGAAGTTACTGGGAATTCTTCTGTCTAGCCTTACATGAAAAAAACCCGTTTCCAACGAAGGCCTCTAAGTGGTCAAAATATCCACGTGCAGACTTTACAAACAGAGTGTTTCCAAACCGCTGAATGAAAAGAAAAGTTAAACTCTGAGAGTTGAACGCACACATCACGCAGCAGTTTCTGAGAATGATTCTGTCTACTTTTTATACGAAGATATTTCCTTTTCTGCCTTTGGCCCCAAAGCGCTTGAAATCTCCACTTGCAATTTCCACAAAAACAGTGTTTCAAATCTGCTCTCTCTAAATGAAAGTTCAATTCTGTCAGTTGAATACACACAACACAAGGAAGTTACTGAGAATTCTTCTTTCTAGCAGAATATGAAGAAATCCCGTTTCCAACAAAAGCCTCAAGGATGTCTGAATATCCACTTGCAGACTGTACAAACAGAGTGTTTCCTAACTGCTCTATGAAAAGAAAGGTTAAACTCTGTGAGTTGAACGCACACATCACAAAGGAGTTTCTGAGAATCATTCTGTCTAGTTTCTATAGGAAGATATTTCCTATTCTACCATTGACCTCAAAGCGGCTGAAATCTCCACTTGCAAATTCCACAAAAACAGTGTTTCAAGTCTGCTCTGTGTAAAGGATCGTTCAACTCTGTGAGTTGAATACACACAACACAAGGAAGTTACTGAGAATTCTTTTGTCTAGCATAATATGAAGAAATCCCGTTTCCACCGAAGGCCTCAAGGAGGTCTGAATATCCACTTGCAGACTTTACAAACAGAGTGTTTCCTAACTGCTCTATGAACAGAAAGGTTAAACTCTGTGAGTTGAACGCACACATCACAAAGGAGTTTCTGAGAATCATTCTGTCTATTCTTTATGCGAAGATATTTCCTTTTCTACCATTGACCTCAAAGCGGCTGAAATCTCCACTTGCAAATTCCACAAAAAGAGTGTTTCAAGTCTGCTTTGTGTAAAGGATCGTACACCTCTGTGAGTTGAATACACACCACACAAGGAAGTTACTGAGAATTCTTCTGTCTAACCTTACATGAAAAAAACCCGTTTCCAACGAAGGCCTCTAAGTGGTCAAAATATCCACGTGCAGACTTTACAAACAGAGTGTTTCCAAACCGCTGAATGAAAAGAAAAGTTAAACTCTGAGAGTTGAACGCACACATCACGCAGCAGTTTCTGAGAATGATTCTGTCTAGTTTTTATACGAAGATATTTCGTTTTCTGCCTTTGGCCACAAAGCGCTTGAAATCTCCACTTGCAAATTCCACAAAAACAGTGTTTCAATCTGCTCTCTCTAAATGAAAGTTCAACTCTGTCAGTTGAATACACACAACACAAGGAAGTTACTGAGAATTCTTCTGTCTAGCAGAATATGAAGAAATCCCGTTTCCAACGAAGGCCTCAAAGAGGTCTGAATATCCACTTGCAGACTTTACAAACAGAGTGTTTCCTAACTGCTCTATGAAAAGAAAAGTTAAACTCTGTGAGTTGAACGCACACATCACAAAGGATTTTCTGAGAATCATTCTGTCTAGTTTTTATAGGAAGATATTTCCTTTTCTACCTTTGACTTCAAAGCGGCTGAAATCTCCACTTGCAAATTCCACAAAAAGAGTGTTACAAGTCTGCTCTGTGTAAAGGGATCGTTCAACTCTGTGAGTTGAATACACACAACACAAGGAAGTTACTGAGAATTCTTCTGTCTAGCAGAATATGGAGAAATCCCGTTTCCAACGAAGGCCTCTAGGAGGTCTGAATATCCACTTGCAGACTTTACAAACAGAGTGTTTCCTAACTGCTCTATGAACAGAAAGGTTAAACTCTGTGAGTTGAACGAACACATCACAACGCAGTTTGTGGGAATGATTCTGTCTAGTTTTGAAACGAAGATATTTCCTTTTCTGCCATTGACCTTAAAGCGCTTGAAATCTCCATTTGCCAATTGCACAAAAAGAGTGTTTCAAATCTGCTCTGTCTAAGGGAACGTTCAACTCTGTGAGTTGAATGTACACAATACAAGGAAGTTACTGGGAATTCTTCTGTCTAGCCTTACAGGAAAAAAAACCGTTTCCAACGAAGGCCTCTAAGTGGTCAAAATATCCACGTGCAGACTTTACAAACAGAGTGTTTCCAAACTGCTGAATGAAAGAAAAGTTAAACTCTGAGAGTTTAACGCACACATCGCAGAGCAGTTTCTGAGAATGATTCTGTCTAGTTTTTATGCGAAGATATTTCCTTTTCTGCCTTTGGCCTCAAAGCGCTTGAAATCTCCACTTGCAAATTCCACAAAAAGAGTGTTTCAAATCTGCTCTGTGTAAATGAAAGTTCAACTCTGTGAGTTGAACACACACAACACAAGGAAGTTACTGGGAATTCTTCTGTCTAGCCTTATATGAAAAAAACCCGTTTCCAACGAAGGCCTCAAAGAGGGCTGAATATCCACTTGCAGACTTTACAAGCAGAGTGTTTCCTAACTGCTCTATGAAAAGAAAGGTTAAACTCTGTGAGTTGAATGCACACATCATAAAGGAGTTTCTGAGAATCATTCTGTCTAGTCTTTATAGGAAGATATTTACTTTTCTACCATTGACCTCAAAGCGGCTGAAATCTCCACTTGCAAATTCCACAAAAAGAGTGTTTCAAGTCTGCTCTGTGTAAAGGACCATTCAACTCTGTGAGTTGAATAAACACAACACAAGGAAGTTACTGAGAATTCTTCTGTCTAGCAGAATATGAAGAAATCCCGTTTCCAACGAAGGCCACAGGATGTCAGAATATCCACTTACAGAATTTACAAACAGACTGTTTCCTAACTGCTCTATGAAAAGAAAGGTTAAACTCTGTGAGTTGAACGAACACATCACAACGCAGTTTGTGGGAATGATTCTGTCTAGTTTTGAAACGAAGATATTTCCTTTTCTGCCGTTGACCTTAAAGCACTTGAAATCTACACTTGCAAATTGCACAAATAGAGTGTTTCAAATCTGCTCTGTCTAAGGGAACGTTCAACTCTGTGAGTTGAATGCACACAACACAAGGAAGTTACTGGGAATTCTTCTGTCTAGCCTTACATGAAAAAAAACCCGTTTCCAACGAAGGCCTCTAAGTGGTCAAAATATCCACGTGCAGACTTTACAAACAGAGTGTTTCCAAACCGCTGAATGAAAAGAAAAGTTAAACTCTGAGAGTTGAACGCACACATCACGCAGCAGTTTCTGAGAATGATTCTGTCTAGTTTTTATACGAAGATATTTCCTTTTCTGCCTTTGGCCCCAATGCGCTTGAAATCTCCACTGGCAAATTCCACAAAAACAGTGTTTCAAATCTGCTCTCTCTAAATGAAAGTTCAACTCTGTCAGTTGAATACACACAACACAAGGAAGTTACTGAGAATTCTTCTGTCTAGCAGAATATGAAGAAATCCCGTTTCCAACGAAAGCCTCAAAGGTGTCTGAATATCCACTTGCAGACTTTACAAACAGAGTGTTTACTAACTGTTCTATGAAAAGAAAGGTTAAACTCTGTGAGTTGAACGCACACAGCACAAAGGAGTTTCTGAGAATCATTCTGTCTAGTGTTTATAGGAAGATATTTCCTTTTCTACCTTTGACTTCAAAGCGGCTGAAATCTCCACTTGCAAATTCCACAAAAAGAGTGTTACAAGTCTGCTCTGTGTAAAGGATCGTTCAACTCTGTGAGTTGAATACACACAACACAAGGAAGTTACTGAGAATTCTTCTGTCTATCCTTACATGAAAAAAACCCGTTTCCAACGAAGACCTCTAAGTGGTCAAATTATCCACGTGCAGACTTTACAAACAGAGTGTTTCCAAACTGCTGAATGAAAAGAAAAGTTAAACTCTGAGAGTTGAACGCACACATCGCAGAGCAGTTTCTGAGAATGATTCTGTCTAGTTTTGAAACGAAGATATTTCCTTTTCTGCCATTGACCTTAAAACGCTTGAAATCTACAATTGCAAATTGCACAAATAGAGTGTTTCAAATCTGCTCTGTCTAAGGGAACGTTCAACTCTGTGAGTTGAATGCACACAACACAAGGAAAGTTACTGGGAATTCTTCTGTCTAGCCTTACATGAAAAAAACCCGTTTCCAACGAAGGCGTCTAAGTGGTCAAAATATCCACGTGCAGACTTTACAAACAGAGTGTTTCCAAACCGCTGAATGAAAAGAAAAGTTAAACTCTGAGAGTTGAACGCACACATCACGCAGCAGTTTCTGAGAATGATTCTGTCTACTTTCTATAGGAAGATATTTCCTATTCTACCATTGACCTCAAAGCGGCTGAAATCTCCACTTGCAAATTCCACAAAAGGAGTGTTTCAAGTCTGCTCTGTGTAAAGGATCGTTCAACTCTGTGAGTTGAAAACACACAACACAAGAAAGTTTCTGAGAATTCTTCTGTCTAGCAGAACATGAAGAAATCCCGCTTCCAACGAAGGCCTCAAGGAGGTCTGAATATCCACTTGCAGACTTTACAAACAGAGTGTTTCCTAACTGCTCTATGAAAAGAAAGGTTAAACTCTGTGAGTTGAACGCACACATCACAAAGAAGTTTCTGAGAATCATTCTGTCTAGTTTCTATAGGAAGATATTTCCTATTCTACCATTGACCTCAAAGCGGCTGAAATCTCCACTTGCAAATTCCACAAAAAGAGTGTTTCAAGTCTGCTCTGTGTAAAGGATCGTGCAACTCTGTGAGTTGAATACACACAACACAAGGCAGTTACTGAGAATTCTTCTGTCTAGCAGAATATGAAGAAATCCCGCTTCCAACGAAGGCCTCAAAGTCTGAATATCCACTTGCAGACTTTACAAACAGAGTGTTTCCCAACTGCTCTATGAAAGGAAAGGTTGAACTCTGTGAGTTGAACGCACACATCACAAAGGAGTTTCTGAGAATCATTCTGTCTAGTTTTTATACGAAGATATTTCCTTTTCTACCATTGACCTCAAAGCTGCTGAAATCACCACTTGCCAATTGCACAAAAAGAGTGTTTCAAATCTGCTCTGTCTAAGGGAACGTTCAACTCTGTGAGTTGAATGTACACAACACAAGGAAGTTCCTGGGAATTCTTCTCTCTAGCCTTACAGGAAAAAAACCCGTTTCCAACGAAGGCCTCTAAGTGGTCAAAATATCCACGTGCAGACTTTACAAACAGAGTGTTTCCAAACTGCTGAATGAAAAGAAAAGTTAAACTCTGAGAGTTGAACGCACACATCGCAGAGCAGTTTCTGAGAATGATTCTGTCTAGTTTTTATACGAAGATATTTCCTTTTCTACCATTGACCTCAAAGCGGCTGAAATCTCCTCTTGCAGTTCCACAAAAAGAGTGTTTCCAATCTGCTCTGTGTAAAGGATCGTTCAACTCTGTGAGTTGAATGCACACAACACAAGGAAGTTACTGAGAATTCTTCTGTCTAGCAAAATATGAAGAAATCCCGTTTCCAACGAAGGCCGCTAAGAGGTCTGAATATCCACTTGCAGACTTTAGAAACAGAGTGTTTCCTAATTGCTCTATTAAAAGAAAGGTTAAACTCTGTGAGTTGAACGCACACATCAAAAAGGAGTTTCTGAGAATCATTCTGTCTAGTCTTTATACGAAGATATTTCCTTTTCTACCATTGACCTCAAAGCGGCTGAAATCTCCACTTGCAAATTCCACAAAAAGAGTGTTTCAAGTCTGCTCTGTGTAAAGGATCGTTCAACTCTGTGAGTTGAATACACACAACACAAGGAAGTTACTGAGAATTATTCTGTCTAGCAGAATATGAAGAAATCCCGTTTCCAAAGAAGGCCTCAAGGAGGTCTGAATATCCACTTGCAGACTTTACAAACAGTGTGTTTCCTAACTGCTCCATGAAAAGAAAGGTTAAACTCTGTGAGTTGAACGCACACATCACAAAGGAGTTTCTGAGAATCATTCTGTCTAGTTTTTATAGGAAGATATTTCCTTTTCTACTTTAACTTCAAAGCGGCTGAAATCTCCACTTGCAAATTCCACAAAAAGAGTGTTACAAGTCTGCTCTCTGTAAAGGATCGTTCAACTGTGTGAGTTGAATACACACAACACAAGGAAGTTACTGAGAACTCTTCTGTCTAGCCTTACATGAAAAAAACCCGTTTCCAACGAAGGCCTCTAAGTGGTCAAATTATCCACGTGCAGACTTTACAAACAGAGTGTTTCCAAACTGCTGAATGAAAAGCAAAGTTAAACTCTGAGAGTTGAACGCACACATCGCAGAGCACTTTCTGAGAATGATTCTGTCTAGTTTTGAAACGAAGATATTTCCTTTTCTGCCTTTGGCCTCAAAGCGCTTGAAATCTCCACTTTCAAATTCCACAAAAAGAGTGTTTCAAATCTGCTCTGGGTAAATGAAAGTTTAACTCTGTGAGTTGAACACACACAACACAAGGAAGTTACTGGGAATTCTTCTGTCTAGCAGAATATGAAGAAATCCCGTTTCCAACGAAGGCCTCAAGGAGGTCTGAATATCCACTTGCAGACTTTACAAACAGAGTGTTTCCCAACTGCTCTATGAAAAGAAAGGTTGAACTCTGTGAGTTGAACGCACACATCACAAAGGAGTTTCTGAGAATCATTCTGTCTAGTCTGTATAAGAAGATATTTCCTTTTCTACCATTGACCTCAAAGCGGCTGAAATCTCCACTTGCAAATTCCACAAAAAGAGTGTTTCAAGTCCGCTCTGGGTAAAGGATCGTTCAACTCTGTGAGTTGAATACACGCAACACAAGGAAGTTACTGAGAATTCTTCTGTCTAGCAGAATATGAAGAAATCCCGTTTCCAACGAAGGCCACAAGATGTCAGAATATCCACTTACAAAATTTACAAACAGACTGTTTCCTAACTGCTCTATGAAAAGAAAGGTTAAACTCTGTGAGTTGAACGAACACATCACAACGCAGTTTGTGGGAATGATTCTGTCTAGTTTTGAAAGGAAGATATTTCCTTTTCTGCCGTTGACCTTAAAGCGCTTGAAATCTACACTTGCAAATTGCACAAATAGGATGTTTCAAATCTGCTCTGTCTAAGGGAACGTTCAACTCTGTGAGTTGAATGCACACAACACAAGGAAGTTACTGGGAATTCTTCTGTCTAGCCTTACAGGAAAAAAACCCGTTTCCAACGAAGGCCTCTAAGTGGTCAAAGTATCCACGTGCAGACTTTACAAACAGAGTGTTTCCAAACTGCTGAATGAAAAGAAAAGTTAAACTCTGAGAGTTGAACGCACACATCGCAGAGCAGTTTCTGAGAATGATTCTGTCTAGTTTCTATAGGAAGATATTTCCTATTCTACCATTGAACCCAAAGCGGCTGAAATCTCCACTTGCAAATTCCACAAAAAGTGTGTTTCAAGTCTGCTCTGTGTAAAGGATCGTTCAACTCTGTGAGTTGAATACACACAACACAAGGAAGTTACTGAGAATTCTTCTGTCTAGCATAATAGGAAGAAATCCCGTTTCCAACGAAGGCCTCAAGGAGGTCTGAATATCCACTTACAGACTTTACAAACAGAGTGTTTCCTAACTGCTCTATGAAAAGAAAGGTTAAACTCTGTGAGTTGAACGCACACATCACAAAGGAGTTTCTGAGAATCATTCTGTCTAGTTTCTATAGGAAGATATTTCCTATTCTACCATTGACCTCAAAGCGGCTGAAATCTCCACTTACAAATTCCACAAAAAGAGTGTTTCAAGTCTGCTCTGTGTAAAGGATCGTTCAACTCTGTGAGTTGAATACACACAACACAAGGGAAGTTACTGAGAATTATTCTGTCTAGCAGAATATGAAGAAATCCCGTTTCCAACGAAGGCCACAAGATGTCAGAATATCCACTTACAGAATTGACAAACAGACTGTTTCCTAACTGCTCTAAGAAAAGAAAGGTTAAACTCTGTGAGTTGAACGAACACATCACAACGCAGTTTGTGGGAATGATTCTGTCTAGTTTTGAAACGAAGATATTTCCTTTTCTGCCATTGACCTTAAAGCGATTGAAATCTCCATTTGCCAATTGCACAAAAAGAGTGTTTCAAATCTGCTCTGTCTAAGGGAACGTTCAACTCTGTGAGTTGAATGTACACAACACAAGGAAGTTACTGGGAATTCTTCTGTCTAGCCTTACAGGAAAAAAACCCGTTTCCAACGAAGTCCTCTAAGTGGTCAAGTTATCCACGTGCAGACTTTACAAACAGAGTGTTTCCAAACTGCTGAATGAAAAGAAAAGTTAAACTCTGAGAGTTGAACGCACCCATCGCAGAGCAGTTTCTGAGAATGATTCTGTCTAGTTTTGAAACGAAGATATTTCCTTTTCTGCCTTTGGCCTCAAAGCGCTTGAAATCTCCACTTGCAAATTCCACAAAAAGAGTGTTACAAATCTGCTCTGTGTAAAGGATCGTTCAACTCTGTGAGTTGAATACACACAACACAAGGAAGTTACTGAGAATTACTCTGTCTAGCAGAATATGAAGAAATCCCGTTTCCAACGAAGGCCTCAAGGAGGTCTGAATATCCACTTGCAGACTTTACAAACAGAGTGTTTCCTAACAGCTCTATGAACAGAAACGTTAAACTCTGTGAGTTGAACGCACACATCACAAAGGAGTTTCTGAGAATCATTCTGTCTAGTCTTTATACGAAGATATTTCCTTTTCTACCATTGACCTCAAAGCGGCTGAAATCTCCACTTGCAAATTCCACAAAAAGAGTGTTTCAAGTCTGCTCTGTGTAAAGGATCGTTCAACTCTGTGAGTTGAATAGACACAACACAAGGAAGTTACTGAGAATTCTTCTGTCTAGCAGAATATGAAGAAATCCCGTTTCCAACGAAGGCCACAAGATGTCAGAATATCCACTTACAGACTTTACAAACAGAGTTTTTCCTAACTGCTCTATGAACAGAAAGGTTAAACTCTGTGAGTTGAACGAACACGTCACAACGCAGTTTGTGGGAATGATTCTGTCTAGTTTTGAAACGAAGATATTTTCTTTTCTGCCTTTGACCTTAAAGCGCTTGAAATCTCCACTTGCCAATTGTACAAAAAGAGTGTTTCAAATCTGCTCTGTCTAAGGGAACGTTCAACTCTGTGAGTTGAATGTACACAACACAAGGAAGTTACTGGGAATTCTTCTGTCTAGCCTTACATGAAAAAAACCCGTTTCCAACGAAGGCCTCTAAGTGGTCAAAATTTCCACGTGCAGACTTTACAAACAGAGTGTTTCCAAACTGCTGAATGAAAAGAAAAGTTAAACTCTGAGAGTTGAACGCACACATCACGCAGCAGTTTCTGAGAATGATTCTGTGTAGTTTTTATACGAAGATATTTCCTTTTCTGCCTTTGGCCTCAAAGCGCTTGAAATCTCCACTTGCAAATTCCACAAAAAGAGTGTTTCAAATCTGCTCTATGTAAATGAAAGTTCAACTCTGTGAGTTGAACACACACATCACAAGGAAGTTACTGGGAATTCTTCTGTCTAGCCTTATATGAAAAAAACCCGTTTCCAACGAAGGCCTCAAAAAGGTCTGAATATCCTCTTGCAGACTTTACAAACAGAGTGTTTGCTAACTGCTCTATGAAAAGAAAGGTTAAACCCTGTGAGTTGGACACACACATCACTAAGGAGTTTCTGAGAATCATTCTGTCTAGTTTCTATAGGAAGATGTTTCCTATTCTACCATTGACCTCAAAGCGGCTGAAATCTCCACTTGCAAATTCCACAACAAGAGTGTTTCAAGTATGCTCTGTGTAAAGGATCGTTCAACTCTGTGAGTTGAATACACACAACACAATGAAGTTACTGAGAATTCTTCTGTATAGCACAGTATGAAGAAATCCCGTTTCCAACGAAGGCCTCAAAGAGGTCTGAATATCCACTTGCAGACTTTACAAACAGAGTGTTTCCTAACTGCTCTATGAAAAGAAAGGTTAAACTCTGTGAGTTGAACGCACACTTCACAATGAAGTTTCTGAGAATCATTCTGTCTAGTTTTTATACGAAGATATTTCCTTTTCTACCATTGACCCCAAAGCGGCTGAAATCACCACTTGCCAATTGCACAAAAAGAGTGTTTCAAATCTGCTCTGTCTAAGGGAACGTTCAACTCTGTGAGTTGAATGTAGACAACACAAGGAAGTTACTGGGAATTCTTCTGTCTAGCTTTACAGGAAAAAAACCCGTTTCCAACGAAGGCCTCTAAGTGGTCAAAATATCCACGTGCAGACTTTACAAACAGAGTGTTTCCAAACTGCTGAATGAAAAGAAAAGTTAAACTCTGAGAGTTGAACGCACACATCGCAGAGCAGTTTCTGAGAATGATTCTGTCTAGTTTTTATACGAAGATATTTCCTTTTCTGCCTTTGGCCTCAAAGCGCTTGAAATCTCCATTTGCAAATTCCACAAAAAGAGTGTTTCCAATCTGCTCTGTGTAAATGAAAGTTCAACTCTGTGAGTTGAACACACACAACACAAGGAAGTTACTGGGAATTCTTCTGTCTAGCCTTATATGAAAAAAACCCGTTTCCAACGATGGCCTCAAAGAGGTCTGAATATCCACTTGCAGACTTTACAAACAGAGTGTTTCCTAACTGCTCTATGAAAAGAAAGGTTAAACTCTGTGAGTTGAACGCACACATCACAAAGGAGTTTCTGAGAATCTATCTGTCTAGTCTTTATACGAAGATATTTCCTTTTCTACCATTGACCTCAAAGCGGCTGAAATCTCCACTTGCAAATTCCACAAAAAGAGTGTTTCAAGTCTGCTCTGTGTAAAGGATCGTTCAACTCTGTGAGTTGAATACACAAAACACAAGGAAGTTAGTGAGAATTCTTCTGTCTAGCATAGCATGAAGAAATCCCGTTTGCAACGAAGGCCTCAAAGAGGTCTGAATATCCACTTGCAGAGTTTACAAACAGAGTGTTTCCTAACTGCTCTATGAAAAGAAAGGTTAAACTCTGTGAGTTGAACGCACACATCACAAAGAAGTTTCTGAGAATCATTCTGTCTAGTTTTTATAGGAAGTTATTTCCTTTTCTACCTTTGACTTCAAAGCGGCTGAAATCTCCACTTGCAAATTCCAGAAAAAGAGTGTTACAAGTCTGCTCTGTGTAAAGGATCGTTCAACTCTGTGAGTTGAATACACACAACACAAGGAAGTTACTGAGAATTCTTCTGTCTAGCCTTACAGGAAAAAAACCCGTTTCCAACGAAGGCCTCTAAGTGGTCAAAATATCCACGTGCAGACTTTACAAACAGAGTGTTTCCAAATTGCTGAATGAAAAGAAAAGTTAAACTCTGAGAGTTCAACGCACACATCGCAGAGCAGTTTCTGAGAATGATTCTGTCTAGTTTTTATACGAAGATATTTCCTTTCCTGCCTTTGGCCTCAAAGCGCTTGAAATCTCCACTTGCAAATTCCACAAAAAGAGTGTTTCAAATCTGCTCTGTGTAAATGAAAGTTCAACTCTGTGAGTTGAACACACACAACACAAGGAAGTTACTGGGAATTCTTCTGTCTAGCAGAATATGAAGAAATCCCGCTTCCAACGAAGGCCTCTAAGAAGTCTGAATATCCACTTGCAGACTTTACAAACAGAGTGTTTCCCAACTGCTCTATGAAAAGAAAGGTTGAACTCTGTGAGTTGAACGCACACATCACAAAGGAGTTTCTGAGAATCATTCTGTCTAGTTTCTATAGGAAGATATTTCCTATTCTACAATTGACCTCAAAGCGGCTGAAATCTCCACTTGCAAATTCCACAAAAAGAGTGTTTCAAGTCTGCTCTGTGTAAAGGATCGTTCAACTCTGTGAGTTGAATACACACAACACAAGGAAGTTACTGAGAATTCTTCTGTCTAGCATAATATGAAGAAATCCCGTTTCCAACGAAGGACTCAAGGAGGTCTGAATATCCACTTGCAGACTTTACAAACAGAGTGTTTCCTAACTGCTCTATGAAAAGAAAGGTTAAACTCTGTGAGTTGAACGCACACATCACAAAGGAGTTTCTGAGAATCATTCTGTCTAGTTTTGAAACGAAGATATTTCCTTTTCTGCCATTGACCTTAAAGCGCTTGAAATCTCCACTTGCCAATTGCACAAAAAGAGTGTTTCAAATCTGCTCTGTCTAAGGGAACGTTCAACTCTGTGAGTTGAATGTACACAACACAAGGAAGTTACTGGGAATTCTTCTGTCTAGCCTTACATGAAAAAAACCCGTTTCCAATGAAGGTCTCTAAGTGGTCAAAATTTCCACGTGCAGACTTTACAAACAGAGTGTTTCCAAACCGCTGAATGAAAAGAAAAGTTAAACTCTGAGAGTTGAACGCACACATCACGCAGCAGTTTCTGAGAATGATTCTGTCTAGTTTTGAAACGAAGATATTTCCTTTTCTGCCTTTGGGCTCAAAGCGCTTGAAATCTCCACTTGCAAATTCCACAAAAAGAGTGTTTCAAATCTGCTCTGGGTAAATGAAAGTTCAACTCTGTGAGTTGAACACACACAACACAAGGAAGTTACTGGGAATTCTTCTGTCTAGCAGAATATGAAGAAATCCCGCTTCCAACGAAGGCCTCAAAGAAGTCTGAATATCCACTTGCAGACATTACAAACAGAGTGTTTCCCAACTGCTCTATGAAAAGAAAGGTTGAACTCTGTGAGTTGAACGCACACATCACAAAGGAGTTTCTGAGAATCATTCTGTCTAGTCCTTATACGAAGATATTTACTTTTCTACCATTGACCTCAAAGCGGCTGAAATCTCCACTTGCAAATTCCACAAAAAGAGTGTTTCAAGTCTGCTCTGTGTAAAGGATCATTCAACTCTGTGAGTTGAATAAACACAACGCAAGGAAGTTACTGAGAATTCTTCTGTCTAGCAGAATATGAAGAAATCCCGTTTCCAACGAAGGCCACAAGATGTCAGAATATCCACTTACAGACATTACAAACAGAGTGTTTCCTAACTGCTCTATGAACAGAAAGGTTAAACTGCTGTGAGTTGAACGAACACATCACAACGCAGTTTGTGGGAATGATTCTGTCTAGTTCTGAAACGAAGATATTTCCTTTTCTGCCGTTGACCTTAAAGCGCTTGAAATCTACACTTGCAAATTGCACAAATAGAGTGTTTCAAATCTGCTCTGTCTCAGGGAACGTTCAACTCTGTGAGTTGAATGCACACAACACAAGGAAGTTACTGGGAATTCTTCTGTCTAGCCTTACATGAAAAAAACCCGTTTCCAACGAAGGCCTCTAAGTGGTCAAAATATCCACGTGCAGACTTTACAAACAGAGTGTTTCCAAACCGCTGAATGAAAAGAAAAGTTAAACTCTGAGAGTTGAACGCACACATCACGCAGCAGTTTCTGAGAATGATTCTGCCTAGTTTCTATAGGAAGATATTTCCTATTCTACCATTGACTTCAAAGCGGCTGAAATCTCCACTTGCAAATTCCACAAAAAGAGTGTTTCAAGTCTGCTCTGTGTAAAGGATCGTTCAACTCCGTGAGTTGAATACACACAACACAAGGAAGTTACTGAGAATTATTCTGTCTAGCATAATATGAAGAAATCCCGTTTCCAACGAAGGCCGCAAGGAGGTCTGAATATCCACTTGCAGATTTTACAAACAGAGTGTTTCCCAACTGCTCTATGAAAAGAAAGGTTAAACTGTGTGAGTTGAACGCACACATCACAAAGGAGTTTCTGAGAATCATTCTGTCTAGTTTTTATACGAAGATATTTCCTTTTCTACCATGGACCTCAAAGCGGCTGAAATCTCCACTTGCAAATTCCACAAAAAGAGTGTTTCAAGTCTGCTCTGTGTAAAGGATCGTTAAACTCTGTGAGTTGAATACACACAACACAAGGAAGATTCTGAGAATTCTTCTGTCTAGCAGAATATGAAGAAATCCCGTTTCCAACAAAGGCCACAAGATGTCAGAATATCCACTTACAGAATTGACAAACAGACTGTTTCCTAACTGCTCTATGAAAAGAAAGGTTAAACTCTGTGAGTTGAACGAACACATCACAACGCAGTTTGTGGGAATGATTCTGTCTAGTTTTGAAACGAAGATATTTCCTTTTCTGCCGTTGACCTTAAAGCGCTTGAAATCTACACTTGCAAATTGCACAAATAGAGTGTTTCAAATCTGCTCTGTCTAAGGGAACGTTCAACTCTGTGAGTTGAATGCACACAACACAAGGAAGTTACTGGGAATTCTTCTGTCTAGCCTTACTTGAAAAAAACCCGTTTCCAACGAAGGCCTCTAAGTGGTCAAATTATCCACGTGCAGACTTTACAAACAGAGTGTTTCCAAACTGCTGAATGAAAAGAAAAGTTAAACTCTGAGAGTTGAACGCACACATCACAGAGCAGTTTCTGAGAATCATTCTGTCTAGTTTTTATACTAAGATATTTCCTTTTCTGCCTTTGGCCTCAAAGCGCTTGAAATCTCCATTTGCAAATTCCACAAAAAGAGTGTTTCAAATCTGCTCTGTGTAAATGAAAGTTCAACTCTGTGAGTTGAACACACACAACACAAGGAAGTTACTGGGAATTCTTCTGTCTAGCAGAATATGAAGAAATCCAGTTTCCAACGAAGGCCTCAAAGAGGTCTGAATATCCACTTGCAGACTTTACAAACAGAGTGTTTCCTAACTGCTCTATGAAAAGAAAGGTTAAACTCTGTGAGTTGAACGCACACATCACAAAGGAGTTTATGAGAATCATTCTATCTAGTTTTTATACGAAGATATTTCCTTTTCTACCTTTGACTTCAAAGCGGCTGAAATCTCCACTTGCAAATTCCACAAAAAGAGTGTTTCAAGTCTGCTCTGTGTAAAGGGTCTTTCAACTCTGTGAGTTGAATACACACAACACAAGGAAGTTACTGAGAATTCTTCTGTCTAGCCTTACATGAAAAAAACCCGTTTCCAACGAAGGCCTCTAAGTGGTCAAATTATCCACGTGCAGACTTTACAAACAGAGTGTTTCCAAACTGCTGAATGAGAAGAAAATTTAAACTCTGAGAGTTGAACGCACACATCACAGAGCAGTTTCTGAGAATGATTCTGTCTAGTTTGAAACGAAGATATTTCCTTTTCTGCCATTGACCTTAAAGCGCTTGAAATCTCCACTTGCCAATTGCACAAAAAGAGTGTTTCAAATCTGCTCTGTCTAAGGGAACGTTCAACTCTGTGAGTTGAATGTACACAACACAAGGAAGTTACTGGGAATTCTTCTGTCTAGCCTTACAGGAAAAAAACACGTTTCCAACGAAGGCCTCTAAGTGGTCAAAATATCCACGTGCAGACTTTACAAACAGAGTGTTTCCAAACTGCTGAATGAAAAGCAAAGTTAAACTCTGAGAGTTGAACGCACACATCGCAGAGCAGTTTCTGAGAATGATTCTGTCTAGTTTTTATACGAAGATATTTCGTTTTCTGCCTTTGGCCCCAAAGCGCTTGAAATCTCCACTTGCAAATTCCACAAAAACAGTGTTTCAAATCTGCTCTCTCTAAATGAAAGTTCAACTCTGTCAGTTGAATACACACAACACAAGGAAGTTACTGAGAATTCTTCTCTCTAGCCTTATATGAAAAAAACCCATTTCCAACGAAGGCCTCAAAGAGGTCTGAATATCCACTTGCAGACTTTACAAACAGAGTGTTTCCTAACTGCTCTATGAAAAGAAAGGTTAAACTCTGTGAGTTGAACGCACACATCACAAAGGAGTTTCTGAGAATCATTCTGTCTAGTTTTTATAGGAAGATATTTCCTTTTCTACCTTTGACTTCAAAGCGGCTGAAATCTCCAATTGCAAATTCCACAAAAAGAGTGTTACAAGTCTGCTCTGTGTAAAGGATCGTTCAACTCTGTGAGTTGAATACACACAACACAAGGAAGTTACTGAGAATTCTTCTGTCTAGCAGAATATGAAGAAATCCCGTTTCCAACGAAGGCCACAAGATGTCAGAATATCCACTTACAGACTTTACAAACAGTGTGTTTCCTAACTGCTCTATGAACGGAAAGGTTAAACTCTGTGAGTTGAACGAACACATCACAACGCAGTTTGTGGGAATGATTCTGTCTAGTTTTGAAACGGAGATATTTCCTTTTCTGCCATTGACCTTAAAGCGCTTGAAATCTACACTTGCAAATTACACAAATAGAGTGTTTCAAATCTGCTCTGTCTAAGGGAACGTTCATCTCTGTGAGTTGAATGCACACAACACAAGGAAGTTACTGGGAATTCTTCTGTCTAGCCTTACAGGTAAAAAAACCCGTTTCCAACGAAGGCCTCTAAGTGGTCAAAATATCCACGTGCAGACTTTACAAACAGAGTGTTTCCAAACTGCTGAATGAAAAGAAAAGTTAAACTCTGAGAGTTGAACGCACACATCACAAAGGAGTTTCTGAGAATCATTCTGTCTAGTTTTTATACGAAGATATCTCCTTTTCTGCCTTTGGCCCCAAAGCGCTTGAAATCTCCACTTGCAAATTCCACAAAAACAGTGTTTCAAATCTGCTCTCTCTAAATGAAAGTTCAACTCTGTCAGTTGAATACACACAACACAAGGAAGTTACTGAGAATTCTTCTGTCTAGCATAATATGATGAAATCCCGTTTCCAACGAAGGCCTCAAAGGGGTCTGAATATCCACTTGCAGACTTTATAAACAGAGTGTTTACTAACTGCTCTATGAAAAGAAACGTTAAACTCTGTGAGTTGAACACACACATCACAAAGGAGTTTCTGAGAATCATTCTGTCTAGTTTTTATACGAAGATATTTCCTTTTCTACCATTGACCTCAAAGCGGATGAAATCTCCACTTGCAAATTACACAAAAAGAGTGTTTCAAGTCTACTCTGTGTAAAGCATCGTTCAACTCTGTGAGTTGAAAACACACAACACAAGGAAGTTTCTGAGAATTCTTCTGTCTAGCAGAACATGAAGAAATCCCGCTTCCAACGAAGGCCTCAAAGAGGTCTGAATATCCACTTGCAGACTTTACCAACAGAGTGTTTCCTAACTGCTCTATGAAAAGAAAGGTTAAACTCTGTGAGTTGAACGCACACATCACAAAGGAGTTTCTGAGAATCATTCTCTCTAGTTTTGAAACGAAGATATTTCCTTTTCTGCCATTGACCTTAAAGCGCTTGAAATCTACACTTGCAAATTGCACAAATAGAGTGTTTCAAATCTGCTCTGTCTAAGGGAACGTTCAACTCTGTGAGTTGAATGCACACAACACAAGGAAGTTACTGGGAATTCTTCTGTCTAGCCTTACATGAAAAAAACCCGTTTCCAACGAAGGCCTCTAAGTGGTCAAAATTTCCACGTGCAGACTTTACAAACAGAGTGTTTCCAAACCGCTGAATGAAAAGAAAAGTTAAATTCTGAGAGTTGAACGCACACATCACGCAGCAGTTTCTGAGAATGATTCTGTCTAGTTTTTATACGAAGATATTTCCTTTTCTGCCTTTGGCCTCAAAGCGCTTGAAATCTCCATTTGCAAATTCCACAAAAAGAGTGTTTCAAATCTGCTCTGTGTAAACGAAAGTTCAACTCTGTGAGTTGAACACACACAACACAAGGAAGTTACTGGGAATTCTTCTGTCTAGCCTTATATGAAAAAAACCCGTTTCCAACGAAGGCCTCAAAGAGGTCTGAATATCCACTTGGAGACTTTACAAACAGAGTGTTTCCTAACTGCTCTATGAAAAGAAAGGTTAAACTCTGTGAGTTGAACGCACACATCACAAAGGAGTTTCTGAGAATCATTCTGTCTAGTTTTTATAGGAAGATATTTCCTTTTCTACCTTAGACTTCAAAGCGGCTGAAATCTCCACTTGCAAATTCCACAAAAAGAGTGTTACAAGTCTGCTCTGTGTAAAGGATCGTTCAACTCTGTGAGTTGAATACACACAACACAAGGAAGTTACTGAGAATTCTTCTGTCTAGCCTTACATGAAAAAAACCCGTTTCCAACGAAGGCCTCTAAGTGGTCAAATTATCCACGTGCAGACTTTACAAACAGAGTGTTTCCAAACTGCTGAATGAGAAGAAAAGTTAAACTCTGAGAGTTGAACGCACACATCGCAGAGCAGTTTATGAGAATGATTTCTGTCTAGTTTTGAAACGAAGATATTTCCTTTTCTGCCGTTGACCTTAAAGCGCTTCAAATCTACACTTGGAAATTGCACAAATAGAGTGTTTCAAATCTGCTCTGTCTAAGGGAACGTTCAACTCTGTGAGTTGAATGCACACAACACAAGGAAGTTACTGGGATTTCTTCTGTCTAGCCTTACAGGAAAAAAACCCGTTTCCAACGAAGGCCTCTAAGTGGTCAAAATATCCACGTGCAGAATTTACAAACAGAGTGTTTCCAAACTGCTGAATGAAAAGAAAAGTTAAACTCTGAGAGTTGAACGCACACATCGCAGAGCAGTTTCTGAGAATGATTCTGTCTAGTTTTGAAACGAAGATATTTCCTTTTCTACCTTTGGCCTCAAACCGCTTGAAATCTCCACTTGCAAATTCCACAAAAAGAGTGTTTCAAATCTGCTCTGTGTAAATGAAAGTTCAACTCTGTGAGTTGAACACACACAACACAAGGAAGTTACTGGGAATTCTTCTGTCTAGCACAGTATGGAGAAATCCCGTTTCCATCGAAGGCCTCAAAGAGGTCTGAATATCCACTTGCAGAGTTTACAAACAGAGTGTTTCCTAACTGCACTATGAACAGAAAGGTTAAACTCTGTGAGTTGAACGCACACATCACAAAGAAGTTTCTGAGAATCATTCTGTCTCGTTTTTATACGAAGATATTTCCTTTTCTACCATTGACCTCAAAGCGGCTGAAATCTCCACTTGCAAATTCCACAAAAAGAGTGTTTCAAGTCTGCTCTGTGTAAAGGATCGTTCAACTCTGTGAGTTGAATACACACAACACAAGGAAGTTACTGAGAATTCTTCTGTCTAGCATAATATGAAGAAATCCCGTTTCCAACGAAGGCCTCAAGGAGGTCTGAATATCAACTTGCAGACTTTACAAACAGAGTGTTTCCTAACTGCTCTATGAAAAGAAAGGTTAAACTCTGTGAGTTGAACGCACACATCACAAAGGAGTTTCTGAGAATCATTCTGTCTAGTTTTTATACGAAGATATTTCCTTTTCTACCATTGACCTCAAAGCGGCTGAAATCTCCACTTGCAAATTCCACAAAAAGAGTGTTTGAAGTCTGCTCTGTGTAAAGGATCGTTCAATTCTGTGAGTTGAATACACACAACACAAGGAAGTTACTGAGAATTCTTTTGTCTAGCAGAATATGAAGAAATCCCGCTTCCAACGAAGGCCTCAAAGAGGTCTGAATATCCACTAGCAGACTTTACTAACAGAGTGTTTCCCAACTGCTCTATGAAAAGAAAGGTTGAACTCTGTGAGTTGAACGCACACATCACAAAGGAGTTTCTGAGAATCATTCTGTCTAGTTTTTATACAAAGATATTTCCTTTTCTGCCTTTGGCCTCAAAGCGCTTGAAATCTCCATTTGCAAATTCCACAAAAAGAGTGTTTCAAATCTGCTCTGTGTAAATCAAAGTTCAACTCTGTGAGTTGAACACACACAACACAAGGAAGTTACTGGGAATTCTTCTGTCTAGCCTTACATGAAAAAAACCCGTTTCCAACGAAGGCCTCAAAGAAGTCCAAATATCCACATGCAGATTTTACAAACAGAGTGTTTCCTAACTGCTCTATGAAAAGAAAGGTTAAACTCTGTGAGTTGAACGCACATATCACAAAGGAGTTTCTGAGAATCATTCTGTCAAGTCTTTATATGAAGATAGTTTCCTTTTCTACCATTGACCTCAAAGCGGCTGAAATCTCCACTTGCAAATTCCACAAAAAGAGTGTTTCAAGTCTGCTCTGTGTAAAGGATTGTTCAACTCTGTGAGTTGAATACACACAACACAAGGAAGTTACTGAGAATTCTTCTGTCTAGCAGAATATGAAGAAATCCCGTTTCCAACGAAGGCCACAAGATGTCAGAATATCCACTTACAGACTTTACAAACAGAGTGTTTCCTAACTGCTCTATGAACAGAAAGGTTAAACTCTGTGAGTTCAACGCACACATCACAAAGGAGTTTCTGAGAATCATTCTGTCTAGTTTTGAAACGAAGATATTTCCTTTTCTGCCATTGACCTTAAAGCGCTTGAAATCTCCACTTGCCAATTGCACAAAAAGAGTGTTTCAAATCTGCTCTGTCTAAGGGAACGTTCAACTCTGTGAGTTGAATGTACACAACACAAGGAAGTTACTGGGAATTCTTCTGTCTAGCCTTACAGGAAAAAAACCCGTTTCCAACGAAAGCCTCAAAGAGGTCAAAATATCCACTTGCAGACTTTACAAACAGAGTGTTTCCTAACTACTCGATGAAAAGAAAGGTTAAACTCTGTGAGTTGAACGCACTCATCACAAAGAAGTTTCTGAGAATCATTCTGTCTAGTTTTTATACGAAGATATTTCCTTTTCTGCCTTTGGCCTCAAAGCGCTTGAAATCTCCACCTGCAAATTCCACAAAAAGAGTGTTTCAAATCTGCTCTGTGTAAATGAAAGTTCAACTGTGTGAGTTGAATACACACAACACAAGGAAGTTACTGAGAACTCTTCTGTCTAGCATAATATGAACAAAACCCGTTTCCAACGAAGGCCTCAAGGAGGTCTGAATATCCACTTGCAGACTTTACAAACAGAGTGTTTCCTAACTGCTCTATGAAAAGAAAGGTTAAACTCTGTGAGTTGAACGCACACATCACAAAGGAGTTTCTGAGAATCATTCTGTCTAGTTTTTATACGAAGATATTTCCTTTTCTACCATGGACCTCAAAGCGGCTGAAATCTCCACTTGCAAATTCCACAAAAAGAGTGTTACAAGTCTGCTCTGTGTAAAGGATCGTTCAACTCTGTGAGTTGAATACACACAACACAAGGAAGATTCTGAGAATTCTTCTGTCTAGCAGAATATGAAGAAATCCCGTTTCCAACGAAAGCCTCAAAGAGGTCTGAATATCCACTTGCAGACTTTACAAACAGAGTGTTTCCTAACTGCTCTATGAAAAGAAAAGTTAAACTCTGTGAGTTGAACGCACACATCACAAAGGAGTTTCTGAGAATCATTCTGTCTAGTTTTGAAACGAAGATATTTCCTTTTCTGCCATTGACCTTAAAGCGCTTGAAATCTCCACTTGCCAATTGCACAAAAAGAGTGTTTCAAATCTGCTCTGTCTAAGGGAACGTTCAACTCTGTGAGTTGAATGTACACAACACAAGGAAGTTACTGGGAATTCTTCTGTCTAGCCTTACAGGATAAAAACCCGTTTCCAACGAAGGCCTCTAAGTGCTCAAAATATCCACGTGCAGACTTTACAAACAGAGTGTTTCCAAACTGCTGAATGAAAACAAAAGTTAAACTCTGAGAGTTGAACGCACACATCGCAGAGCAGTTTCTGAGAATGATTCTGTCTAGTTTTTATACGAAGATATTTCCTTTTCTGCCTTTGGCCTCAAAGCGCTTGAAATCTCCACTTGCAAATTCCACAAAAAGAGTGTTTCCAATCTGCTCTGTGTAAATGAAAGTTCAACTCACAGAGTTGAACACACACAACACAAGGGAAGTTACTGGGAATTCTTCTGTCTAGCCTTATATGAAAAAAACCCGTTTCCAACGAAGACCTCAAAGAGGTCTGAATATCCACTTGCAGACTTTACAAACAGAGTGTTTCCTAACTGCTCTATGAAAAGAAAGGTTAAACTCTGTGAGTTGAACGCACACATCACAAAGGAGTTTCTGAGAATCATTCTGTCTAGTTTCTATAGGATGATATTTCCTATTCTACCATTGAACTCAAAGCGGCTGAAATCTCCACTTGCAAATTCCACAAAAAGAGTGTTTCAAGTCTGCTCTGTGTAAAGGATCGTTCAACTCTGTGAGTTGAATACACACAACACAAGGAAGTTACTGAGAATTCTTCTGTCTAGCAGAATATGAAGAAATCCCGTTTCCAACGAAGGCCTCAAGGAGGTCTGAATATCCACTTGCAGACTTTACAAACAGAGTGTTTCCTAACTGCTCTATGAACAGAAAGGTTAAACCCTGTGAGTTGAACGAACACATCACAACGCAGTTTGTGGGAATGATTCTGTCTAGTTTTGAAAGGAAGATATTTCCTTTTCTGCCGTTGACCTTAAAGCGCTTGAAATCTACACTTGCAAATTGCACAAATAGGCTGTTTCAAATCTGCTCTGTCTAAGGGAACGTTCAACTCTGTGAGTTGAATGCACACAACACAAGGAAGTTACTGGGAATTCTTCTGTCTAGCCTTACATGAAGAAAACCCGTTTCCAACGAAGGCCTCTAAGTGGTCAAAATATCCACGTGCAGACTTTACAAACAGAGTGTTTCCAAACTGCTGAATGAAAAGAAAAGTTAAACTCTGAGAGTTGAACGCACACATCACAGAGCAGTTTCTGAGAATGATTCTGTCTAGATTTTATACGAAGATATTTCCTTTTCTGCCTTTGGCCTCAAAGCGCTTGAAATCTCCACTTGCAAATTCCACAAAAAGAGTGTTTCAAATCTGCTCTGTGTAAATGAAAGCTCAACTCCGTGAGTTGAACACAGACAACACAAGGAAGTTACTGGGAATTCTTCTGTCTAGCATAATATGAAGAAATCCCGTTTCCAACGAAGGCCTCAAAGGGGTCTGAATATCCACTTGCAGACTTTATAAACAGACTGTTTACTAACTGCTCTATGAAAAGAAAGGTTAAACTCTGTGAGTTGAACACACACATCAGAAAGGAGTTTCTGAGAATCATTCTGTCTAGTCTTTATACGAAGATATTTCCTTTTCTACCATTGACCTCAAAGCGGCTGAAATCTCCACTTGCAAATTCCACAAAAAGAGTGTTTCAAGTCTGCTCTCTGTAAAGGATCGTTCATCTCTGTGAGTTGAATACACACAACACAAGGAAGTTACTGAGAATTATTCTGTCTAGCATAATATGAAGAATCCCGTTTCCAACGAAGGCCTCAAAGAGGTCTGAATATCCACTTGCAGACTTTACAAACAGAGTGTTTCCTAACTGCTCTATGAAAAGAAAAGTTAAACTCTGTGAGATGAACGCACACATCACAAAGGAGTTTCTGAGAATCATTCTGTCTAGTTTTGAAACGAAGATATTTCCTTTTCTGCCATTGACCTCAAAGCGCTTGAAATCTCCACTTGCCAATTGCACAAAAAGAGTGTTTCAAATCTGCTCTGTCTAAGGGAACGTTCAACTCTGTGAGTTGAATGTACACAACACAAGGAAGTTACTGGGAATTCTTCTGTCTAGCCTTACATGAAAAAAAACCCGTTTCCAACGAAGGCCTCTAAGTGGTCAAAATATCCACGTGCAGACTTTACAAACAGAGTGTTTCCAAACCGCTGAATGAAAAGAAAAGTTAAACTCTGAGAGTTGAACGCACACATCATGCAGCAGTTTCTGAGAATGATTCTGTCTAGTTTTTATACGAAGATATTTCCTTTTCTGCCTTTGGCCCCAAAGCGCTTGAAATCTCCACTTGCAAATTCCACAAAAACAGTGTTTCAAATCAGCTCTCTCTAAATGAAAGTTCAACTCTGTCAGTTGAATACACACAACACAAGGAAGTTACTGAGAATTCTTCTCTCTAGCCTTATATGAAAAAAACCCGTTTCCAACGAAGGCCTCAAAGAGGTCTGAATATCCACTTGCATACTTTAGAAACAGAGTGTTTCCTAACTGCTCTATGAAAAGAAACGTTAAACTACTGTGAGTTGAACGCACACATCACAAAGGAGTTTCTGAGAATCATTCTGTCTAGTTTCTATAGGAAGATATTTCCTATTCTACCATTGAACTCAAAGCGGCTGAAATCTCCACTTGCAAATTCCACAAAAAGAGAGTTTCAAGTCTGCTCTGTGTAAAGGATCGTTCAACTCTGTGAGTTGAATACACACAACACAAGGAAGTTACTGAGAATTCTTCTGTCAGGCATAATATGAAGAAATCCCGTTTGCAACGAAGGCCTCAAAGAGGTCTGAATATCCACTTGCAGAATTTACAAACAGAGTGTTTCCTAACTGCTCTATGAAAAGAAAGGTTAAACTCTGTGAGTTGAACGAACACATCACAACGCAGTTTGTGGGAATCATTCTGTCTACATTTGAAACGAAGATATTTCCTTTTCTGCCAGTGACCTTAAAGCGCTTGAAATCTCCACTTGTCAATTGCACAAAAAGAGTGTTTCAAATCTGCTCTGTCTAAGGGAACGTTCATCTCTGTGAGTTGAATGTACACAACACAAGGAAGTTACTGGGAATTATTCTGTCTAGCCTTACATGAAAAAAACCCGTTTCCAACGAAGGCCTCTAAGTGGTCAAATTATCCACGTGCAGACTTTACAAACAGAGTGTTTCCAAACTGCTGAATGAAAAGCAAAGTTAAACTCTGAGAGTTGAACGCACACATCGCAGAGCACTTTCTGAGAATGATTGTGTCTAGTTTCTATAGGAAGATATTTCCTATACTACCATTGACCTCTAAGCGGCTGAAATCTCCAGTTGCAAATTCCACAAAAAGAATGTTTCAAGTCTGCTCTGTGTAAAGGATCGTTCAACTCTGTGAGTTGAATACACACAACACAAGGAAGTTACTGAGAATTCTTCTGTCTAGCATAATATGAAGAAATCCCGTTTCCAACGAAGGCCTCAAAGAGGTCTGAATATCCACTTGCAGACTTTACAAACAGAGTGTTTCCTAACTGCTCTATGAAAAGAAAAGTTAAACTTTGTGAGTTGAACGCACACATCACAAAGGAGTTTATGAGAATCATTCTGTCTAGTTTCTATAGGAAGATATTTCCTATTCTACCATTGACCTCAAAGCGGCTGAAATCTCCACTTGCAAATTCCACAAAAAGAGTGTTTCAAGTCTGCTCTCTGTAAAGGATCGTTCAACTCTAAGAGTTGAATACACGCAACACAAGGAAGTTATTGAGAATTATTCTGTCTAGCAGAATATGAAGAAATCCCGTTTCCAACGAAGGCCTCAAAGAGGTCTGAATATCCACTTGCAGACTTTACAAACAGAGTGTTTCCTAACTGCTATATGAAAAGAAAGGTTAAACTCTGTGAGTTGAACGCACACATCAGAAAGGAGTTTCTGAGAATCGTTCTGTCTAGTTTCTATAGGAAGATATTTCCTATTCTACCATTGACCTCAAAGCGGTTGAAATCTCCACTTGCAAATTCCACAAAAAGAATGTTTCAAGTCTGCTCTGTGTAAAGGATCGTTCTGCTCTGTGTAAAGGATCGTTCAACTCTGTGAGTTGAATACACACAACACAAGGAAGTTACTGAGAATTCTTCTGTCTAGCCTTACATGAAAAAAACCCGTTTCCAACGAAGGCCTCTAAGTGGTCAAAATATCCACGTGCAGACTTTACAAACAGAGTGTTTCCAAACCGCTGAATGAAAAGGAAAAGTTAAACTCTGAGAGTTGAACGCACACATCACGCAGCAGTTTCTGAGAATGATTCTGTCTAGTTTTGAAACGAAGATATTTCCTTTTCTGCCTTTGGCCTCAAAGCGCTTGAAATCTCCACTTGCAAATTCCACAAAAAGAGTGTTTCAAATCTGCTCTGTGTAAATGAAAGTTCAACTCTGTGAGTTGAACACACACAACACAAGGAAGTTACTGGGGATTCTTCTCTCTAGCAGAATATGAACAAATCCCGTTTCCAACGATGGCCTCAAAGAGGTCTGAATATCCACTTGCAGACTTTACAAACAGAGTGTTTCCTAACTGCTCTATGAAAAGAAAGGTTAAACTCTGTGAGTTGAACGCACACATCACAAAGGAGTTTCTGAGAATCATTCTGTCTAGTCTTTATACGAAGATAGTTTCCTTTTCTACCATTGACCTCAAAGCGGCTGAAATCTCCACTTTCAAATTCCAAAAAAAGAGTGTTTCAAGTCTGCTCTGTGTAAAGGATCGTTCAACTCTGTGAGTTGAAAACACACAACACAAGGAAGTTACTGAGAATTCTTCTGACTAGCAGAATATGAAGAAATCCCGTTTCCAACGAAGGCCACAAGATGTCAGAATATCCACTTACAGAATTTACAAACAGACTGTTTCCTAACTGCTCTATGAAAAGAAAGGTTAAACTCTGTGAGTTGAACGAACACATCACAATACAGTTTGTGGGAATGATTCTGTCTAGTTTTGAAACGAAGATATTTCCTTTTCTGCCATTGACCTTAAAGCGCTTGAAATCTCCACTTGCCAATTGCACAAAAAGAGTGTTTCAAATCTGCTCTGTCTAAGGGAACGTTCAACTCTGTGAGTTCAATGTACACAACACAAGGGAAGTTACTGGGAATTCTTCTGTCTAGCCTTACAGGAAAAAAACCCGTTTCCAACGAAGGCCTCTAAGTGGTCAAAATATCCACGTGCAGACTTTACAAACAGAGTGTTTCCAAACTGCTGAATGAAAAGAAAAGTTAAACTCTGAGAGTTGAACGCACACATCGCAGAGCAGTTTGTGAGAATGATTCTGTCTAGTTTTTATACGAAGATATTTCCTTTTCTGCCTTTGGCCCCAAAGCGCTTGAAATCTCCACTTGCAAATTCCACAAAAACAGTGTTTCAAATCTGCTCTCTCTAAATGAAAGTTCAACTCTGTTAGTTGAATACACACAACACAAGGAAGTTACTGAGAATTCTTCTGTCTAGCATAATATGAAGAAATCCCGCTTCCAACGAAGGCCTCAAAGAGGTCTGAATATCCACTTGCAGACTTTACAAACAGAGTGTTTCCTAACTGCTCTATGAAAAGAAAAGTTGAACTCTGTGAGTTGAACGCACACATCACAAAGGAGTTTCTGAGAATCATTCTGTCTAGTTTCTATAGGAAGATATTTCCTATTCTACCATTGACCTCAAAGCGGCTGAAATATCCACTTGCGAATTCCACAAAAAGAGTGTTTCAAGTCTGCTCTGTGTAAAGGATCGTTCAACTCTGTGAGTTGAATACACACAACACAAGGAAGTTACTGAGAATTCTTCTGTCTAGCAGAATATTAAGAAATACCGTTTCCAACGAAGGCCTCAAGGAGGTCTGAATATCCACTTGCAGACTTTACAAACAGAGTGTTTCCTAACTGCTCTATGAACAGAAAGGTTAAACTCTGTGAGTTGAACGAACACATCACAACGCAGTTTGTGGGAATGATTCTGTCTAGTTTTTATACGAAGATATTTCCTTTTCTGCCTTTGGCCTCAAAGCGCTTGAAATCTCCATTTGCAAATTCCACAAAAAGAGTGTTTCAAATCTGCTCTGTCTAAGGGATCGTTCAACTCTGTGAGTTGAATGTACACAACACAAGGAAGTTACTGGGAATTCTTCTGTCTAGCCTTACATGAAAAAAACCCGTTTCCAACGAAGGCCTCTAGGTGGTCAAAATATCCACGTGCAGACTTTACAAACAAAGTGTTTCCAAACCGCTGAATGAAAAGAAAAGTTAAACTCTGAGAGTTGAACGCACACATCACGCAGTAGTTTCTGAGAATGATTCTGTCTAGTTTTTATACGAAGATATTTCCTTTTCTGCCTTTGGCCGCAAAGCGCTTGAAATCTCCACTTGCAAATTCCACAAAAACAGTGTTTCAAATCTGCTCTCTCTAAATGAAAGTTCAACTCTGTCAGTTGAATACACACAACACAAGGTAAGTTACTGAGAATTCTTCTGTCTAGCCTTATATGAAAAAAACCCGTTTCCAACGAAGGCCTAAAGGAGGTATGAATATCCACTTGCAGACATTACAAACAGAGTGTTTCCTAACTGCTCTAAGAAAAGAAAGGTTAAACTCTGTGAGTTGAACGCACACATCACAAAGGAGTTTCTGAGAATCATTCTGTCTAGTTTTTATACGAAGATATTTCCTTTTCTACCTTTGACTTCAAAGCGGCTGAAATCTCCACTTGCAAATTCCACAAAAAGAGTGTTTCAAGTCCTCTCTGTGTAAAGGATCATTCAACTCTGTGAGTTGAATACACACAACACAAGGAAGTTACTGGGAATTCTTCTGTCTAGCAGAATAAGAAGAAATCCCGTTTCCAACGAAGGCCTCAAGGAGGTCTGAATATCCACTTGCAGACTTTACAAACAGAGTGTTTCCTAACTGCTCTATGAACAGAAATGTTAAACTCTGTGAGTTGAACGAACACATCACAACGCAGTTTGTGGGAATGATTCTGTCTAGTTTTGAAACGAAGATATTTCCTTTTCTGCCATTGAACTTAAAGCGCTTGAAATCTCCATTTGCCAATTGCACAAAAAGTGTGTTTCAAATCTGCTCTGTCTAAGGGAACGTTCAACTCTGTGAGTTGAATGTACACAACACAGGGAAGTTACTGGGAATTCTTCTGTCTAGCCTTACAGGAAAAAAACCCGTTTCCAACGAAGGCCTCTAAGTGGTCAGAATATCCACGTGCAGACTTTACAAACAGAGTTTTTCCACACTGCTGAATGAAAAGAAAAGTTAAACTCTGAGAGTTGAACGCACACATCACAGAGCAGTTTCTGAGAATGATTCTGTCTATTTTCTATAGGAAGATATTTCCTATTCTACCATTGACCTCAGAGCGGCTGAAATCTCCACTTGCAAATTCCACAAAAAGAGTGTTTCAAGTCTGCTCTGTGTAAAGGATCGTTCAACTCTGTGAGTTGAATACACACAACACAAGGAAGTTACTGAGAATTCTTCTGTCTAGCAGAATATGAAGAAATCCCGTTTCCAACGAAGGCCTCAAGGAGGTCTGAATATCCACTTGCAGACTTTACAATCAGAGTGTTTCCTAACTGCTCTATGAAAAGAAAGGTTAAACTCTGTGAGTTGAACGCACACATCACAAAGGAGTTTCTGAGAATCATTCTGTCTAGTCTTTATACGAAGATATTTCCTTTTCTACCTTTGACCTCAAAGCGGCTGAAATCTCCACTTGCAAATTCCACAAAAAGAGTGTTTCAAGTCTGCTCTGTGTAAAGGATCGTTCAACTCTGTGAGTTGAATACACACAACACAACGAAGTTACTGAGAATTCTTCTGTGTAGCAGAATATGAAGAAATCCCGTTTCCAACGAAGGCCTCAGGGAGGTCTGAATATCCACTTGCAGACTTTACAAACAGAGTGTTTCCTAACTGCTCTATGAAAAGAAAGGTTAAACTCTGTGAGTTGAACGCACACATCACAAAGGAGTTTCTGAGAATCGTTCTGTCTAGTTTTTATAGGAAGATATTTCCTTTTCTACCTTTGACTTCAAAGAGGCTGAAATCTCCACTTGCAAATTCCAGAAAAAGAGTGTTACAAGTCTGCTCTGTGTAAAGGATCGTTCAACTCTGTGAGTTGAATACACACAACACAAGGAAGTTACTGGGAATTCTTCTGTCTAGCCTTATATGAAAAAAACCCGTTTCCAACGAAGGCCTCTAAGTGGTCAAATTATCAACGTGCAGACTTTACAAACAGAGTGTTTCCAAACTGCTGAATGAAAAGAAAAGTTAAACTCTGAGAGTTGAACGCACACATCGCAGAGCAGTTTCTGAGAATGATTCTGTCTACTTTCTATAGGAAGATATTTCCTATTCTACCATTGACCTCAAAGCGGCTGAAATCTCCACTTGCAAATTCCACAAAAGGAGTGTTTCAAGTCTGCTCTGTGTAAAGGATCGTTCATCTCTGTGAGTTGAAAACACACAACACAAGGAAGTTTCTGAGAATTCTTCTTTCTAGCAGAATATGAAGAAATCCCGTTTCCAAAGAAAGCCTCAAGGATGTCTGAATATCCACTTGCAGACTTTACAAACAGAGTGTTTCCTAACTGCTCTATGAAAAGAAAGGTTAAACTCTTTGAGTTGAACGCACACATCACAAAGGAGTTTCTGAGAATCATTCTGTCTAGTCTTTATACGGAGATGTTTCCTTTTCTACCATTGACCTCAAAGCGGCTGAAATCTCCACTTGCAAATTCCACAAAAAGAGTGTTTCAAGTCTGCTCTGTGTAAAGGATTGTTCAACTCTGTGAGTTGAATACACACAACACAAGGAAGTTACTGAGAATTCTTCTGTCTAGCAGAATATGAAGAAATCCCGTTTCCAACGAAGGCCTCAAGGAGTTCTGAATATCCACTTGCAGACTTTACAAACAGAGTGTTTCCTAACAGCTCTATGAACAGAAAGGTTAAACTCTGTGAGTTGAACGCACACATCACAAAGGAGTTTCTGAGAATCATTCTGTCTAGTTTTTATAGGAAGATATTTCCTTTTCGACCTTTGACTTGAAAGCGGCTGAAATCTCCACTTGCAAATTCCACAAAAAGAGTGTTACAAGTCTGCTCTGTGTAAAGGATCGTTCAACTCTGTGAGTTGAATACACACAACACAAGGAAGTTACTGAGAATTCTTCTGTCTAGCCTTACATGAAAAAAACCCGTTTCCAACGAAGGCCTCTAAGTTGTCAAAATATCCACGTGCAGACTTTACAAACAGAGTGTTTCCAAACCGCTGAATGAAAAGAAAAGTTAAACTCTGAGAGTTGAACGCACACATCACGCAGCAGTTTCTGAGAATGATTCTGTCTAGTTTTTATACGAAGATATTTCCTTTTCTGCCTTTGGCCTCAAAGCGCTTGAAATCTCCATTTGCAAATTCCACTAAAAGAGTGTTTCAAATCTGCTCTGTGTAAATGAAAGTTCAACTCTGTGAGTTGAACACACACAACACAAGGAAGTTACTGGGAATTCTTCTGTCTAACCTTATATGAAAAAAACCCGTTTCCAACGAAGGCCTCAAAGAGGTCTGAATATCCACTTGCAGACTTTACAAACAGAGTGTTTCCTAACTGCTCTATGAAAAGAAAGGTTAAACTCTGTGAGTTGAACGCACACATCACAAAGGAGTTTCTGAGAATCATTCTGTCTAGTTTTTCTACGAAGATATTTCCTATTCTACCATTGACCTCAAAGCGGCTGAAATCTCCACTTGGAAATTCCACAAAAAGAGTGTTTCAAGTCTGCTCTGTGTAAAGGATCGTTCAACTCTGTGAGTTGAATACACACAACAAAAGGAAGTTACTGAGAATTCTTCTGTCTAGCAGAATATGAAGAAATCCCGTTTCCAACGAAGGCCACAAGATGTCAGAATATCCACTTACAGACTTTACAAACAGAGTGTTTCCTAACTGCTCTATGAACAGAAAGGTTAAACTGTGAGTTGAACGAACACATCACAACGCAGTTTGTGGGAATGATTCTGTCTAGTTTTGAAACGAAGATATTTCCTTTTCTGCCATTGACCTCAAAGCGCTTGAAATCTCCACTTGCCAATTGCACAAAAAGAGTGTTTCAAATCTGCTCTGTCTAAGGGAACGTTCAACTCTGTGAGTTGAATGTACACAACACAAGGAAGTTACTGGGAATTCTTCTGTCTAGCCTTACAGGAAAAAAACCCGTTTCCAACGAACGCCTTTAAGTGGTCAAAATATCCACGTGCAGACTTTACAGAGTGTTTCCAAACTGCTGAATGAAAAGAAAAGTTAAACTCTGAGAGTTGAACGCACACATCGCAGAGCAGTTTCTGAGAATGATTCTGTCTAGTTTTTATATGAAGATATTCCCTTTCCTGCCTTTGGCCTCAAAGCGCTTGAAATCTCCACTTGCAAATTCCACAAAAAGAGTGTTTCAAATCTGCTCTGTGTAAATCAAAGTTCAACTCCGTGAGTTGAACACACACAACACAAGGAAGTTACTGGGAATTCTTCTGTCTAGCAGAATATGAAGAAATCCCGTTTCCAACGAAGGCCTCAAAGAGGTCTGAATATCCACTTGCAGACTTTACAAACAGAGTGTTTCCTAACTGCTCTATGAAAAGAAAGGTTAAACTCTGTGAGTTGAACGCACACATCACAAAGTAGTTTCTGAGAATCATTCTGTCTAGTTTCTATAGGAAGATATTTCCTATTCTACCATTGACCTCAAAGCGGCTGAAATCTCCACTTGCAAATTCCACAAAAAGAGTGTTTCAAGTCTGCTCTGTGTAAAGGATCGTTCAACTCTGTGAGTTGAATACACACAACACAAGGAAGTTACTGAGAATTCTCTGTCTAGCAGAATATGAAGAAATCCCGTTTCCAACGAAGGCCACAAGATGTCAGAATATCCACTTACAGACTTTACAAACAGAGTGTTTCCTAACTGCTCTATGAAAACAAAGGTTAAACTCTGTGAGTTGAACGAACACATCACAACGCAGTTTGTGGGAATGATTCTGTCTAGTTTTTATAGGCAGATATTTCCTTTTCTACTTTGACTTCAAAGCGGCTGAAATCTCCACTTGCAAATTCCACAAAAAGAGTGTTACAAGTCTGCTCTCTGTAAAGGATCGTTCAACTGTGTGAGTTGAATACACACAACACAAGGAAGTTACTGAGAACTCTTCTGTCTAGCCTTACATGAAAAAAACCCGTTTCCAATGAAGGCCTCTAAGTGGTCAAATTATCCACGTGCAGACTTTACAAACAGAGTGTTTCCAAACTGCTGAATGAAAAGAAAAGTTAAACTCTGAGAGTTGATCGCACACATCACAGAGCAGTTTCTGAGAATGATTCTGTCTAGTTTTTATACAAAGATATTTCCTTTTCTGCCTTTGGCCCCATAGCGCTTGAAATCTCCACTTGCAAATTCCACAAAAACAGTGTTTCAAATCTGCTCTCTCTAAATAAAAGTTCCACTCTGTCAGTTGAATACACACAACACAAGGAAGTTACTGAGAATTCTTCTGTCTAGCATAATATGAAGAAATCCCGTTTCCAACGAAGGCCTCAAGGAGGTCTGAGTATCCACTTGCAGACTTTTCAAACAGAGTGTTTCCTAACTGCTCTATGAAAAGAAAGGTTAAACTCTGTGAGTTGAACGCACACATCACAAAGGAGTTTCTGAGAATCATTCTGTCTAGTTTTTCTACGAAGATATTTCCTTTTCTACTATTGACCTCAAAGCGGCTGAAATCTCCACTTGCAAATTCCACAAAAAGAGAGTTTCAAGTCTGCTCTGTGTAAAGGATCGTTCAACTCTGTGAGTTGAATACACACAACACAAGGAAGTTACTGAGAATTCTTCTGTCTAGCAGAATATGAGGAAATCCCGTTTCCAACGAAGGCCTCAAAGAGGTCTGAATATCCACTTGCAGACTTTACAAACAGAGTGTTTCCTAACTGCTCTATGAAAAGAAAGGTTAAACTCTGTGAGTTGAACGCACACATCACAAAGGAGTTTCTGAGAATCGTTCTGTCTAGTTTTGAAACGAAGATATTTCCTTTTCTGCCATTGACCTTAAAGCGCTTGAAATCTCCACTTGCCAATTGCACAAAGAGTGTTTCAAATCTGCTCTGTCTAAGGGAACGTTCAACTCTGTGAGTTGAATGTACACAACACAAGGAAGTTACTGGGAATTCTTCTGTCTAGCCTTACAGGAAAAAAAACCGTTTCCAACGAAGGCCTCTAAGTGGTCAAAATATCCACGTGCAGACTTTACAAACAGAGTGTTTCCAAACTGCTGAATGAAAAGAAAAGTTAAACTCTGAGAGTTGAACGCACACATCGCAGAGCAGTTTCTGAGAATGATTCTGTCTAGTTTTTCTACGAAGATATTTCCTTTTCTACTATTGACCTCAAAGCGCCTGAAATCTCCAATTGCAAATTCCACAAAAAGAGTGTTTCAAGTCTGCTCTGTGTAAAGGATCGTTCAACTCTCTGAGTTGAATACACACAACACAAGGGAAGTTACTGAGAATTCTTCTGTGTAGCAGAATATGAAGAAATCCCGTTTCCAACGAAGGCCTCAAAGAGGTCTGAATATCCACTTGCAGACTTTACAAACAGAGTGTTTCCTAACTGCTCTATGAAAAGAAAGGTTAAACACTGTGAGTTGAACGCACACATCACAAAGGAGTTTATGAGAATCATAATGTCTAGTCTTTATACGAAGATATTTCCTTTTCTACCATTGACCTCAAAGCGGCTGAAATCTCCACTTGCAAATTCCACAAAAAGAGTGTTTCAAGTCTGCTCTGTGTAAAGGATCGTTCAACTCTGTGAGTTGAATACACACAACCCAAGGAAGTTACTGAGAATTCTTCTGTCTAGCAGAATATGAAGAAATCCCGTTTCCAACGAAGGCCTCTAGGAGGTCTGAATATCCACTTGCAGACTTTACAAACAGAGTGTTTCTTAACTGCTCTATGAACAGAAAGGTTAAACTCTGTGAGTTGAACGAACACATCACAACGCAGTTTGTGGGAATGATTCTGTCTAGTTTTGAAACGAAGACATTTCCTTTTCTGCCTTTGGCCTCAAAGCGCTTGAAATCTCCATTTGCAAATTCCACAAAAAGAGTGTTTCAAATCTGCTCTGTGTAAATGAAAGTTCAACTCTGTGAGTTGAACGCACACAACACAAGGAAGTTACTGGGAATTCTTCTGTCTAGCCTTACATGAAAAAAACCCGTTTCCAACGAAGGCCTCTAAGTGGTCAAAATATCCACTTGCAGACTTTACAAACAGAGTGTTTCCAAACCGCTGAATGAAAAGAAAAGTTAAACTCTGAGAGTTGAACGCACACATCACGCAGCAGTTTCTGAGAATGATTCTGTCTAGTTTTTATACGAAGATATTTCCTTTTCTGCCTTTGGCCCAAAGCGCTTGAAATCTCCACTTGCAAATTCCACAAAAACAGTGTTTCAAATCTGCTCTCTCTAAATGAAAGTTCAACTCTGTCAGTTGAATACACACAACACAAGGAAGTTACTGAGAATTCTTCTGTCTAGCCTTATATGAAAAAAACCCGTTTCCAACGAAGGCCTCAAAGAGGGCTGAATATCCACTTGCAGACTTTACAAACAGAGTGTTTCCTAACTGCTCTATGAAAAGAAAGGTTAAACTCTGTGAGTTGAACACACACATCACAAAGGAGTTTCTGAGAATCATTCTGTCTAGTCTTTATACGAAGATATTTCCTTTTCTACCATTAACCTCAAAGCGGCTGAAATCTCCACTTGCAAATTCCACAAAAAGAGTGTTTCAAGTCTGCTCTGTGTAAAGGATCGTTCAACTCTGTGAGTTGAATACACACAACACAAGGAAGTTACTGAGAATTATTCTGTCTAGCATAATATGAAGAAATCCCGTTTCCAACGAAGGCCTCAAGGAGGTCTGAATATCCACTTGCAGACTTTACAAACAGAGTGTTTCCTAACTGCTCTATGAAAAGAAAGGTTAAACTCTGTGAGTTGAACGCACACATCACAAAGGAGGTTCTGAGAATCATTCTGTCTAGTTTTGAAACGAAGATATTTCCTTTTCTGCCATTGACCTTAAAGCGCTTGAAATCTACACTTGCAAATTGCACAAATAGAGTGTTTCAAATCTGCTCTGTCTAAGGGAACGTTCAACTCTGTGAGTTGAATGCACACAACACAATGAAGTTACTGGGAATTCTTCTGTCTAGCCTTACATGAAAAAAACCCGTTTCCAACGAAAGCCTCTAAGTGGTCAAAATATCCACGTGCAGACTTTACAAACAGAGTGTTTCCAAACCGCTGAATGAAAAGAAAAGTTAAACTCTGAGAGTTGAACGCACACATCACGCAGCAGTTTCTGAAAATGATTCTGTCTAGTTTTTATACGAAGATATTTCCTTTTCTGCCTTTGGCCTCAAAGCGCTTGAAATCTCCACTTGCAAATTCCACAAAAAGAGTGTTTCAAATCTCCTCTGTGTAAATGAAAGTTCAACTCTGTGAGTTGAACACACACAACACAAGGAAGTTACTCGGAATTCTTCTGTCTAGCATAATATGAAGAAATCCCGTTTCCAACGAAGGCCTCAAAGGGGTCTGAATATCCACTTGCAGACTTTATAAACAGAGTGTTTACTAACGTCTCTATGAAAAGAAAAGTTAAACTCTGTGTGTTGAACGCACACATCACAAAGGAGTTTCTGAGAATCATTCTGTCTAGTCTTTATACGAAGATATTTCCTTTTCTACCATTGACCTCAAAGCGGCTGAAATCTCCACTTGCAAATTCCACAAAAAGAGTGTTTCAACTCTGCTCTGTGTAAAGGATCGTTCAACTCTGTGAGTTAAATACACACAACACAAGGAAGTTACTGAGAATTCTTCTGTCTAGCAGAATATGGAGAAATCCCGTTTCCAACGTAGGCCACAAGATGTCAGAATATCCACTTACAGACTTTACAAACAGAGTGTTTCCTAACTGCTCTATGAACAGAAAGGTTAAACTCTGTGAGTTGAACGAACACATCACAACGCAGTTTGTGGGAATGATTATGTCTAGTTTTTATACGAAGATATTTCCTTTTCTACCATTGACCTCAAAGCGGGTGAAATCACCACTTGCCAATTGCACAAAAAGAGTGTTTCAAATCTGCTCTGTCTAAGGAAACGTTCAACTCTGTGAGTTGAATGTACATAACACAAGGAAGTTCCTGGGAATTCTTCTGTCTAGCCTTACAAGAAAAAAACCCGTTTCCAACGAAGGCCTCTAAATGGTCAAAATATCCACGTGCAGACTTTACAAACAGAGTGTTTCCAAACTGCTGAATGAAAAGAAAAGTTAAACTCTGAGAGTTGAACGCACACATCGCAGAGCAGTTTCTGAGAATGATTCTGTCTAGTTTTTATACGAAGATATTTCCTTTTCTACCATGGACTTCAAAGCGGCTGAAATCTCCACTTGCAAATTCCGCAAAAAGAGTGTTTCAAGTCTGCTCTGTGTAAAGGATCGTTCAACTCTGTGAGTTGAATACACACAACACAAGGAAGTTACTGAGAATTCTTCTGTCTAGCCTTACATGAAAAAAACCCGTTTCCAACGAAGGCCCCAAAGAGGTCTGAATATCCACTTGCAGACTTTACAAACAGAGTGTTTCCTAACTGCTCTATGAAAAGAAAGGTTAAACTCTGTGAGTTGAACACACACATCACAAAGGAGTTTCTGAGAATCATTCTGTCTAGTTTTTATACGAAGATATTTCCTTTTCTACCATTGACCTCAACGCGGCTGAAATCTCCAATTGCAAATTCCACAAAAAGAGTGTTTCAAGTCTGCTCTGTGTAAAGGATCGTTCAACTCTTTGAGTTGAATACACACAACACAAGGAAGTTACTGAGAATTCTTCTGTCTAGCATAGTATGAAGAAATCCCGTTTCCAAAGAAGGCCTCAATGAGGTCTGAATATCCACTTGCAGAGTTTACAAACAAAGTGTTTCCTAACTGCTCTATGAAAAGAAATGTTAAACTCTGTGAGTTGAACGCACACATCACAAAGGAGTTTCTGAGAATCATTCTGTCTAGTTTTGAAACGAAGATATTTCCTTTTCTGCCATTGACCTCAAAGCGCTTGAAATCTCCACTTGCCAATCGCACAAAAAGAGTGTTTCAAATCTGCTCTGTCTAAGGGAACGTTCAACTCTGTGAGTTGAATGTACACAACACAAGGAAGTTACTGGGAATTCTTCTGTCTAGCCTTACATGAAAAAAACCCGTTTCCAACGAAGGCCTCTAAGTGGTCAAAATTTCCACGTGCAGACTTTACAAACAGAGTGTTTCCAAACCGCTGAATGAAAAGAAAAGTTAAACTCTGAGAGTTGAACGCACACATCACACAGCAGTTTCTGAGAATGACTCTGTCTAGTTTTTATACGAAGATATTTCCTTTTCTGCCTTTGGCCCCAAAGCGCTTGAAATCTCCACTTGCAAATTCCACAAAAACAGTGTTTCAAATCTGCTCTCTCTAAACGAAATTACAACTCTGTCAGTTGAATACACACAACACAAGGAAGTTACTGAGAATTCTTCTGTCTAGCACAGTATGAAGAAATCCCTTTTCCAACGAAGGCCTCAAAGAGGTCTGAATATCCACTTGCAGACTTTACAAACAGAGTGTTTCCTAACTGCTCTATGAAAAGAAAGGTTAAACTCTGTGAGTTGAACGCACACGTCACAATGAAGTTTCTGAGAATCCTTCTGTCTAGTTTTTATACGAAGATATTTCCTTTTCTACCATGGACCTCAAAGCGGCTGAAATCTCCACTTGCAAATTCCACAAAAGGAGTGTTTCAAATCTGCTCTGTGTAAACAATCGTTCAACTGTGTGAGTTGAATACACACAACACAAGGAAGATTCTGAGAATTCTTCTGTCTAGCAGAATATGAAGAAATCCCGTTTCCAACGAAGGCCACAAGATGTCAGAATATCCACTTACAGAATTTACAAACAGACTGTTTCTTAACTGCTCTATGAAAAGAAAGGTTAAACTCTGTGAGTTGAACGAACACCTCACAACGCAGTTTGTGGGAATGATTCTGTCTAGTTTTGAAACGAAGATATTTCCTTTTCTGCCGTTGACCTTAAAGCGCTTGAAATCTACACTTGGAAATTGCACAAATAGAGTGTTTCAAATCTGCTCTGTCTAAGGGAACGTTCAACTCTGTGAGTTGAATGCACACAACACAAGGAAGTTACTGGGAATTCTTCTGTCTAGCCTTACATGAAAAAAACCCGTTTCCAACGAAGGCCTCTAAGTGGTCAAAATTTCCACGTGCAGACTTTACAAACAGAGTGTTTCCAAACCGCTGAATGAAAAGAAAAGTTAAACTCTGAGAGTTGAATGCACACATCACGCAGCAGTTTCTGAGAATGATTCTGTCTAGTTTCTATAGGAAGATATTTCCTATTCTAACATTGACCTCAAAGCGGCTGAAATCTCCACTTGCAAATTCCACAAAAGGAGTGTTTCAAGTCTGCTCTGTGTAAAGGATCGTTCAACTCTGTGAGTTGAAAACGCACAACACAAGGAAGTTTCTGAGAATTCTTCTGTCTAGCAGAATATGAAGAAATCCCGTTTCCAACGAAAGCCTCAAAGATGTCTGAATATCCACTTGCAGACTTTACAAACAGAGTGTTTCCTAACTGCTCTATGAAAAGAAAGGTTAAACTCTGTGAGTTGAACGCACACATCACAAAGGAGTTTCTGAGAATCATTCTGTCTAGTTTCTATAGAAAGATATTTCCTATTCTACCATTGAACTCAAAGCGGCTGAAATCTCCACTTGCAAATTCCACAAAAAGAGTGTTTCAAGTCTGCTCTGTGTAAAGGATCGTTCAACTCTGTGAGTTGAATACACACAACAAAAGGAAGTTACTGAGAATTCTTCTGTCTAGCAGAATATGAAGAAATCCCGTTTCCAACGAAGGCCTCAAGGAGGTCTGAATATCCACTTGCAGACTTTACAAACAGGGTGTTTCCTAACTGCTCTATGAACAGAAAAGTTAAACTCTGTGAGTTGAACGAACACATCACAACGCAGTTTGTGGGAATGATTCTGTCTAGTTTTGAAACGAAGATATTTCCTTTTCTGCCGTTGACCTTAAAGCGCTTGAAATCTACACTTGCAAATTGGACAAATAGAGTGTTTCAAATCTGCTCTGTCTAAGGGAACGTTCAACTCTGTGAGTTGAATGCACACAACACAAGGAAGTTACTGGGAATTCTTCTGTCTAGCCTTACAGGAAAAAAACCCGTTTCCAACGAAGGCCTCTAAGTGGTCAAAATATCCACGTGCAGACTTTACAAACAGAGTGTTTCCAAACTGCTGAATGAAAAGAAAAGTTAAACTCTGAGAGTTGAACGCAGACATCGCAGAGCAGTTTCTGAGAATGATTCTGTCTAGTCTTTGTAAGAACATAGTTTCCTTTTCTACCATTGACCTCAAAGCGGCTGAAATCTCCACTTGCAAATTCCACAAAAGGAGTGTTTCAAGTCTGCTCTGTGTAAAGGATCGTTCAACTCTGTGAGTTGAATACACACAACACAAGGAAGTTACTGAGAATTCTTCTGTCTAGCAGAATATGAAGAAATCCCGTTTCCAACGAAGGCCTCAAGGAGGTCTGAATATCCACTTGCACACTTTACAAACAGAGTGTTTCCTAACTGCTCTATGAAAAGAAAGGTTAAACTCTGTGAGTTGAACGCACACATCACAAAGGAGTTTATGAGAATCATTCTGTCTAGTCTTTATATGAAGATAGTTTCCTTTTCTACCATTGACCTCAAAGCGGCTGAAATCTCCACTTGCAAATTCCACAAAAAGAGTGTTTGAAGTCTGCACTGTGTAAAGGATCGTTCAACTCTGTGAGTTGAATACACACAACACAAGGAAGTTACTGAGAATTCTTCTGTCTAGCAGAATATGAAGAAATCCCGTTTCCAGCGAAGGCCACAAGATGTCAGAATATCCACTTACAGACTTTACAACAGAGTGTTTCCTAACTGCTCTATGAACAGAAAGGTTAAACTCTGTGAGTTGAACGAACACATCACAACGCAGTTTGTGGGAATGATTCTGTCTAGTTTTGAAACGAAGATATTTCCTTTTCTGCCGTTGACCTTAAAGAGCTTCAAAACTACACTTGCAAATTGCACAAATAGAGTGTTTCAAATCTCCTCTGTCTAAGGGAACGTTCAACTCTGTGAGTTGAATGCACACAACACAAGGAAGTTACTGGGAATTCTTCTGTCTAGCCTTACATGAAAAAAACCCGTTTCCAACGAAGGCCTCTAAGTGGCCAAAATATCCACGTGCAGACTTTACAAACAGAGTGTTTCCAAACCGCTGAATGAAAAGAAAAGTTAAACTCTGAGAGTTGAACGCACACATCACGCAGCAGTTTCTGAGAATTATTCTGTCTAGTTTTGAAACGAAGATATTTCCTTTTCTGCCTTTGGCCTCAAAGCGCTTGTAATCTCCACTTGCAAATTCCACAAAAAGAGTGTTTCAAATCTGCTCTGTGTAAATGAAAGTTCAACTCTGTGAGTTGAACACACACAACACAAGGAAGTTACTGGGAATTCTTCTGTCTAGCCTTACATGAAAAAAACCCGTTTCCAACGAAGGCCTCAAAGAGGTCTGAATATCCACTTGCAGACTTTACAAACAGAGTGTTTCCTAACTGCTCTATGAAAAGAAAGGTTAAACTCTGTGAGTTGAACGCACACATCACAAAGGAGTTTCTGAGAATCATTCTGTCTAGTTTCTATAGGAAGATATTTCCTATTCTACCATTGACCTCAAAGCGGCTGAAATCTCCACTTGCAAATTCCACAAAAAGAGTGTTTCAAGTCTGCTCTCTGTAAAGGATCGTTCAACTCTGAGAGTTGAATACACACAACACAAGGAAGTTACTGAGAATTATTCTGTCTAGCAGAATATGAAGAAATCCCGTTTCCAACGAAGGCCACAAGTATGTCAGAATATCCACTTACAGAATTTACAAACAGACTGTTTCCTAAGTGCTCTATGAAAAGAAAGGTTAAACTCTGTGAGTTGAACGAACACATCACAACGCAGTTTGTGGGAATGATTCTGTCTAGTTTTGAAACGAAGATATTTCCTTTTCTGCCATTGACTTTAAAGCGCTTGAAATCTACACTTGCAAATTGCACAAATAGAGTGTTTCAAATCTGCTCTGTCTAAGGGAACGTTCAACTCTGTGAGTTGAATGCACACAACACAAGGAAGTTACTGGGAATTCCTTCTGTCTAGCCTTACATGAAAAAAACCCGTTTCCAACGAAGGCCTCTAAGTGGTCAAAATATCCACGTGCAGACTTTACAAACAGAGTGTTTCCAAACCGCTGAATGAAAAGAAAAGTTAAACTCTGAGAGTTGAACGCACACATCACGCAGCAGTTTCTGAGAATGATTCTGTCTAGTTTTTATACGAAGATATTTCCTTTTCTGCCTTTGGCCCCAAAGCGCTTGAAATCTCCACTTGCAAATTCCACAAAAACAGTGTTTCAAATCTGCTCTCTCTAAATGAAAGTCCAACTCTGTCAGTTGAATACACACAACACAAGGAAGTTACTGAGAATTCTTCTGTCTAGCCTTACATGAAAAAAAACCCGTTTCCAACGAAGGCCTCAAAGAGGTGAAAATATCCACTTGCAGACTTTACAAACAGAGTGTTTCCTAACTGCTCTATGAAAAGAAAGGTTAAACCCTGTGAGTTGAACACCCACATCACAAAGGAGTTTCTGAGAATCATTCTGTCTAGTTTTTCTACGAAGATATTTCCTTTTCTACTATTGACCTCAAAGCGGCTGAAATCTCCACTTGCAAATTCCACAAAAAGAGTGTTTCAAGTCTGCTCTGTGTAAAGGATGGTTCAACTCTGTGAGTTGAATACACACAACACAAGGAAGTTACTGAGAATTCTTCTGTCTAGCATAATATGAAGAAATCCCGTTTCCAAAGAAGGCCACATGATGTCATAATATCCACTTACAGACTTTACAAACAGAGTGTTTCCTAACTGCTCTATGAACAGAAAGGTTAAACTCTGTGAGTTGACCGAACACATCACATCGCAGTTTGTGGGAATAATTCTGTCTAGTTTTGAAACGAAGATATTTCCTTTTCTGCCGTTGACCTTAAAGAGCTTGAAATCTACACTTGCAAATTGCACAAATAGGCTGTTTCAAATCTGCTCTGTCTAAGGGAACGTTCAACTCTGTGAGTTGAATGCACACAACACAAGGAAGTTACTGGGAATTCTTCTGTCTAGCCTTACATGAAAAAAACCCGTTTCCAACGAAGGCCTCTAAGTGGTCAAATTATCCACGTGCAGACTTTAGAAACAGAGTGTTTCCAAACTGCTGAATGAAAAGAAAAGTTAAACTCTGAGAGTTGAACGCACACATCACAGAGCAGTTTCTGAGAATGATTCTGTCTAGTTTGGAAACGAAGATATTTCCTTTTCTGCCTTTGGCCTCAAAGCGCTTGAAATCTCCACTTGCAAATTCCACAAAAAGAGTGTTTCAAATCTGCTCTGTGTAAATGAAAGTTCAACTCTGTGAGTTGAACACACACAACACAAGGAAGTTACTGGGAATTCTTCTGTCTAGCCTTATATGAAAAAAACCCGTTTCCAACGAAGGCCTCAAAGAGGTCTGAATATCCACTTGCAGACTTTACAAACAGAGTGTTTCCTAACTGCTCTATGAAAAGAAATGTTAAACTCTGTGGGTTGAACACACAAATCACAAAGGAGTTTCTGAGAATCATTCTGTCTAGTTTTTATACGAAGATATTTCCTTTTTTACCATTGACCTCAAAGCGGCTGAAATCTCCACTTGCAATTTCCACAAAAAGAGTGTTTCAAGTCTGCTCTGTGTAAAGGATCGTTCAACTCTGTGAGTTGAATACACACAACAAAAGGAAGTTACTGAGAATTCTTCTGTCTAGCATAATATGAAGAAATCCCGTTTCCAACGAAGGCCTCAAAGAGGTCTGAATATCCACTTGCAGACTTTACAAACAGAGTGTTTCCTAACTGCTCTATGAAAAGAAAGGTTAAACTCTGTGAGTTGAACGCACACATCACAAAGGAGTGTCTGAGAATCATTCTGTCTAGTTTTTATACGAAGATATTTCCTTTTCTACCATTGACCTCAAAGCGGCTGAAATCACCACTTGCCAATTGCACAAAAAGAGTGTTTCAAATCTGTTCTGTCTAAGGGAACGTTCAACTCTGTGAGTTGAATGTACACAACACAAGGAAGTTACTGGGAATTCTTCTGTATAGCCTTACATGAAAAAAACCCGTTTCCAACGAAGGCCTCTAAGTGGTCAAATTATCCACGTGCAGACTTTACAAACAGAGTGTTTCCAAACTGCTGAATGAAAAGAAAAGTTAAACTCTGAGAGTTGAACGCACACATCACAGAGCAGTTTCTGAGAATGATTCTGTCTAGTTTTTATACGAAGATATTTCCTTTTCTGCCTTTGGCCTCAAAGCGCTTGAAATCTCCACTTGCAAATTCCACAAAAAGAGTGTTTCAAATCTCCTCTGTCTAAGGGAACGTTCAACTCTGTGAGTTGAACACACACAACACAAGGAAGTTACTGGGAATTCTTCTGTCTAGCAGAATATGAAGAAATCACGTTTCCAACGAGGGCCTCAAAGGGGTCTCAATATCCACTTGCAGACTTTACAGAGTGTTTCCTAACTGCTCTATGAAAAGAAAAGTTAAACTCTGTGAGTTGAACGCACGCATCACAAAGGATTTTCTGAGAATCATTCTGTCTAGTTTCTATAGGAAGATATTTCCTATTCTACCATTGACCTCAAAGCGGCTGAAATCTCCACTTGCAAATTCCACAAAAAGAGTGTTTCAAGTCTACTCTTTGTAAAGCATCGTTCAAATCTGTGAGTTGAAAACACACAACACAAGGAAGTTTCTGAGAATTCTTCTGTCTAGCAGAATATGTAGAAATCCCGTTTCCAACGAAGGCCACAAGATGTCAGAATATCCACTTACAGAATTTACCAACAGAGTGTTTCCTAACTGCTCTATGAAAAGAAAGGTTAAACTCTGTGAGTTGAACGAACACATCACAACGCAGTTTGTGGGAATGATTCTGTCTAGTTTTGAAACGAAGATATTTCCTTTTCTGCCATTGACCTTAAAGCGCTTGAAATCTCCACTTGCCAATTGCACAAAAAGAGTGTTTCAAATCTGCTCTGTCTAAGGGAACGTTCAACTCTGTGAGTTGAATGTACACAACACAACGAAGTTACTGGGAATTCTTCTGTCTAGCCTTACATGAAAAAAACCCGTTTCCAACGAAGGCCTCTAAGTGGTCAAAATTTCCACGTGCAGACTTTACAAACAGAGTGTTTCCAAACCGCTGAATGAAAAGAAAAGTTAAACTCTGAGAGTTGAACGCACACATCACGCAGCAGTTTCTGAGAATGATTCTGTCTAGTTTTTATACGAAGATATTTCCTTTTCTGCCTTTGGCCTCAAAGCGCTTGAAATCTCCACTTGCAAATTCCACAAAAAGAGTGTTTCAAATCTGCTCTCTGTAAATGAAAGTTCAACTCTGTGAGTTGAACACACACAACACAAGGAAGTTACTGGGAATTCTTCTGTCTAGCACAGTATGAAGAAATCCCGTTTCCAACGAAGGCCTCAAAGAGGTCTGAATATCCACTTGCAGAGTTTACAAACAGAGTGTTTCCTAACTGCTCCATGAAAAGAAAGGTTAAACTCTGTGAGTTGAACGCACACATCACAAAGAAGTTTCTGAGAATCATTCTGTCTAGTTTCTATAGGAAGATATTTCCTTTTCTGCCATTGACCTCAAAGCGGCTGAAATCTCCACTTGCAAATTCCACAAAAAGAGTCTTTCAAGTCTGCTCTGTGTAAAGGATCGTTCAACTCGGTGAGTTGAATACACACAACACAAGGAAGTTACTGAGAATTCTTCTGTCTAGCATAATATGAAGAAATCCCGTTTCCAACGAAGACCTCAAAGAGGTCTGAATATCCACTTGCAGACTTTACAAACAGAGTGTTTCCTAACTGCTCTATGAGAAGAAAAGTTACACTCTGTGAGTTGAACGCACACATCACAAAAGATTTTCTGAGAATCATTCTGTCTAGTTTTAAAACGAAGAAATTTCCTTTTCTGCCATTGACCTTAAAGCGCTTGAAATCTACACTTGCAAATTGCACAAATAGAGTGTTTCAAATCTGCTCTGTCTAAGGGAACGTTCAACTCTGTGAGTTGAATGCACACAACACAAGGAAGTTACTGGGAATTCTTCTGTCTAGCCTTACAAGAAAAAAACCCGTTTCCAACGAAAGCCTCTAAATGGTCAAAATATCCACGTGCAGACTTTACAGAGTGTTTCCAAACTGCTGAATGAAAAGAAAAGTTAAACTCTGAGAGTTGAACGCACACATCGCAGAGCAGTTTCTGAGAATGATTCTGTCTAGTTTTGAAACGAAGATATTTCCTTTTCTGCCTTTGGCCTCAAAGCGCTTGAAATCTCCACTTGCAAATTCCACAAAAAGAGTGTTTCAAATCTGCTCTGGGTAAATGAAAGTTCAACTCTGTGAGTTGAACAAACACAACACAAGGAAGTTACTGGGAATTCTTCTGTCTAGCCTTATATGAAAAAATCCCGTTTCCAACGAAGGCCTCAAAGAGGTCTGAATATCCACTTGCAGACTTTACAAACACAGTGTTTCCTAACTGCTCTATGAAAAGAAAGGTTAAACTCTGTGAGTTGAACGCACACATCACAAAGGAGTTTCTGAGAATCATTCTGTCTAGTTTTTATACGAAGACATTTCCTTTTCTACCATTGACCTCAAAGCGGCTGAAATCTCCACTTGCAAATTCCACAAAAAGAGTGTTTCAAATCTGCTCTGTGTAAACCAACGTTCAACTCTGTGAGTTGAAGACACACAACACAAGGAAGATTCTGAGAATTCTTCTGTCTAGCAGAATATGAAGAAATCCCGTTTCCAACGAAGGCCAAAAGATGTCAGAATATCCACTTACAGAATTTACAAACAGAGTGTTTCCTAACTGCTCTATGAAAAGAAAGGTTAAACTCTGTGAGTTGAACGAACACATCACAACGCAGTTTGTGGGAATGATTCTGTCTAGTTTTTATACGAAGATATTTCCTTTTCTACCATTGACCTCAAAGCGGCTGAAATCACCACTTGCCAATTGCACAAAAAGAGTGTTTCAAATCTGCTCTGTCTAAGGGAACGTTCAACTCTGTGAGTTGAATGTGCACAACACAAGGAAGTTCCTGGGAATTCTTCTGTCTAGCCTTATATGAAAAAAACCCGTTTCCAACGAAGGCCTCTAAGTGGTCAAAATATCCACGTGCAGACTTTACAAACAGAGTGTTTCCAAACCGCTGAATGAAAAGAAAAGTTAAAGTCTGAGAGTTGAACGCACACATCACGCAGCAGTTTCTGAGAATGATTCTGTCTAGTTTTTATACGAAGATATTTCCTTTTCTGCGTTTGGCCCCAAAGCGCTTGAAGTCACCACTTGCAAATTCCACAAAAACAGTGTTTCAAATCTGCTCTCTCTAAATGAAAGTTCAACTCTGTCAGTTGAATACACACAACACAAGGAAGTTACTGAGAATTCTTCTGTCTAGCAGAATATGAAGAAATCCCGTTTCCAACGAAGGCCTCAAAGAGGTCTGAATATCCACTTGCAGACTTTACAAACAGAGTGTTTCCTAACTGCTCTATGAAAAGAAAAGTTAAACTCTGTGAGTTGAACGCACACATCACAAAGGAGTTTCTGAGAATCGTTCTGTCTAGTTTCTATAGGAAGATATTTCCTATTCTACCATTGACCTCAAAGCGGCTGAAATCTCCACTTGCAAATTCCACAAAAAGAGTGTTTCAAGTCTGCTCTGTGTAAAGGATCGTTCAACTCTGTGAGTAGAATACACACAACACAAGGAAGTTACTGAGAATTCTTCTGTCTAGCAGAATATGAAGAAATCCCGTTTCCAACGAAGGCCACAAGATGTCAGAATATCCACTTACAGAATTGACAAACAGACTGTTTCCTAACTGCTCTATGAAAAGAAAGGTTAAACTCTGTGAGTTGAACGAACACATCACAACGCAGTTTCTGGGAATGATTCTGTCTAGTTTTGAAACGAAGATATTTCCTTTTCTGCCGTTGACCTTAAAGAGCTTGAAAACTACACTTGCAAATTGCACAAATAGAGTGTTTCAAATCTGCTCTGTCTAAGGGAACGTTCAACTCTGTGAGTTGAATGCACACAACACAAGGAAGTTACTGGGAATTCTTCTGTCTAGCCTTACATGAAAAAAAACCCGTTTCCAACGAAGGCCTCTAAGTGGTCAAAATATCCACGTGCAGTCTTTACAAACAGAGTGTTTCCAAACCGCTGAATGAAAAGAAAAGTTAAACTCTGAGAGTTGAACGCACACATCACGCAGCAGTTTCTGAGAATGATTCTGTCTAGTTTTTATACGAAGATATTTCCTTTTCTGCCTTTGGCCCCAAAGCGCTTGATATCTCCACTTGCAAATTCCACAAAAACAGTGTTTCAAATCAGCTCTCTCTAAATGAAAGTTCAACTCTGTCAGTTGAATACACACAACACAAGGAAGTTACTGAGAATTCTCTGTCTAGCCTTATAGGAAAAAAACCCGTTTCCAACGAAGGCCTCAAAGAGGTCTGAATATCCACTTGCAGACTTTACAAACAGAGTGTTTCCTAACTGCTCTATGAAAAGAAAGGTTAAACTCTGTGAGTTGAACGCACACATCACAAAGGAGTTCTGAGAATCATCTCTGTCTAGTTTTTATACGAAGATATTTCCTTTTCTACCATTGACCTCAAAGCGGCTGAAATCTCCACTTGCAAATTCCACAAAAAGAGTGTTTCAACTCTGCTCTGTGTAAAGGATCGTTCAACTCTGTGAGTTGAATACACACAACACGCGGAAGTTACTGAGAATTCTTCTGTCTAGCAGAATATGAAGAAATCCCGTTTCCAACGAAGGCCACAAGATGTCAGAATATCCACTTACAGAATTGACAAACAGACTGTTTCCTAACTGCTCTATGAAAAGAAAGGTTAAACTCTGTGAGTTGAACGAACACATCAGAACGCAGTTTGTGGGAATGATTCTGTCTAGTTTTGAAATGAAGATATATATCTTTTTCTGCCATTGACCTTAAAGCGCTTGAAATCTCCACCTGCAAATTGCACAAAAAGATTGTTTCCGATCTGCTCTGTCTAAAAGAACGTTCAACTCTGTGAGTTGAATGCACACAACACAAGGAAGTTATTGGGAATTCTTCTGTCTAGCCTTACATGAAAAAAACCCGTTTCCAACGAAGGCCTCTAAGTGGTCAAATTATCCACATGCAGACTTTACAAACAGAGTGTTTCCAAACTGCTGAATGAAAAGAAAAGTTAAACTCTGAGAGTTGAACGCACACATCGCAGAGCAGTTTCTGAGAACGATTCTGTCTAGTTTTTATACGAAGATATTTCCTTTTCTGCCTTTGGCCTCAAAGCGCTTGAAATCTCCATTTGCAAATTCCACAAAAAGAGTGTTTCAAATCTGCTCTGTGTAAATGAAAGTTCAACTCTGTGAGTTGAACACACACAACACAAGGGAAGTTACTGGGAATTCTTCTGTCTAGCCTTATATGAAAAAAACCCATTTCCAACGAAGGCCTCAAAGAGGTCTGAATATCCACTTGCAGACTTTACAAACAGAGTGTTTCCTAACTGCTCTATGAAAAGAAAGGTTAAACTCTGTGAGTTGAACGCACACATCACAAAGGAGTTTCTGAGAATCATTCTGTCTAGTTTTTATAGGAAGTTATTTCCTTTTCTACCTTTGACTTCAAAGTGGCTGAAATCTCCACTTGCAAATTCCACAAAAAGAGTGTTACAAGTCTGCTCTGTGTAAAGGGTCGTTCAACTCTGTGAGTTGAATACACACAACACAAGGAAGTTACTGAGAATTCTTCTGTCTAGCAGAATATGAAGAAATCCCGTTTCCAACGAAGGCCACAAGATGTCAGAATATCCACTTACAGACTTTACAAACAGAGTGTTTCCTAACTGCTCTATGAACAGAAAGGTTAAACTCTGTGAGTTGAAAGAACACATCACAACGCAGTTTGTGGGAATGATTCTGTCTAGTTTTGAAACGAAGATATTTCCTTTTCTGCCATTGACCTTAAACACTTGAAATCTACACTTGCAAATTGCACAAATAGAGTGTTTCAAATCTGCTCTGTCTAAGGGAACGTTCAACTCTGTGAGTTGAATGCACACAACACAAGGAAGTTACTGGGAATTCTTCTATCTAGCCTTATATGAAAAAAACCCGTTTCCAACGAAGGCCTCTAAGTGGTCAAAATATCAACGTGCAGACTTTACAAACAGAGTGTTTCCAAACCGCTGAATGAAAAGAAAAGTTAAACTCTGAGAGTTGAACGCACACATCACGCAGCAGTTTCTGAGAATGATTCTGTCTAGTTTTTATACGAAGATATTTCCTTTTCTGCCTTTGGCCCCAAAGCGCTTGAAATCTCCACTTGCAAATTCCACAAAAACAGTGTTTCAAATCTGCTCTCTCTAAATGAAAGTTCAACTCTGTCAGTTGAATACACCCAACACAAGGAAGTTACTGAGAATTCTTCTGTCTAGCAGAATATGAAGAAATCCCGTTTCCAACGAAGGCCTCAAAGGGGTCTGAATATCCACTTGCAGACTTTATAAACAGAGTGTTTACTAACTGCACTACGAAAAGAAATGTTAAACTCTGTGAGTTGAACACACACATCACAAAGGAGTTTCTGAGAATCTTTCAGTCTAGTCTTTATACGAAGATATTTCCTTTTCTACCATTGACCTCAAAGCGGCTGAAATCTCCACTTGCAAATTCCACAAAAAGAGTGTTTCAAGTCTGCTCTGTGAAAAGGATCGTTCAACTCTGTGAGTTGAATACACACAACACAAGGAAGTTACTGAGAATTCTTCTGTCTAGCAGAATATGAAGAAATCCCGTTTCCAACGAAGGCCACAAGATGTCAGAATATCCACTTACAAACTTTACAGAGTGTTTCCTAACTGCTCTATGAACAGAAAGGTTAAACTCTGTGAGTTGAACGAACACATGACAACGCAGTTTCTGGGAATGATTCTGTCTAGTTTTGAAACGAAGATATTTCCTTTTCTGTCATTGACCTTAAAGCGCTTGAAATCTACACTTGCAAATTGCACAAGTAGAGTGTTTCAAATCTGCTCTGTCTAAGGGAACGTTCAACTCTTTGAGTTGAATGCACACAACACAAGGAAGTTACTGAGAATTCTTCTGTCTAGCCTTACATGAAAAAAACCCGTTTCCAACGAAGGCCTCTAAGTGGTCAAATTATCCACGTGCAGACGTTACAAACAGAGTGTTTCCAAACTGCTGAATGAATAGAAAAGTTAAAATCTGAGAGTTGAACGCACACATCGCAGAGCAGTTTCTGAGAATGATTCTGTCTAGTTTTTATACGAAGATATTTCCTTTTCTGCCTTTGGCCTCAAAGCGCTTGAAATCTCCACTTGCAAATTCCACAAAAAGAGTGTTTCAAATCTGCTCTTTGTAAATGAAAGTTCAACTCTGTGAGTTGAACACACACAACACAAGGAAGTTACTGGGAATCCTTCTGTCTAGCAGAATATGAAGAAATCCCGTTTCCAACGAAGGCCTCAAAGGGGTTTGAATATCCACTTGCAGACTTTATAAACAGAGTGTTTACTAACTGCTCTATGAAAAGAAAGGTTAAACTCTGTGAGTTGAACACACACATCACAAAGGAGTTTCTGAGAATCATTCTGTCTAGTTTTTATACGAAGATATTTCCTTTTCTACCATTGACCTCAAAGCGGCTGAAATCTCCACTTGCAAATTCCACAAAAAGAGTGTTTCAAGTCTGCTCTGTGTAAAGGATCGTTCAACTCCTGTGAGTTGAATACACACAACACAAGGAAGTTACTGAGAATTCTTCTGTCTAGCAGAATATGAAGAAATCCCGTTTCCAACGAAGGCCACAAGATGTCAGAATATCCACTTACAGAATTGACAAACAGACTGTTTCCTAACTGCTCTATGAAAAGAAAGGTTAAACTCTGTGAGTTGAACGCACACATCACAAAGAAGTTTCTGAGAATCATTCTGTCTAGTTTTGTAACGACGATATTTCCTTTTCTGCCATTGACCTTAAAGCGCTTGAAATCTACACTTGCCAATTGCACAAATAGAGTGTTTCAAATCTGCTCTGTCTAAGGGAACGTTCAACTCTGTGAGTTGAATGCACACAACACAAGGAAGTTACTGGGAATTCTTCTGTCTAGCCTTACGTGAAAAAAACCCGTTTCCAACGAAGGCCTCTAAGTGGTCAAAATATCCACTTGCAGACTTTACAAACAGAGTGTTTCCAAACCGCTGAATGAAAAGAAAAGTTAAACTCTGAGAGTTGAACGCACACATCACGCAGCAGTTTCTGAGAATGATTCTGTCTAGTTTTTATACGAAGATATTTCCTTTTCTGCCTTTGGCCTCAAAGCGCTTGAAATCTCCACTTGCAAATTCCACAAAAAGAGTGTTTCAAATCTGCTCTGTGTAAATCAAAGTTCAACTCTGTGAGTTGAACACACACAACACAAGGGAAGTTACTGGGAATTCTTCTGTCTAGCATAATATGAAGAAATCCCGTTTCCAACGAAGGCCACAAAGGGATCTGAATATCCACTTGCAGACTTTATAAACAGAGTGTTTACTAACTGCTCTATGAAAAGAAAGGTTAAACTCTGTGAGTTGAACACACACATCATAAAGGAGTTTCTGAGAATCATTCTGTCTAGTTTTTCTACGAAGATATTTCCTTTTCTACTATTGACCTCAAAGCGGCTGTAATCTCAAATTGCAAATTCCACAAAAAGAGTGTTTCAAGTCTGCTCTGTGTAAAGGATCGTTCAACTCTGTGAGTTGAATACACACAACACAAGGAAGTTACTGAGAATTCTTCTGTCTAGCATAATATGAAGAAATCCCGTTTCCAACGAAGGCCTCAAAGAGGTCTGAATATCCACTTGCAGACTTTTCAAACAGAGTGTTTCCTAACTGCTCTATGAAAAGAAAGGTTAAACTCTGTGAGTTGAACGCACACATCACAAAGGAGTTTCAGAGAATCATTCTGTCTAGTTTTGAAACGAAGATATCTCCTTTTCGGCCATTGACCTTAAATCGCTTGAAATCTACACTTGCAAATTACACAAATAGAGTGTTTCAAATCTGCTCTGTCTAAGGGAATGTTCATCTCTGTGAGTTGAATGCACACAACACAAGGAAGTTACTGGGAATTCTTCTGTCTAGCCTTACATGAAAAAAACCCGTTTCCAACGAAGGCCTCTAAGTGGTCAAATTATCCACGTGCAGACTTTAGAAACAGAGTGTTTCCAAACTGCTGAATGAAAAGAAAAGTTAAACTCTGAGAGTTGAACGCACACATCGCAGAGCAGTTTCTGAGAATGATTCTGTCTAGTTTTTATACGAAGATATTTCCTTTTCTGCCTTTGGCCCCAAAGCGCTTGAAATCTCCAATTGCAAATTCCACGAAAACAGTGTTTCAAATCTGCTCTCTCTAAATGAAAGTTAAACTCTGTCAGTTGAATACACACAACACAAGGAAGTTACTTAGAAATCTTCTGTCTAGCATAATATGAAGAAATCCCGTTTCCAACGAAGGCCTCAAAGGGGTCTGAATATCCACATGCAGACTTTATAAACAGAGTGTTTACTAACGGCTCTATGAAAAGAAAGGTTAAACTCTGTGAGTTGAACACACACATCACAAACGAGTTTCTGAGAATCATTCTGTCTAGTTTCTATAGGAAGATATTTCCTATTCTACCATTGACCTCAAAGCGGCTGAAATCTCCACTTGCAAATTCAACAAAAAGAGTGTTTCAAGTCTGCTCTGTGTAAAGGATCGTTCAACTCTGTGAGTTGAATACACACAACACAAGGAAGTTACTGGGAATTCTTCTGTCTAGCAGAATATGAAGAAATCCCGTTTCCAACGAAGGCCTCAAGGAGGTCTGAATATCCACTTGCAGACTTTATAAACAGTGTGTTTCCTAACTGCTCTATGAAAAGAAAGGTTAAACTCTGTGAGTTGAACGCAAACATCACAAAGGAGTTTCTGAGAATCATTCTGTCTTGTTTCTATACGAGGATATTTCCTTTTCTACCATTGACCTCAAAGCGGCTGAAATCTCCACTTGCAAATTCCACAAAAAGAGTGTTTCAAGTCTGCTCTGTGTAAAGGATCGTTCAACTCTGTGAGTTGAATACACACAACACAAGGAAGTTACTGAGAATTCTTCTGTCTAGCCTTACATGAAAAAAACCCGTTTCCAACGAAGGCCTCTAAGTGGTCAAAATTTCCACGTGCAGACTTTACAAACAGAGTGTTTCCAAACCGCTGAATGAAAAGAAAAGTTAAACTCTGAGAGTTGAACGCACACATCACGCAGCAGTTTACTGAGAATGATTTCTGTCTAGTTTTTATACGAAGATATTTCCTTTTCTGCCTTTGGCCTCAAAGCGCTTGAAATCTCCATTTGCAAATTCCACAAAAAGAGTGTTTCAAATCTGCTCTGTGTAAATGAAAGTTCAACTCTGTGAGTTGAACACACACAACACATGGAAGTTAGCTGGGAATTCTTCTGTCTAGCAGAATATGAAGAAATCCCGTTTCCAACGAAGGCCTCAACGAGGTCTGAATATCCACTTGCAGACTTTACAAACAGAGTGTTTCCTAACTGCTCTATGAAAAGAAAGGTTAAACTCTGTGAGTTGAACACACACATCACAAAGGAGTTTCTGAGAATCATTCTGTCTAGTTTCTATAGGAAGATATTTCCTATTCTACCATTGACCTCAAAGCGGCTGAAATCTCCACTTGCAAATCCCACAAAAAGAGTGTTTCAAGTCTGCTCTGTGTAAAGGATCGTTCAACTCTGTGAGTTGAATACACACAACACAAGGAAGTTACTGAGAATTATTCTGTCTAGCAGAATATGAAGAAATCCAGTTTCCAACGAAGGCCACAAGATGTCAGAATATCCACTTACAGAATTGACAAACAGACTGTTTCCTCACTGCTCTATGAAAAGAAAGGTTAAACTCTGTGAGTTGAACGAACACATCACAACGCAGTTTGTGGGAATGATTCTGTCTAGTTTTGAAACGAAGATATTTCCTTTTCTGCCATTGACCTTAAAGCGCTTGAAATCTACACTTGCAAATTGCACAAATAGAGTGTTTCAAATCTGCTGTGTCTAAGGAACGTTCAACTCTGTGAGTTGAATGCACACAACACAAGGAAGTTACTGGGAATTCTTCTGTCTAGCCTTACATGAAAAAATCCCGTTTCCAACGAAGGCCTCTAAGTGGTCAAAATTTCCACGTGCAGACTTTACAAACAGAGTGTTTCCAAACCGCTGAATGAAAAGAAAAGTTAAACTCTGAGAGTTGAACGCACACATCACGCAGCAGTTTCTGAGAATGATTCTGTCTTGTTTTGAAACGAAGATATTTCCTTTTCTGCCTTTGGTCTCAAAGCGCTTGAAATCTCCACTTGCAAATTCCACAAAAAGAGTGTTTCAAATCTGCTCTGTGTAAATGAAAGTTCAACTCTGTGAGTTGAACACACACAACACAAGGAAGTTACTGGGAATTCTTCTTTCTAGCAGAATATGAAGAAATCCCGTTTCCAACGAAAGCCTCAAGGATGTCTGAATATCCACTTGCAGACTTTACAAACAGAGTGTTTCCTAACTGCTCTATGAAAAGAAAGGTTAAACTCCGTGAGTTGAACGCACACATCACAAAGGAGTTTCTGAGAATCATTCTGGCTAGTTTCTATAGGAAGATATTTCCTATTCTACCATTGACCTCAAAGCGGCTGAAATCTCCCCTTGCAAATTCCACAAAATGAGTGTTTCAAGTCTGCTCTGTGTAAAGCATCGTTCAACTCTGTGAGTTGAAAACACACAACACAAGGAAGTTTCTGAGAATTCTTCTGTCTAGCAGAATATGAAGAAATCCCGTTTCCAACGAAGGCCACAAGATGTCAGAATATCCACTTACAGACTTTACAAACAGAGTGTTTCCTAACTGCTCTATGAACAGAAAGGTTAAACTCTGTGAGTTGAACGAACAGATCACAACGCAGTTTGTGGGAATGATTCTGTCTAGTTTTGAAACGAAGATATTTCCTTTTCTGCCGTTGACCTTAAAGCGCTTGAAATCTACACTTGCAAATTGCACAAATAGAGTGTTTCAAATCTGCTCTGTCTAAGGGAACGTTCAACTCTGTGAGTTGAATGCACACAACACAAGGAAGTTACTGGGAATTCTTCTGTCTATCCTTACATGAAAAAAACCCGTTTCCAACGAAGGCCTCTAAGTGGTCAAAATACCCACGTGCAGACTTTACAAACAGAGTGTTTCCAAACCGCTGAATGAAAAGAAAAGTTAAACTCTGAGAGTTGAACGCACACATCACGCAGCAGTTTCTGAGAATGATTCTGTCTAGTTTTTATACGAAGATATTTCCTTTTCTGCCTTTGGCCCCAAAGCGCTTGAAATCTCCACTTGCAAATTCCACAAAAACAGTGTTTCAAATCTGCTCTCTCTAAATGAAAGTTCAGCTATGTCAGTTGAATACACACAACACAAGGAAGTTACTGAGAATTCTTCTGTATAGCAGAATATGAAGAAATCCCGTATCCAACGAAGGCCTCAAGGAGGTCTGAATATCCACTTGCAGACTTTACAATCAGAGTGTTTCCTAACTGCTCTATGAAAAGAAACGTTAAACTCTGTGAGTTGAACGCAGACATCACAAAGGAGTTTCTGAGAATCACTCTGTCTAGTTTTTCTACGAAGATATTTCCTTTTCTACTATTGACCTCAAAGCGGCTGAAATCTCCACTTGCAAATTCCACAAAAAGAGTGTTTCAAGTCTGCTCTGTGTAAAGGATCGTTCAACTCTGTGAGTTGAATACACACAACACAAGGAAGTTACTGAGAACTCTTCTGTCTAGCAGAATATGAAGAAATCCCGTTTCCAACGAAGGCCACAAGATGTCAGAATATCCACTTACAGACTTTACAAACAGAGTGTTTCCTAACTGCTCTATGAAAAGAAAAGTTAAACTCTGTGAGTTGCACGCACACATCACAAAGGAGTTTCTGAGAATCATTCTGTCTACTTTTGAAACGAAGATATTTCCTTTTCTGCCATTGAACTTAAAGCGCTTGAAATCTCCATTTGCCAATTGCACAAAAAGAGTGTTTCAAATCTGCTCTGTCTAAGGGAACGTTCAACTCTGTGAGTTGAATGTACACAACACAAGGAAGTTACTGGGAATTCTTCTGTCTAGCCTTACAGGAAAAAAACCCGTTTCCAACGAAGGCCTCTAAGTGGTCAAAATATCCACGTGCAGACTTTACAAACAGAGTGTTTCCAAACTGCTGAATGAAAAGAAAAGTTAAACTCCTGAGAGTTGAACGCACACATCGCAGAGCAGTTTCTGAGAATGATTTCTGTCTAGTTTTTATACGAAGATATTCCCTTTTCTACTATTGACCTCAAAGCGGCTGAAATCTCCACCTGCAAATTCCACAAAAAGAGTGTTTCTAATCTGCTCTGTGTAAAGGATCGTTCAACTCTGTGAGTTGAATACACACAACACAAGGAAGTTACTGAGAATTCTTCTGTCTAGCATAATATGACGAAATCCCGTTTCCAACGAAGGCCTCAAAGGGGTCTGAATATCCACTTGCAGACTTTATAAACAGAGTGTTTACTAACTGCTCTATGAAAAGAAAGGTTAAACTCTGTGAGTTGAACACACACATCACAAAGGAGTTTCTGAGAATCATTCTGTCTAGTTTCTATAAGAAGATATTTCCTATTCTACCATTGACCTCAAAGCGGCTGAAATCTCCACTTGCAAATTCGACAAAAAGAGTGTTTCAAGCCTGCTCTCTGTAAAGGATCCTTCAACTCTGTGAGTTGAATACACACAACACAATGAAGTTACTGAGAATTATTCTGTCTAGCAGAATATGAAGAAATCCCGTTTCCAACGAAGGCCTCAAGGAGGTCTGAATATCCACTTGCAGACTTTACAAACAGAGTGTTTCCTAACTGCTCTATGAAAAGAAAGGTTAAACTCTTTGAGTTGAACGCACACATCACAACGCAGTTTGTGGGAATGATTCTGTCTAGTTTTGAAACGAAGATATTTCCTTTTCTGCCATTGACCTTCAAGCGCTTGAAATCTCCATTTGCCAATTGCACAAAAAGAGTGTTTCAAATCTGCTCTGTCTAAGGGAACGTTCAACTCTGTGAGTTGAATGTACACAACACAAGGAAGTTACTGGGAATTCTTCTGTCTAGCCTTACAGGAAAAAAACCCGTTTCCAACGAAGGCCTCTAAGTGGTCAAAATATCCACATGCAGACTTTACAAACAGAGTGTTTCCAAACTGCTGAATGAAAAGAAAAGTTAAACTCTGAGAGTTGAACGCACACATCGCAGAGCAGTTTCTGAGAATGATTCTGTCTAGTTTTTATACGAAGATATTTCCTTTTCTGCCTTTGGCCCCAAAGCGCTTGAAATCTCCACTTGCAAATTCCACAAAAACAGTGTTTCAAATCTGCTCTCTCTAAATGATAGTTCAACTCCGTCAGTTGAATACACACAACACAAGGAAGTTACTGAGAATTCTTCTGTCTAGCATAATATGAAGAAATCCCGTTTCCAACGAAGGCCTCAAAGGGGTCTGAATATCCACTTGCAGACTTTATAAACAGACTGTTTACTAACTGCTCTATGAAAAGAAAGGTTAAACTCTGTGAGTTGAACACACACATCACAAAGGAGTTTCTGAGAATCATTCTGTCTAGTTTTTCTACGAAGATATTTCCTTTTCTACTATTGACCTCAAAGCGCCTGAAATCTCCACTTGCAAATTCCACAGAAAGAGTGTTTCAAGTCTGCTCTGTGTAAAGGATCGTTCAACTCTGTGAGTTGAATACACACAACACAAGGAAGTTACTGAGAATTCTTCTGTCTAGCATAATATGAAGAAATCCCGTTTCCAACGAAGGCCTCAAGGAGGTCCTGAATATCCACTTGCAGACTTTACAAACAGAGTGTTTCCTAACTGCTCTATGAAAAGAAAGGTTAAACTGTGGGAGTTGAACGCACACATCACAAAGGAGTTTCTCAGAATCATTCTGTCTAGTTTTGAAACGAAGATATTTCCTTTTCTGCCGTTGACCTTAAAGCGCTTGAAATCTACACTTGGAAATTGCACAAATAGAGTGTTTCAAATCTGCTCTGTCTAAGGGAACGTTCAACTCTGTGAGTTGAATGCACACAACACAAGGAAGTTACTGGGAATTCTTCTGTCTAGCCTTACATGAAAAAAACCCGTTTCCAACGAAGGCCTCTAAGTGGTCAAGTTATCCACGTGCAGACTTTACAAACAGAGTGTTTCCAAACTGCTGAATGAAAAGAAAAGTTAAACTCTGAGAGTTGAATGCACACATCGCAGAGCAGTTTCTGAGAATGATTCTGTCTAGTTTTTATACGAAGATATTTCCTTTTCTGCCTTTGGCCCCAAAGCGTTTGAAATCTCCACTTGCAAATTCCACAAAAACAGTGTTTCAAATCTGCTCTCTCTAAATGAAAGTTCAACTCTGTCAGTTGAATACACACAACACAAGGGAAGTTACTGAGAATTCTTCTGTCTAGCAGAATATGAAGAAACCCCGCTTCCAACGAAGGCCTCAAAGAAGTCTGAATATCCACTTGCAGACTTTACAAACAGAGTTTTTCCCAACTGCTCTATGAAAAGAAAGTTTGAACTCTGTGAGTTGAACGCACACATCACAAAGGAGTTTCTGAGAATCATTCTGTCTAGTTTCTATAGGAAGATATTTCCTATTCTAACATTGACCTCAAAGCGGCTGAAATCTCCACTTGCAAATTCCAGAAAAAGAGTGTTTCAAGTCTGCTCTGTTTAAAGGATCGTTCAACTCTGTGAGTTGAATACACACAACACAAGGAAGTTACTGAGAATTCTTCTGTCTAGCAGAATATGAAGAAATCCCGTTTCCAACGAAGGCCACAAGATGTCAGAATATCCACTTACAGAATTGACAAACAGACTGTTTCCTAACTGCTCTATGAAAAGAAAGGTTAAACTCTGTGAGTTGAACGAACACATCACAACACAGTTTGTGGGAATGATTCTGTCTAGTTTTAAAACGAAGATATTTCCTTTTCTGCCGTTGACCTTAAAGCGCTTGAAATCTACACTTGCAAATTGCACAAATAGAGTGTTTCAAATCTGCTCTGTCTAAGGGAACGTTCAACTCTGTGAGTTGAATGCACACAACACAAGGAAGTTACTGGGAATTTTTCTGTCTAGCCTTACATGAAAAAAACCCGTTTCCAACGAAGGCCTCTAAGTGGTCAAAATATCCACGTGCAGACTTTACAAACAGAGTGTTTCCAAAGCGCTGAATGAAAAGAAAAGTTAAACTCTGAGAGTTGAACGCACACATCACGCAGCAGTTTCTGAGAATGATTCTGTCTAGTTTCTATAGGAAGATATTTCCTATTCTACCATTGACCTCAAAGCGGCTGAAATCTCCACTTGCAAATTCCACAAAAAGAGTGTTTCAAGTCTGCTCTGTGTAAAGGATCGTTCAACTCTGTGAGTTGAATACACACAACGCAAGGAAGTTACTGAGAATTCTTCTGTCTAGCAGAATATGAAGAAATCCCGCTTCCAACGAAGGCCTCAAAGAAGTCTGAATATCCACTTGCAGACTTTACAAACAGAGTGTTTCCCAACTGCTCTATGAAAAGAAAGGTTAAACTCTGTGAGTTGAACGCACACATCACAAAGGAGTTTCTGAGAATCATTCTGTCTAGTCTTTATACGAAGATATTTACTTTTCTACCATTGACCTCAAAGCGGCTGAAATCTCCACTTGCAAATTCCACAAAAAGAGTGTTTGAAGTCTGCTCTGTGTAAAGGATCATTCAACTCTGTGAGTTGAATAAACACAACACAAGGAAGTTACTGAGAATTCTTCTGTCTAGCAGAATATGAAGAAATCCCGTTTCCAACGAAGGCCTCAAGGAGGTCTAAATATCCACTTGCAGACTTTACAAACAGAGTGTTTCCTAACTGCTCTATGAAAAGAAAGGTTAAACTCTGTGAGTTGAACGCACACATCACAAAGGAGTTCATGAGAATCATTTTGTCTAGTTTCTATAAGAAGATATTTCCTATTCTACCATTGACCTCAAAGCGGCTGAAACCTCCACTTGCAAATTCGACAAAAAGAGTGTTTCAAGCCTGCTCTCTGTAAAGGATCCTTCAACTCTGTGAGTTGAATACACACAACACAAGGAAGTTACTGAGAATTATTCTGTCTAGCCTTACAGGAAAGAAACCCGTTTCCAACGAAGGCCTCTAAGTGGTCAAAATATCCACGTGCAGACTTTACAAACAGAGTGTTTCCAAACTGTTGAATGAAAAGAAAAGTTAAACTCTGAGAATTGAACGCACACATCGCAGAGCAGTTTCTGAGAATGATTCTGTCTAGTTTTTATACGAAGATATTTCCTTTTCTACCATTGACCTCAAGGCGGCTGAAATCTCCACTTGCAAATTCCACAAAAAGAGTGTTTCAAGTCTGCTCTGTGTAAAGGATCGTTCAACTCTGTGAGTTGAATACACACAACACAAGGAAGTTACTGAGAATTCTTCTGTCTAGCACAGTATGAAGAAATCCCGTTTCCAACGAAGGCCTCAAAGAGGTCTGAATATCCACTTGCAGAGTTTAAAAACACAGTGTTTCCTAACTGCTCTATGAAAAGAAAGGTTAAACTCTGTGAGTTGAACACACACATCACAAAGAAGTTTCTGAGAATCATTCTGTCTAGTCTTTATACGAAGATATTTACTTTTCTACCATTGACTTCAAATCGGCTGAAATCTCCACTTGCAAATTACACAAAAAGAGTGTTTCAAGTCTGCTCTGTGTAAAGGATCATTCAAATCTGTGAGTTGAATAAACACAACACAAGGAAGTTACTGAGAATTCTTCTGTCTAGCAGAATATGAAGAAAGCCCGTTTCCAACGAAGGCCTCAAGGAGGTCTGAATATCCACTTGCAGACTTTACAAACAGAGTGTTTCCTAACTGCTCTATGAAAAGAAAGGTTAAACTCTGTGAGTTCAACGCACACATCACAAAGGAGTTCATGAGAATCATTCTGTCTAGTTTTGAAACGAAGATATTTCCTTTTATGCCATTGACCTTAAAGTGCTTGAAATCTACACTTGCAAATTGCACAAATTGAGTGTTTCACATCTGCTCTGTCTAAGGGAACGTTCATCTCTGTGAGTTGAATGCACACAACACAAGGAAGTTACTGGGAATTCTTCTGTCTAGCCTTACATGAAAAAAAACCGTTTCCAACGAAGGCCTCTAAGTGGTCAAATTATCCACGTGCAGACTTTACAAACAGAGTGTTTCCAAACTGCTGAATGAAAAGAAAAGTTAAACTCTGAGAGTTGAACGCACACATCGCAGAGCAGTTTCTGAGAATGATTCTGTCTAGTTTTTATACGAAGGTATTTCCTTTTCTGCCTTTGGCCCCAAAGCGCTTGAAGTCTCCACTTGCAAATTCCACAAAAACAGTGCTTCAAATCTGCTCTCTCTAAATGAAAGTTCAACTCTGTCAGTTGAATACACACAACACAAGGAAGTTACTGAGAATTCTTCTGTGTAGCACAGTATGAAGAAATCCCGTTACCAACGAAGGCCTCAAAGAGGTCTGAATATCCACTTGCAGAGTTTACAAACAGAGTGTTTCCTAACTGCTCTATGAAAAGAAAGGTGAAACTCTGTGAGTTGAACGCACACATCACAAAGAAGTTTCTGAGAAACATTCTGTCTAGTTTTTGTACGAAGATATTTCCTTTTCTACCATTGACCTCAAAGCGGCTGAAATCTCCACTTGCAAATTCCACAAAAAGAGTGTTTGTAATCTGCTCTGTGTAAAGGGTCGTTCAACTCTGTGAGTTGAATACACACAACACAAGGAAGTTACTGAGAATTCTTCTGTCTAGGAGAATATGAAGAAATCCCGTTTCCAACGAAGGCCACAAGATGTCAGAATATCCACTTACAGAATTGACAAACAGACTGTTTCCTAACTGCTCTATGAAAAGAAAGGTTAAACTCTGTGAGTTGAACGAACACATCACAACGCAGTTTGTGGGAATGATTCTGTCTAGTTTTGAAACGGAGATATTTCCTTTTCTGCCATTGACCTTAAAGCGCTTGAAATCTCCATTTGCCAATTGCACAAAAAGAGTGTTTCAAATCTGCTCTGTCTAAGGGAACGTTCAACTCTGTGAGTTGAATGTACACAACACAAGGAAGTTACTGGGAATTCTTCTGTCTAGCCTTACAGGAAAAAAACCCGTTTCCAACCAAGGCTTCTAAGTGGTCAAAATATCCACGTGCAGACTTTACAAACAGAGTGTTTCCAAACTGCTGAATGAAAAGAAAAGTTAAACTCTGAGAGTTGAACGCACACATTGCAGAGCAGTTTCTGAGAATGATTCTGTCTAGTCTTTATACGAAGATATTTCCTTTTCTACCATTGACCTCAAAGCGGCTGAAATCTCCACTTGCAAATTCCACAAAAAGAGTGTTTCAAGTCTGCTCTCTGTAAAGGATCGTTCAACTCTGTGAGTGGAATACACACAACACAAGGAAGTTACTGAGAATTATTCTGTCTACCATAATATGAAGAAATCCCGTTTCCAACGAAGGCCTCAAAGAGGTCTGAATATCCACTTGCAGACTTTACAAACAGAGTGTTTCCTAACTGCTCTATGAAAAGAAAAGTTAAACTCTGTGAGTTGAACGCACACATCACAAAGGAGTTTATGAGAATCATTCTGTCTAGTTTCTATAGGAAGATATTTCCTATTCTACCATTGACCTCAAATCGGCTAAAATCTCCACTTGCAAATTCCACAAAAAGAGTGTTTCAAGTCCGCTCTGTGTAAAGGATCGTTCAACTCTGTGAGTTGAATACACACAACACAAGGAAGTTACTGAGAATTCTTCTGTCTAGCAGAATATGAAGAAATCCCGTTTCCAACGAAGGCCACAGGATGTCAGAATATCCACTTACAGACTTTACAAACAGAGTGTTTCCTAACTGCTCTATGAACAGAAAGGTTAAACTCTGTGAGTTGAACCAACACATCACAACGCAGTTTTTGGGAATGATTCTGTCTAGTTTTGAAACGAAGATATTTCCTTTTCTGCCGTTGACCTTAAAGAGCTTGAAAACTACACTTGCAAATTGCACAAATAGAGTGTTTCAAATCTGCTCTGTCTAAGGGAACGTTCAACTCTGTGAGTTGAATGCACACAACACAAGGAAGTTACTGGGAATTCTTCTGTCTAGCCTTACATGAAAAAAACCCGTTTCCAACGAAGGCCTCTAAGTGGTCAAATTATCCACGTGCAGACTTTACAAACAGAGTGTTTCCAAACTGCTGAATGAAAAACAAAGTTAAACTCTGAGAGTTGAACGCACACATCGCAGAGCAGTTTCTGAGAATGATTCTGTCTAGTTTTTCTACGAAGATATTTCCTTTTCTACTATTGACCTCAAAGCGGCTGAAATCTCCACTTGCAAATTCCACAAAAAGAGTGTTTCAAGTCTGCTCTGTGTAAAGGATCATTCAACTCCGTGAGTTGAATACACACAACACAAGGAAGTTACTGAGAATTCTTCTGTCTAGCAGAATATGAAGAAATCCCGTTTCCAACGAAGGCCTCAAAGAAGTCTGAATATCCACTTGCAGACTTTACAAACAGAGTGTTTCCTGAACTGCTCTATGAAAAGAAAGGTTAAACTCTGTGAGTTGAACGCACACATCACAAAGGAGTTTCTGAGAATCATTCTGTCTAGTTTCTATAGGAAGATATTTCCTATTCTACCATTGACCTCCAAGAGGCTGAAATCTCCACTTGCAAATTCCACAAAAAGAGTGTTTCAAGTCTGCTCTCTGTAAAGGATCGTTCAACTCTGTGAGTTGAATACACACAGCACAAGGAATTTACTGAGAATTATTCTGTCTAGCATAATATTAAGAAATCCCGTTTCCAACGAAGGCCTCAAAGAGGTCTGAATATCCACTTGCAGACTTTACAAACAGAGTGTTTCCTAACTGCTGTATGAAAAGAAAAGTTAAAATCTGTGTGTTGAACGCACACATCACAAAGGAGTTTCTGAGAATCATTCTGTCTAGTCTTTATACGAAGATATTTCCTTTTCTACTATTGACCTCAAAGCGGCTGAAATCTCCACTTGCAAATTCCACAAAAAGAGTGTTTCAAGTCTGCTCTCTGTAAAGGATCGTTCAACTCTGTGAGTTGAATACACACAACACAAGGAAGTTACTGAGAATTCTTCTGTCTAGCCTTACAGGAAAAAAACCCGTTTCCAACGAAGGCCTCTAAGTGGTCAAAATATCCACGTGCAGACTTTACAAACAGAGTGTTCCCAAACTGCTGAATGTAAAGAAAAGTTAAACTCTGAGAGTTGAACGCACACATCGCAGAGCAGTTTCTGAGAATGATTCTGTCTAGTTTTTATACGAAGATATTTCCTTTTCTGCCTTTGGCCTCAAAGCGCTTCAAACCTCCATTTGCAAATTCCACAAAAAGAGTGTTTCAAATCTGCTCTGTGTAAATGAAAGTTCAACTCTGTGAGTTGAACACACACAACACAAGGAAGTTACTGGGAATTCTTCTGTCTAGCCTTATATGAAAAAAACCCGTTTCCAACGAAGGCCTCAAAGAGGTCTGAATATCCTCTTGCAGACTTTACAAACAGAGTGTTTCCTAACTGCTCTATGAAAAGAAAAGTTAAACTCTGTGAGTTGAATGCACACATCACAAAGGAGTTTCTGAGAATCATTCTGTCTAGTTTTTATACGAAGATATTTCCTTTTCTACCATTGACCTCAAAGCGGCTGAAATCTCCACTTGCAAATTACACAAAAAGAGTGTTTCAAGTCTACTCTGTGTAAAGCATCGTTCAACTCTGTGAGTTGAGAACACACAACACAAGGAAGTTTCTGAGAATTCTTCTGTCTAGCAGAAAATGAAGAAATCCCGTTTCCAACGAAGGCCACAAGATGTCAGAATATCCACTTACAGACTTTACAAACAGAGTGTTTCCTAACTGCTCTATGAACAGAAAGGTTAAACTGCTGTGAGTTGAACGAACACATCACAACGCAGTTTGTGGGAATGATTCTGTCTAGTTTTTATACGAAGATATTTCCTTTTCTACCATTGACTTCAAAGCGGCTGAAATCAGCACTTGCCAATTGCACAAAAAGAGTGTTTCAAATCTGCTCTGTCTAAGGGAACGTTCAACTCTGTGAGTTGAATGTACACAACACAAGGAAGTTACTGGGAATTCTTCTCTCTAGCCTTACAGGAAAAAAACCCGTTTCCAACGAAGGCCTCTAAGTGGTCAAAATATCCACGTGCAGACTTTACAAACACAGTGTTTCCAAACTGCTGAATGAAAAGAAAAGTTAAACTCTGAGAGTTGAACGCACACATCGCAGAGCAGTTTCTGAGAATGATTCTGTCTAGTTTTTATACGAAGATATTTCCTTTTCTGCCTTTGGCCCCAAAGCGCTTGAAATCTCCACTTGCAAATTCCACAAAAACAGTGTTTCAAATCTGCTCTCTCTAAATGAAAGTTCAGCTCTGTCAGTTGAATACACACAACACAAGGAAGTTACTGAGAATTCTTCTGTCTAGCAGAATATGAAGAAATCCCGCTTCCAACGAAGGCCTCAAAGAAGTCTGAATATCCACTTGCAGACTTTACAAACAGAGTGTTTCCCAACTGCTCTATGAAAAGAAAGTTTGAACTCTGTGAGTTGAACGCACACATCACAAAGGAGTTTCTGAGAATCATTCTGTCTAGTTTCTATAGGAAGATATTTCTTATTCTATCATTGACCTCAAAGCGGCTGAAATCTCCACTTGCAAATTCCACAAAAAGAGTGTTTCAAGTCTGCTCTCTGTAAAGGATCGTTCAACTCTGTGAGTTGAATACACGCAACACAAGGAAGTTACTGAGAATTATTCTGTCTAGCAGAATATGAAGAAATCCCGTTTCCAACGAAGGCCACAAGAGGTCAGAATATCCACTTACAGACTTTACAAACAGAGTGTTTCCTAACTGCTCTATGAGCAGAAAGGTTAAACTCTGTGAGTTGAACGAACACATCACAACGCAGTTTGTGGGAATGATTCTGTCTAGTTTTGAAACGAAGATATTTCCTTTTCTGCCATTGACCTTAAAGCGCTTTTAATCTACACTTGCAAATTACACAAATACAGTGTTTCAAATCTGCTGTGTCTAAGGGAATGTTCATCTCTGTGAGTTGAATGCACACAACACAAGGAAGTTACTGGGAATTCTTCTGTCTAGCCTTACATGAAAAAAACCCGTTTCCAACGAAGGCCTCTAAGTGGTCAAAATATCCACGTGCAGACTTTACAAACAGAGTGTTTCCAAACCGCTGAATGAAAAGAAAGGTTAAACTATGAGAGTTGAACGCACACATCACGCAGCAGTTTCTGAGAATGATTCTGTCTAGTTTTTATACGAAGATATTTCCTTTTCTGCCTTTGGCCCCAAAGCGCTTGAAATCTCCACTTGCAAATTCCACAAAAACAGTGTTTCAAATCTGCTCTCTCTAAATGATAGTTCAACTCTGTCAGTTGAATACACACAACACAAGGAAGTTACTGAGAATTCTTCTGTATAGCAGAATATGAAGAAATCCCGTTTCCAACGAAGGCCACAAGGAGGTCTGAATATCCACTTGCAGACTTTACAAACAGAGTGTTTCCTAACTGCTCTATGAAAAGAAAGGTTAAACTCTGTGAGTTGAACGCAAACATCACAAAGGAGTTTCTGAGAATCACTCTGTCTAGTTTCTATAGGAAGATATTTCCTATTCTACCATTGACCTCAAAGCGGCTGAAATCTCCACTCGCAAATTCCACAAAAAGAGTGCTTCAAGTCTGCTCTGTGTAAAGGATCGTTGAACTCTGTGAGTTGAATACACACAACACAAGGAAGTTACTGAGAATTCTTCTCTCTAGCAGAATATGAAGAAATCCCGTTTCCAACGAAGGCCTCAAAGAGGTCTGAATATCCACTTGCAGACTTTACAAACAGAGTGTTTCCTAACTGCTCTATGAAAAGAAAGGTTAAACTCTGTGAGTTGAACGCACATATCACAAAGGAGTTTCTGAGAATAATTCTGTCTAGTCTTTATACGAAGATATTTCCTTTTCTGCCATTGACCTCAAAGCGGCTGAAATCTCCACTTGCAAATTCCACAAAAAGAGTGTTTCAAGTCTGCTCTGTGTAAAGGATCGTTCAACTCTGTGAGTTGAATACACACAACACAAGGAATTTACTGAGAATTCTTCTGTCTAGCCTTACTTGCAAAAAACCCGTTTCCAACGAAGGCCTCTAAGTGGTCAAAATATCCACGTGCAGACTTTACAAACAGAGTGTTTCCAAACCGCTGAATGAAAAGAAAAGTTAAACTCTGAGAGTTGAACGCACACATCACGCAGCAGTTTCTGAGAATGCTTCTGTCTAGTTTTTATACGAAGATATTTCCTTTTCTGCCCTTGGCCCCAAAGCGCTTGAAATCTCCACTTGCAAATTCCACAAAAACAGTGTTTCAAATCTGCTCTCTCTAAATGAAAGTTCAACTCTGTCAGTTGAATACACACAACACAAGGAAGTTACTGAGAATTCTTCTGTCTAGCAGAATATGAAGAAATCCCGTTTCCAACGAAGGCCTCAAAGAGGTCTGAATATCCATTTGCAGACTTTACAAACAGAGTGTTTCCTAACTGCTCTATGAAAAGAAAGGTTAAACTCTGTGAGTTGAACGCACACATCACAAAGGAGTTTCTGAGAATCATTCTGTCTAGTTTCTATAGGAAGATATTTCCTATTCTACCATTGACCTCAAAGCGGCTGAAATCTCCACTTGCAAATTCCACAAAAAGAGTGTTTCAAGCCTGCTCTCTGTAAAGGATCCTTCAACTCTGTGAGTTGAATACACACAACACAAGGAAGTTACTGAGAATTATTCTGTCTAGCAGAATATGAAGAAATCCCGTTTCCAACGAAGGCCACAAGATGTCAGAATATCCACTTACAGAATTTACAAACAGACTGTTTCCTAACTGCTCTATGAAAAGAAAGGTTAAACTCTGTGAGTTGAACGAACACCTCACAACGCAGTTTGTGGGAATGATTCTGTCTAGTTTTGAAACGAAGATATTTCCTTTTCTGCCATTGACCTTAAAGCGCTTGAAATCTGCACTTGCCAATTGCACAAAAAGAGTGTTTCAAATCTGCTTGGCCTAAATGAAAGTTCAACTGTGACACTTGAATACACACAACACAAGGAAGTTACTGAGAATTCTTCTGTCTAGCCTTACATGAAAAAAACCCTTTTCCAACGAAGGCCTCTAAGTGGTCAAAATTTCCACGTGCAGACTTTACAAACAGAGTGTTTCCAAACCGCTGAATGAAAAGAAAAGTTAAACTCTGAGAGTTGAACGCAAACATCACGCAGCAGTTTCTGAGAATGATTCTGTCTAGTTTTTATACGAAGATATTTCCTTTTCTGCCTTTGGCCCCAAAGCGCTTGAAATCTCCAATTGCAAATTCCACAAAAACAGTGTTTCAAATCTGCTCTCTCTAAATGAACGTTCAACTCTGTCAGTTGAATACACACAACACAAGGAAGTTACTGAGAATTATCTTGTCTAGCAGAATATGAAGAAATCCCGTTTCCAACGAAAGCCTCAAGGATGTCTGAATATCCACTTGCAGACTTTACAAACAGAGTGTTTCCTAACTGCTCTATGAACAAGAAAGGTTAAACTCTGTGAGTTGAACGCACACATCACAAAGGAGTTTCTGAGAATCATTCTGTCTATTCTTTATACGAAGATAGTTTCCTTTTCTACCATTGACCTCAAAGCGGCTGAATTCTCCACTTGCAAATTCCACAAAAAGAGTGTTTCAAGTCTGCTCTGTGTAAAGGATCGTTCAACTCTGTGAGTTGAATACACACAACACAAGGAAGTTACTGAGAATTCTTCTGTCTAGCAGAATATGAAGAAATCCCGTTTCCAACGAAGGCCACACGATGTCAGAATATCCACTTACAGAATTTACAAACAGAGTGTTTCCTAACTGCTCTATGAAAAGAAAGGTTAAACTCTGTGAGATGAACGAACACATCACAACGCAGTTTGTGGGAATGATTCTGTCTAGTTTTGAAACGAAGATATTTCCTTTTCTGCCATTGACCTTAAAGCGCTTGAAATCTCCACTTGCCAATTGCACAAAAAGAGTGTTTCAAATCTGCTCTGTCTAAGGGAACGTTCAACTCTGTGAGTTGAATGTACACAACACAAGGAAGTTACTGGGAATTCTTCTGTCTAGCCTTACATGAAAAAAACCCGTTTCCAACGAAGGCCTCTAAGTGGTCAAAATGTCCACGTGCAGACTTTACAAACAGAGTGTTTCCAAACCGCTGAATGAAAAGAAAAGTTAAACTCTGAGAGTTGAACGCACACATCACGCAGCAGTTTCTGAGAATGATTCTGTCTAGTTTTTATACGAAGATATTTCGTTTTTTGCCTTTGGCCCCAAAGCGCTTGAAATCTCCACTTGCAAATTCCACAAAAACAGTGTTTCAAATCTGCTCTCTCTAAACGAAAGTTCAACTCTGTCAGTTGAATACACACAACACAAGGAAGTTACTGAGAATTCTTCTGTCTAGCAGAATATGAAGAAATCCCGTTTCCAACGAAGGCCTCAAAGGGGTCTGAATATCCACTTGCAGACTTTACAAACAGAGTGTTTCCTAACTGCTCCATGAGAAGAAAAGTGAAACTCTGTGAGTTGAACGCACACATCACAAAAGATTTTCTGAGAATCATTCTGTCTAGTTTCTATAGGAAGATATTTCCTATTCTACCATTGACCTCAAAGCGGCAGAAATCTCCACTTGCAAATTCCACAAAAAGAGTGTTTCAAGACTGCTCTGTGTAAAGGATCGTTCAACTACTGTGAGTTGAATACACACAACACAAGGAAGTTACTGAGAATTCTTCTGTCTAGCATAGTATGAAGAAATCCCGTTTCCAACGAAGGCCTCAAAGAGGTATGAATATCCACTTGCAGACTTTACAAACAGAGTGTTTCCTAACTGCTCTATGAAAAGAAAGGTTAAACTCTGTGAGTTGAACGCACACATCACAAAGAAGTTTCTGAGAATGATTCTGTCTAGTTTTGAAACGAAGATATTTCCTTTTCTGCCTTTGGCCTCAAAGCGCTTGAAATCTCCATTTGCAAATTCCACAAAAAGAGTGTTTCAAATCTGCTCTGTGTAAATGAAAGTTCAACTCTGTGAGTTGAACACACACAACACAAGGAAGTTACTGGGAATTCTTCTGTCTAGCCTTACATGAAAAAAAACCGTTTCCAACGAAGGCCTCTAAGTGGTCAAAATATCCACGTGCAGACTTTACAAACAGAGTGTTTCCAAACCGCTGAATGAAAAGAAAAGTTGAACTCTGAGAGTTGAACGTACACATCACACAGCAGTTTCTGAGAATGATTCTGTCTAGTTTTTATACGAAGATATTTCCTTTTCTGCCTTTGGCCTCAAAGCGCCTGAAATCTCCACTTGCAAATTCCACAAAAAGAGTGTTTCAAATCTGCTCTGTGTAAATGAAAGTTCAACTCTGTGAGTTGAACACACACAACACAAGGAAGTTACTGGGAATTCTTCTGTCTAGCCTTATATGAAAAAAACCCGTTTCCAACGAAGGCCTCAAAGAGGTCTGAATATCCACTTGCAGACTTTACCAACAGAGTGTTTCCTAACTGCTCTATGAAAAGAAAGGTTAAACTCTGTGAGTTGAACGCACACATCACAAAGGAGTTTCTGAGAATCATTCTGTCTAGTTTTTATACGAAGATATTTCCTTTTCTACCACGGACCTCAAAGCGGCTGAAATCTCCACTTGCAAATTCCACAAAAAGAGTGTTTCAAATCTGTTCTGTGTAAACCATCGTTCAACTCTGTGAGTTGAATACACACAACACAAGGAAGATTCTGAGAATTCTTCTGTCTAGCAGAATATGAAGAAATCCCGTTTCCAACGAAGGCCAGAAGATGTCAGAATATCCACTTACAGACTTTACAAACACAGTGTTTCCTAACTGCTCTATGAACAGAAAGGTTAAACTCTGTGAGTTGAACGAACACATCACAACGCAGTTTGTGGGAATGATTCTGTCTAGTTTTGAAACGAAGATATTTCCTTTTCTGCCATTGACCTTAAAGCGCTTGAAATCTACACTTGCAAATTGCACAAATAGAGTGTTTCAAATCTGCTCTGTCTAAGGGAACGTTCAACTCTGTGAGTTGAGTGCACACAACACAAGGAAGTTACTGGGAATTCTTCTGTCTAGCCTTACATGAAAGAAACCCGTTTCCAACGAAGGCCTCTAAGTGGTCAAAATATCCACGTGCAGACTTTACAAACACAGTGTTTCCAAACCGCTGAATGAAAAGAAAAGTTAAACTCTGAGAGTTGAACGCACACATCACGCAGCAGTTTCTGAGAATGATTCTGTCTAGTTTTGAAACGAAGATATTTCCTTTTCTGCCTTTGGCCTCAAAGCGCTTGAAATCTCCACTTGCAAATTCCACAAAAAGAGTGTTTCAAATCTGCTCTGTGTAAAGGAAAGTTCAACTCTGTGAGTCGAACACACACTACACAAGGAAGTTACTGGGAATTCTTCTGTCTAGCACAGTATGAAGAAATCCCGTTTCCAACGAAGGCCTCAAAGAGGTCTGAATATCCACTTGCAGAGTTTACAAACAGAGTGTTTCCTAACTGCTCTATGAAAAGAAAGGTTAAGCTCTGTGAGTTGAACGCACACATCACAATGAAGTTTCTGAGAATCATTCTGTCTAGTTTTTATACGAAGATATTTCCTTTTCTGCCATTGACCTCAAAGCGGCTGAAATCTCCACTTGCCAATTCCACAAAAAGAGTGTTTCAAGTCTGCTCTGTGTAAAGGATCGTTCAACTCTGTGAGTTGAATACACACAACACAAGGAAGTTTCTGAGAATTCTTCTGTATAGCAGAATATGAAGAAATCCCGTTTCCAACGAAGGCCTCAAGGAGGTCTCAATATCCAATTGCAGACTTTACAAACAGAGTGTTTCCTAACTGCTCTATGAAAAGAAAGGTTAAACTCTGTCAGTTGAACGCAGACATCACAAAGGAGTTTCTGAGAATCACTCTGTCTAGTTTTGAAACGAAGATATTTCCTTTTCTGCCATTGACCTCAAAGCGCTTGAAATCTCCACTTGCCAATTGCACAAAAAGAGTGTTTCAAATCTGCTCTGTCTAAGGGAACGTTCAACTCTGTGAGTTGAATGTACACAACACAAGGAAGTTACTGGGAATTCTTCTGTCTAGCGTTACAGGAAAAAAACCCGTTTCCAACGAAGGCCTCTAAGTGGTCAAAATATCCACGTGCAGACTTTACAAACAGAGTGTTTCCAAACTGCTGAATGAAAAGAAAAGTTAAACTCTGAGAGTTGAACGCACACATCGCAGAGCAGTTTCTGAGAATGATTCTGTCTAGTTTTTATACGAAGATATTTCCTTTTCTGCCTTTGGCCTCAAAGCGCTTGAAATCTCCATTTGCAAATTCCACAAAAAGAGTGTTTCAAATCTGCTCTGTGTAAATGAAAGTTCAACTCTGTGAGTTGAACACACACAACACAAGGATGTTACTGGGAATTCTTCTGTCTAGCCTTATACGAAAAAATCCCGTTTCCAACGAAGGCCTCAAAGAGGTCTGAATATCCACTTGCAGACTTTACAAACAGAGTGTTTCCTAACTGCTCTATGAAAAGAAAGGTTAAACTCTGTGAGTTGAACACACACATCACAAAGGAGTTTCTGAGAATCATTCTGTCTAGTTTCTATAGGAAGATATTTCCTATTCTACCATTGACCTCAAAGCGGCTGAAATCTCCACTTGCAAATTCCACAAAAAGAGTGTTTCAAGTCTGCTCTGTGTAAAGGATCGTTCAACTCTGTGAGTTGAATACACACAACACAAGGAAGTTACTGAGAATCTTCTGTCTAGCAGAATATGAAGAAATCCTGTTTCCAACGAAAGCCTCAAAGATGTCTGAATATCCACTTGCAGACTTTACAAACAGAGTGTTTCCTAACTGCTCTATGAAAAGAAAGGTTGAACTCTGTGAGTTGAACGCACACATCACAAAGGAGTTTCTCAGAATCATCTGTCTAGTTTTTATAGGAAGATATTTCCTTTTCTACATTTGACTTCAAAGCGGCTGAAATCTCCACTTGCAAATTCCACAAAAAGAGTGTTACAAGTCTGCTCTGTGTAAAGGATCGTTCAACTGTGTGAGTTGAATACACACAACACAAGGAAGTTACTGAGAATTCTTCTGTCTAGCCTTACATGAAAAAAACCCGTTTCCAACGAAGGCCTCTAAGTGGTCAAAATATCCACGTGCAGACTTTACAAACAGAGTGTTTCCAAACCGCTGAATGAAAAGAAAAGTTAAACTGTGAGAGTTGAAGGCACACATCACACAGCAGTTTCTGAGAATGATTCTGTCTAGTTTTTATACGAAGATATTTCCTTTTCTGCCTTTGGCCTCAAAGCGCTTGAAATCTCCACTTGCAAATTCCACAAAAAGTGTGTTTCAAGTCCGCTCTGTGTAAAGGATCGTTCAACTCTGTGAGTTGTATACACACAACACAAGGAAGTTACTGAGAATTCTTCCTTCTAGCAGAATATGAAGAAATCCCGTTTCCAACGAAAGCCTCAAGGATGTCTGAATATCCACTTGCAGACTTTACAAACAGAGTGTTTCCCAACTGCTCTATGAAAAGAAAGGTTAAACTCTGTGAGTTGAACGCACACATCACAAAGGAGTTTCTGAGAATCATTCTGTCTAGTCTTTATACGAAGATATTTCCTTTTCTACTATTGACCTCAAAGCGGCTGAAATCTCCACTTGCAAATTCCACAAAAAGAGTGTTTCAAGTCTGCTCTGTGTAAAGGATCGTTCAACTCTGTGAGTTGAATACAGACAACACAAGGAAGTTACTGAGAATTCTTCTGTCTAGCAGAATATGAAGAAATCCCGTTTCCAACGAAGGCCACAAGATGTCAGAATATCCACTTACAGAATTGACAAACAGACTGTTTCCTAACTGCTCTATGAAAAGAAAGGTTAAACTCTGTGAGTTGAGCGAACACATCACAACGCTGTTTGTGGGAATGATTCTGTCTAGTTTTGAAACCAAGATATTTCCTTTTCTGCCGTTGACCTTAAAGAGCTTGAAAACTACACTTGCAAATTGCACAAATAGAGTGTTTCAAATCTGCTCTGTCTAAGGGAACGTTCAACTCTGTGAGTTGAATGCACACAACACAAGGAAGTTACTGGGAATTCTTCTGTCTAGCCTTACATGAAAAAAACCCGTTTCCAACGAAGGCCTCTAAGTGGTCAAAATATCCACGTGCAGACTGTACAAACAGAGTGTTTCCAAACCGCTGAATGAAAAGAAAAGTTAAACTCTGAGAGTTGAACGCACACATCACGCAGCAGATTCTGAGAATGATTCTGTCTAGTTTTTATACGAAGATATTTCCTTTTCTGCCTTTGGCCTCAAAGCGCTTGAAATCTCCACTTGCAAATTCCACAAAAAGAGTGTTTCAAATCTGCTCTGTGTAAATCAAAGTTCAACTCTGTGAGTAGAACACACACAACACAAGGAAGTTACTGGGAATTCTTCTGTCTAGCATAATATGAAGAAATCCCGTTTCCAACGAATGCCTCAAGGAGGTCTGAATATCCACTTGCAGACTTTACAAACACAGTGTTTCCTAACTGCTCTATGAAAAGAAAGGTTAAACTCTGTGAGTTGAACGCACACATCACAAAGGAGTTTCTGAGAATCATTCTGTCTAGTTTCTATATGAAGATATTTCCTATTCTAACATTGACCTCAAAGCGGCTGAAATCTCCACTTGCAAATTCCACAAAAAGAGTGTTTCAAGTCTGCTCTGTGTAAAGGATCGTTCAACTCTGTGAGTTGAATACACACAACACAAGGAAGTTACCGAGAATTCTTCTGTCTAGCAGAATATGAAGAAATCCCTTTTCAAACGAAGGCCACAAGACGTCAGAATATCCACTTACAGACTTTACAAACAGAGTGTTTCCTAACTGCTCTATGAACCGAAAGGTTAAACTCTGTGAGTTGAACGAACACATCACAACGCAGTTTGTGGGAATGATTCTGTCTAGTTTTGAAACGAAGTACATTTCCTTTTCTGCCTTTGGCCTCAAAGCGCTTGAAATCTCCATTTGCAAATTCCACAAAAAGAGTGTTTCAAATCTGCTCTGTGTAAATGAAAGTTCAACTCTGTGAGTTGAACGCACACAACACAAGGAAAGTTACTGGGAATTCTTCTGTCTAGCCTTACAAGAAAGAAACCCGTTTCCAACGAAGGCCTCTAAGTGGTCAAAATATCCACGTGCAGACTTTACAAACAGAGTGTTTCCAAACTGCTGAATGAAAAGAAAAGTTAAACTCTGAGAGTTGAACGCACACATCGCAGAGCAGTTTCTGAGAATGATTCTGTCTAGTTTCTATAGGAAGATATTTCCTATTCTACCCTTGAACTCAAAGCGGCTGAAATCTCCACTTGCAAATTCCACAAAAAGAGTGTTTCAAGTCTGCTCTGTGTAAAGGATCGTTCAACTCTGTGAGTTGAATACACACAACACAAGGAAGTTACTGACAATTCTTCTGTCTAGCATAATATGAAGAAATCCCGTTTCCAACGAAGGCCTCAAGGAGGTCTGAATATCCACTTGCAGACTTTACAAACAGAGTGTTTCCTAACTGCTCTATGAAAAGAAAGGTTAAACTTTGTGAGTTGAATGCACACATCACAAAGGAGTTTCTCAGAATCATTCTGTCTAGTCTTTATATGAAGATAGTTTCCTTTTCTACCATTGACCTCAAAGCGGCTGAAATCTCCACTTGCAAATTCCACAAAAAGAGTGTTTCAAGTCTGCTCTGTGTAAAGGATCATTCAACTCTGTGAGTTGAATACACACAACACAAGGAAGTTACTGAGAATTATTCTGTCTAGCAGAATATGAAGAAATCCTGTTTCCAACGAAGGCCACAAGATGTCAGAATATCCACTTACAGAATTTACAAACAGTCTGTTTCCTAAGTGCTCTATGAAAAGAAATGTTAAACTGTGTGAGTTGAACGAACACATCGCAACGCAGTTTGTGGGAATGATTCTGTCTAGTTTTGAAACGAAGATATTTCCTTTTCTGCCATTGACCTTAAAGCGCTTGAAATCTACACTTGCAAATTGCACAAATAGAGTGTTTCAAATCTGCTCTGTCTAAGGGAACGTTCAACTCTGTGAGTTTAATGCACCCAACACAAGGGAAGTTACTGGGAATTCTTCTGTCTAGCCTTACATGAAAAAAACCCGTTTCCAACGAAGGCCTCTAAGTGGTCAAAATATCCACGTGCAGACTTTACAAACAGAGTGTTTCCAAACCGCTGAATGAAAAGAAAAGTTAAACTCTGAGAGTTCAACGCACACATCACGCAGCAGTTTCTGAGAATGATTCTGTCTAGTTTTTCTACGAAGATATTTCCTTTTCTGCCTTTGGCCCCAAAGCGCTTGAAATCTCCACTTGCAAATTCCACAAAAACAGTGTTTCAAATCTGCTCTCTCCAAATGAAAGTTCAACTCTGTCAGTTGAATACACACAACACAAGGAAGTTACTGAGAATTCTTCTGTCTAGCATAATATGAAGAAATCGCGTTTCCAACGAAGGCCTCAAGGAGGTCTGAATATCCACTTGCAGACTTTACAAACAGAGTGTTTCCTAACTGCTCTATGAAAAGAAAGGTTAAACTCTGTGTGTTGAACGCACACATCACAAAGGAGTTTCTCAGAATCATTCTGTCTAGTTTTTATACGAAGATATTTCCTTTTCTACCATTGACCTCAAAGCGGCTGAAATCTCCACTTGCAAATTCCACAAAAAGAGTGTTTCAAGTCTATTCTGTGTAAAGGATCGTTCAACTCTGTGAGTTGAAAACACACAACACAACGAAGTTTCTGACAATTCTTCTGTCTAGCAGAATATGGAGAAATCCCGTTTCCAACGAAGGCCTCTAGGAGGTCTGAATATCCACTTGCAGACTTTACAAACAGAGTGTTTCCTAACTGCTCTATGAACAGAAAGGTTAAACTCTGTGAGTTGAACGAACACATCACAACGCAGTTTGTGGGAATGATTCTGTCTAGGTTTGAAACGAAGATATTTCCTTTTCTGCCGTTGACCTTAAAGCGCTTGAAATCTACACTTGTAAATTGCACAAATAGAGTGTTTCAAATCTGCTCTGTCTAAGGGAACGTTCAACTCTGTGAGTTGAATGCACACAACACAAGGAAGTTACTGGGAATTCTTCTGTCTAGCCTTACATGAAAAAAACCCGTTTCTAACGAAGGCCTCTAAGTGGTCAAAATATCCACGTGCAGACTTTACAAACAGAGTGTTTCCAAACCGCTGAATGAAAAGAAAAGTTAAACTCTGAGAGTTGAACGCACACATCATGCAGCAGTTTCTGAGAATGATTCTGTCTAGTTTTTATACGAAGATATTTCCTTTTCTGCCTTTGGCCCCAAAGCGCTTGAAATCTCCACTTGCAAATTCCACAAAAACAGTGTTTCAAATCTGCTCTCTCTAAATGAAAGTTCAACTCTGTGAGTTGAATACACACAACACAAGGAAGTTACTGAGAATTCTTCTGTCTAGCAGAATATGAAGAAATCCCGTTTCCAACGAAGGCCTCAAAGAGGTCTGAATATCCACTTGAAGACTTTACAAACAGAGTGTTTCCTAACTGCTCTATGAAAAGAAAAGTTAAACTCTATGAGTTGAACGCACACATCACAAAGGAGTTTCTGAGAATCATTCTGTCTAGTTTTTATACGAAGATATTTCCTTTTCTAACATTGACCTCAAAGCGGCTGAAATCTCCACTTGCAAATTCCACAAAAAGAGTGTTTCAAGTCCGCCCTGTGTAAAGGATCGTTCAGCTCTGTGAGTTGAATACACACAACACAAGGAAGTTACTGAGAATTCTTCTGTCTAGCACAGTATGAAGAAAACCCGTTTCCAACGAAGGCCTCAAAGAGGTCTGAATATCCACTTGCAGAGTTTACAAACAGAGTGTTTCCTAACTGCTCTATAAAAAGAAAGGTTAAACTCTGTGAGTTGAACGCACACATCACAATGAAGTTTCTGAGAATCATTCTGTCTAGTTTTTATACGAAGATATTTCCTTTTCTACCATTGACCTCAAAGCGGCTGAAATAACCACTTGCCAATTGCACAAAAAGAGTGTTTCAAATCTGCTCTGTCTAAGGGAACGTTCAACTCTGTGAGTTGAATGTACACAACACAAGGAAGTTACTGGGAATTCTTCTGTTTAGCCTTACATGCAAAAAACCCGTTTCCAACGAAGGCCTCTAAGTGGTCAAAATATCCACGTGCAGACTTTACAAACAGAGTGTTTCCAAACCGCTGAATGAAAAGAAAAGTTAAACTCTGATAGTTGAACGCACACATCACGCAGCAGTTTCTGAGAATGATTCTGTCTAGTTTTTATACGAAGATATTTCCTTTTCTGCCTTTGGCCTCAAAGCGCTTGAAATCTCCACTTGCAAATTCCACAAAAAGAGTGTTTCAAATCTGCTCTGTGTAAATGAAAGTTCAACTCTGTGAGTTGAACACACACAACAAAAGGAAGTTACTGGAAATTCTTCTGTCTAGCAGAATAGGAAGAAATCCCGTTTCCAACGAAGGCCTCAAAGAGGTCTGAATATCCACTTGCAGACTTTACAAACAGAGTGTTTCCTAACTGCTCTATGAAAAGAAAGGTTAAACTCTGTGAGTTGAACGCACACATCACAAAGGAGTTTATGAGAATCATTCTGTCTAGTTTTTATACGAAGATATTTCCTTTTCTACTATTTACCTCAACACGGCTGAAATCTCCACTTGCAAATTCCACAAAACGAGTGTTTCAAGTCCGCTCTGTGTAAAGGATCGTTCAACTCTGTGAGTTGAATACACACAACACAAGGAAGTTACTGAGAATTCTTCTGTCTAGCAGAATATGAAGAAATCCCGTTTCCAACGAAGGCCAAAAGATGTCAGAATATCCACTTACAGAATTTACAAACAGAGTGTTTCCTAACTGCTCTATGAAAAGAATGGTTAAACTCTGTGAGTTGAACGAACACATCACAACGCAGTTTGTGGGAATGATTCTGTCTAGTTTTGAAACGAAGATATTTCCTTTTCTGCCATTGACCTTAAGCGCTTGAAATCTCCACTTGCCAATTGCACAAAAAGAGTGTTTCAAATCTGCTCTGTCCAAGGGAACGTTCAACTCTGTGAGTTGAATGTACACAACACAAGGAAGTTACTGGGAATTATTCTGTCTAGCCTTACAGGAAAAAAACCCGTTTCCAACGAAGGCCTCTAAGTGGTCAAAGTATCCACGTGCAGACTTTACAAACAGTGTGTTTCCAAACTGCTGAATGAAAAGAAAAGTTAAACTCTGAGAGTTGAACGCACACATCGCAGAGCAGTTTCTGAGAATGATTCTGTCTAGTTTTTATACGAAGATATTTCCTTTTCTGCCTTTGGCCTCAAAGCGCTTGAAATCTCCATTTGCAAATTCCACAAAAAGAGTGTTTCAAATCTGCTCTGTGTAAATGAAAGTACAACTCTGTGAGTTGAACACACACAACACAAGGAAGTTACTGGGAATTCTTCTGTCTAGCCTTATATGAAAAAAACCCGTTTCCAACGAAGGCCTCAAAGAGGTCTGAATATCCACTTGCAGAGTTTACAAACAGAGTGTTTCCTAACTGCTCTATGAAAAGAAAGGTTAAACTGTGAGTTGAACGCACACATCACAATGAAGTTTCTGAGAATCATTCTGTCTAGTTTCTATAGGAAGATATTTCCTATTCTACCATTGACCTCAAAGCGGCTGAATTCTCCACTTGCAAATTCCACAACAAGAGTGTTTCAAGTATGCTCTGTGTAAAGGATCGTTCAACACTGTGAGTTGAATACACACAACACAAGGAAGTTACTGAGAATTCTTCTGTCTAGCATAGTATGAAGAAATCCCGTTTCCAACGAAGGCCACAAGCTGTCAGAATATCCACTTACAGAATTTACAAACAGACTGTTTCCTAACTGCTCTATGAAAAGAAAGGTTAAACTCTGTGAGTTGAACGAACACATCACAACGCAGTTTGTGGGAATGATTCTATCTAGTTTTGAAACGAAGATATTTCCTTTTCTGCCATTGACTTCAAAGCGCTTGAAATCTCCACTTGCCAATTGCACAAAAAGAGTGTTTCAAATCTGCTCTGTTTAAGGGAACGTTCAACTCTGTGAGTTGAATGTACACAACACAAGGAAGTTACTGGGAATTCTTCTGTCTAGCCTTACATGAAAAAAACCCGTTTCCAACGAAGGCCTCTAAGTAGTCAAATTATCCACGTGCAGACTTTACAAACAGAGTGTTTCCAAACTGCTGAATGAAAAGAAAAGTTAAACTCTGAGAGTTAAACGCACACATCGCAGAGCAGTTTCTGAGAATGATTCTGTCTAGTTTTGAAACGAAGATATTTCCTTTTCTGCCTTTGGCCTCAAAGCGCTTGAAATCTCCACTTGCAAATTCCACAAAAAGAGTGTTTCAAATCTGCTCTGTGTAAATGAAAGTTCAACTCTGTGAGTTGAACACACACAACACAAGGAAGTTACTGAGAATTCTTCTGTCTAGCAGAATATGAAGAAATCCCGTTTCCAACGAAGGCCTGAAGGAGGTCTGAATATCCACTTGCAGACTTTACAAACAGAGTGTTTCCTAACAGCTCTATGAACAGAAAGGTTAAACTCTGTGAGTTGAACGCACACATCACAAAGGAGTTTCTGAGAATCATTCTGTCTAGTTTTTCTACGAAGATATTTCCTTTTCTACTATTGACCTCAAAGCGGCTGAAATCTCCACTTGCAAATTCCACAAAAAGAGTGTTTGAAGTCTGCTCTGTGTAAAGGATCGTTCAACTCTGTGATTTGAATACACACAACACAAGGAAGTTACTGAGAATTCTTCTGTCTAGCATAATAGGAAGAAATCCCGTTTCCAACGAAGGCCTCAAAGAGGTCTGAATATCCACTTGCAGACTTTACAAACAGAGTGTTTCCTAACTGCTCTATGAAAAGAAAGGTTAAACTCTGTGAGTTGAACGCACACATCACAAAGGAGTTTCTGAGAATCAATCTGTCTAGTTTTGAAACGAAGATATTTCCTTTTCTGCCATTGACCTTAAAGCACTTGAAATCTCCATTTGCCAATTGCACAAAAAGAGTGTTTCAAATCTGCTCTGTCTAAGGGAACGTTCAACTCTGTGAGTTGAATGTACACAACACAAGGAAGTTACTGGGAATTCTTCTGTCTAGCCTTTCATGAAAAAAACCCGTTTCCAACGAAGACCTCTAAGTGGTCAAAATATCCACGTGCAGACTTTACAAACTGAGTGTTTCCAAACTGCTGAATGAAAAGAAAAGTTAAACTCTGAGAGTTGAACGCACACATAACAGAGCAGTTTCTGAGAATGATTCTGTCTAGTTTTGAAACGAAGATATTTCCTTTTCTGCCTTTGGCCTCAAAGCGCTTGAAATCTCCACTTGCAAATTCCACAAAAAGAGTGTTTCAAATCTGCTCTGTGTAAATGAAAGTTCAACTCTGTGAGTTGAACACACACAACACAAGGAAGTTACTCGGAATTCTTCTGTCTAGCACAGTATGAAGAAATCCCGTTTCCAACGAAGGCCTCAAAGAGGTCTGAATATCCACTTGCAGACTTTACAAACAGAGTGTTTCTTAACTGCTCTATGAAAAGAAAGGTTAAACTCTCTGAGTTGAACGCACACGTCACAATGAAGTTTCTGAGAATCATTCTGTCTAGTTTTTATACGAAGATATTACCTTTTCTACCATTGACCCCAAAGCGGCTGAAATCACCACTTGCCAATTGCACAAAAAGAGTGTTTCAAATCTGCTCTGTCTAAGGGAACGTTCAACTCTGGGAGTTGAATACACACAACACAAGGAAGTTACTGAGAATTCTTCTGTCTAGCAGAATATGAAGAAATCCCGTTTCCAACGAAGGCCTCAAAGAGGTCTGAATATCCACTTGCAGACTTTACAAACAGAGTGTTTCCTAACTGTTCTATGAAAAGAAAGGTTAAACTCTGTGAGTTGAACGCACACATTACAACGCAGTTTGTGGGAATGATTCTGTCTAGTTTTTATACGAAGATATTTCCTTTTCTGCCTTTGGCCTCAAAGCGCTTGAAATCTCCACTTGCCAATTGCACAAAAAGAGTGTTTCAAATCTGCTCTGTGTAAGGGAACGTTCAACTCTGTGAGTTGAATGTACACAACAAAAGGAAGTTACTGAGAATTCTTCTGTCTAGCCTTACATGAAATAAACCCGTTTCCAATGAAGGCCTCTAAGTGGTCAAAATATCCACGTGCAGACTTTACAAACAGAGTGTTTCCAAACCGCTGAATGAAAAGAAAAGTTAAACTCTGAGAGTTGAACGCACACATCACGCAGCAGTTTCTGAGAATGATTCTGTCTAGTTTTGAAACGAAGATATTTCCTTTTCTGCCTTTGGCCTCAAAGCGCTTGAAATCTCCACTTTCAAATTCCACAAAAAGAGTGTTTCAAATCTGCTCTGTGTAAATGAAAGTTCAACTCTGTGAGTTGAACACACACAACACAAGGAAGTTACTGGGAATTCTTCTGTCTAGCCTTATATGAAAAAAACCCGTTTCCAACGAAGGCCTCAAGGAGGTCTGAATATCCACTTGCAGACTTTACAAACAGAGTGTTTCCTAACTGCTCTAAGAAAAGAAAGGTTAAACTCTGTGAGTTGAACGTACACATCACAAAGGAGTTTCTGAGAATCATTCTGTCTAGTCTTTATACGAAGATATTTCCTTTTCTACCATTGACCTCAAAGCGGCTGAAATCTCCACTTGCAAATTCCACAAAAAGAGTGTTTCAAGTCTGCTCTCTGTAAAGGATCGTTCAACTCTGTGAGTTGAATACACACAACACAAGGAAGTTAGTGAGAATTCTTCTGTCTAGCAGAATATGAAGAAATCCCGTTTCCAACGAAGGCCACAAGATGTCAGAATATCCACTTACAGACTTTAGAAACAGAGTGTTTCCTAACTGCTCTGTGAACAGAAAGGTTAAACTCTGTGAGTTGAACGAACACATCACAACGCAGTTTGTGGGAATGATTCTGTCTAGTTTTGAAACGAAGATATTTCCTTTTCTGCCATTGACCTCAAAGCGCTTGAAATCTCCACTTGCCAATTGCACAAAAAGAGTGTTTCAAATCTGCTCTGTCTAAGGGAACGTTCAACTCTGTGAGTTGAATGTACACAACACAAGGAAGTTACTGGGAATTCTTCTGTCTAGCCTTACAGGAAAAAAACCCGTTTCCAATGAAGGCCTCTAAGTGGTCAAATTATCTACGTGCAGACTTTACAAACAGAGTGTTTCCAAACTGCTGAATGAAAAGAAAAGTTAAACTCTGAGAGTTGAACGCACACATCGCAGAGCAGTTTCTGAGAATGATTCTGTCTAGTTTTTATACGAAGATATTTCCTTTTCTGCCTTTGGCCTCAAAGCGCTTGAAATCTCCATTAGCAAATTCCACAAAAAGAGTGTCTCAAACCTGCTCTGTGTAAATGAAAGTTCAACTCTGTGAGTTGAACACACACAACACAAGGAAGTTACTGGGAATTCTTCTGTCTAGCATAATATGAAGAAATCCCGTTTCCAACGAAGGCCACAAAGGGGTCTGAATATCCACTTGCAGACTTTATAAACAGAGTGTTTACTAACTGCTCTATGAAAAGAAAGGTTAAACTCTGTGAGTTGAACACACACATCACAAAGGAGTTTCTGAGAATCATTCTGTCTAGTCTTTATATGAAGATAGTTTCCTTTTCTACCATTGACCTCAAAGCGGCTGAAATCTGCACTTGCAAATTCCACAAAAAGAGTGTTTCAAGTCTGCTCTGTGTAAAGGATCGTTCAACTCTGTGAGTTGAATACACACAACACAAGGAAGTTACTGAGAATTCTTCCGTCTAGCAGAATATGAAGAAATCCCGTTTCCAACGAAGGCCACAAGATGTCAGAATATCCACTTACAGAATTTACAAACAGACTGTTTCCTAACTGCTCTATGAAAAGAAAGGTTAAACTCTGTGAGATGAACGAACACATCACAACGCAGTTTGTGGGAATGATTCTGTCTAGTTTTGAAACGAAGATATTTCCTTTTCTGCCATTGACCTTAAAGCGCTTGAAATCTCCACTTGCCAATTGCACAAAAAGAGTGTTTCAAATCTGCTCTGTCTAAGGGAACGTTCAACTCTGTGAGTTGAATGTACACAACACAAGGAAGTTACTGGGAATTCTGTCTAGCCTTACATGAAAAAAACCCGTTTCCAACGAAGGCCTCTAAGTGGTCAAGTTATCCACGTGCAGACTTTACAAACAGAGTGTTTCCAAACTGCTGAATGAAAAGAAAAGTTAAACTCTGAGAGTTGAACGCACACATCGCAGAGCAGTTTCTAAGAATGATTCTGTCTAGTTTTTATACGAAGATATTTCCTTTTCTGCTTTGGCCTCAAAGCGCTTGAAATCTCCACTTGCAAATTCCACAAAAAGAGTGTTTCAAATCTGCTCTGTGTAAATGAAAGTTCAACTCTGTGAGTTGAACACACACAACACAAGGAAGTTACTGGGAATTCTTCTGTCTAGCAGAATATGAAGAAATCCCGTTTCCAACGAAGGCCTCAAAGAGGTCTGAATATCCACTTGCAGACTTTACAAACAGAGTGTTTCCTAACGGCTCTATGAACAGAAAGGTTAAACTCTGTGAGTTGAACGCACACATCACAAAGGAGTTTCTGAGAATCATTCTGTCTAGTTTTTATACGAAGATATTTCCTTTTCTACCATTGACCTCAAAGCGGCTGAAATCTCCACTTGCAAATTCCACAAAAAGAGTGTTTCAAATCTGCTCTGTGTAAACCATCGTTCAACTGTGTGAGTTGAATACACACAACACAAGGAAGTTTCTGAGAATTCTTCTGTCTAGCAGAATATGAAGAAATCCCGTTTCCAACGAAGGCCACAAGATGTCAGAATATCCACTTTCAGACTTTACAAACAGAGTATTTCCTAACTGCTTTATGAACAGAAAGGTTAAACTCTGTTAGTTGAACGAACACCTCACAACGCAGTTTGTGGGAATGATTCTGTCTAGTTTTGAAACGAAGATATTTCCTTTTCTGCCATTGACCTTAAAGAGCTTGAAATCTACACTTGCAAATTGCACAAATAGAGTGTTTCAAATCTGCTCTTTCTAAGGGAACGTCCAACTCTGTGAGTTGAATGCACACAACACAAGGAAGTTACTGGGAATTCTTCTGTCTAGCCTTACATGAAAAAAACCCGTTTCCAACGAAGGCCTCTAAGTGGTCAAAATGTCCACGTGCAGACTTTACAAACAGAGTGTTTCCAAACCGCTGAATGAAAAGAAAAGTTAAACTCTGAGAGTTGAACGCACACATCACTCAGCAGTTTCTGAGAATGATTCTGTCTAGTTTTTATACGAAGATATTTCGTTTTCTGCCTTTGGCCACAAAGCGCTTGAAATCTCCACTTGCAAATTCCACAAAAAGAGTGTTTCAAATCTGCTCTCTCTAAATGAAAGTTCAACTCTGTCAGTTGAATACACACAACACAAGGAAGTTACTGAGAATTCTTCTGTCTAGCATAATATGAAGAAATCCCGTTTCCAACGAAGGTCTCAAGGAGGTCTGAATATCCACTTGCAGACTTTACAAACAGAGTGTTTCCTAACTGCTCTATGAAAAGAAAGGTTAAACTCTGTGAGTTCAACGCACACATCACAAAGGAGTTTCTGAGAATCATTCTGTCTAGTTTCTACAGGAAGATATTTCCTATTCTACCATTGACCTCAAAGCGGCTGAAATCTCCACTTGCAAATTCCACAAAAAGAGTGTTTCAAGTCTGTTCTGTGTAAAGGATCGTTCAACTCTGTGAGTTGAATACACACAACACAAGGCAGTTACTGAGAATTCTTCTGTCTAGCAGAATATGAAGAAATCCCGTTTCCAACGAAGGCCACAAGATGTCAGAATATCCACTTACAGAATTTACAAACAGACTGTTTCCTAACTGCTCTATGAAAAGAAAGGTTAAACTCTGTGAGATGAACGAACACATCACAACGCAGTTTTTGGGAATGATTCTGTCTAGTTTTGAAACGAAGATATTTCCTTTTCTGCCATTGACCTTAAAGCGCTTGAAATCTCCACTTGCCAATTGCACAAAAAGAGTGTTTCAAATCTGCTCTGTCTAAGGGAACGTTCAACTCTGTGAGTTGAATGTACACAACACAAGGAAGTTACTGGGAATTCTTCTGTCTAGCCTTACAGGAAAGAAACCCGTTTCCAACGAAGGCCTCTAAGTGGTCAAAATATCCACGTGCAGATTTTACAAACAGAGTGTTTCCAAACTGCTGAATGAAAAGAAAAGTTAAACTCTGAGAGTTGAACGCACACATCGCAGAGCAGTTTCTGAGAATGAGTCTGTCTAGTTTTTATACGAAGATATTTCCTTTTCTGCCTTTGGCCCCAAAGCGTTTGAAATCTCCACTTGCAAATTCCACAAAAACAGTGTTTCAAATCTGCTCTCTCTAAATGAAAGTTCAACTCTGTCAGTTGAATACACACAACACAAGGAAGTTACTGAGAATTCTTCTGTCTAGCAGAATATGATGAAATCCCGTTTCCAACGAAAGTCTCAAAGATGTCTGAATATTCTCTTGCAGACTTTACAAACAGAGTGTTTCCTAACTGCTCTATGAAAAGAAAGGATAAACTCTGTGAGTTGAACGCACACATCACAAAGGAGTTTCTGAGAATCATTCTGTCTAGTTTTTATACGAAGATATTTCCTTTTCTACCATTGACCTCAAAGCGGCTGAAATCTCCACTTGCAAATTACACAAAAAGAGTGTTTCAAGTCTACTCTGTGTAAAGCATCGTTCAACTCTGTGAGTTGAAAACACACAACACAAGGAAGTTTCTGAGAATTCTTCTGTCTAGCAGAATATGAAGAAATCCCGTTTCCAACGAAGGCCTCAAAGAGGTCTGAATATCCACTTGCAGACTTTACAAACAGAGTGTTTCCTAACTGCTCTATGAACAGAAAGGTTAAACTCTGTGAGTTGAACACACACATTACAAAGGAGTTTCTGAGAATCATTCTGTCTAGTTTTTATACGAAGATATTCCCTTTTCTACCATTGACCTCAAAGCGGCTGAAATCTCCACTTGCAAATTCCACAAAAAGAGTGTTTCTAATCTGCTCTGTTTAAAGTATCGTTCAACTCTGTGAGTTGAATCCACACAACACAAGGAAATTACTGGGAATTCTTCTGTCTAGCAGAATATGAAGAAATCCCGTTTCCAACTAAGGCCACAAGATGTCAGAATATCCACTTACAGAATTGACAAACAGACTGTTTCCTAACTGCTCTATGAAAAGAAAGGTTAAACTCTGTGAGTTGAACGAACACATCACAACGCAGTTTGTGGGAATGATTCTGTCTAGTTTTGAAACGAAGATATTTCCTTTTCTGCCGTTGACCTTAAAGAGCTTGAAAACTACACTTGCAAATTGCACAAATAGAGTGTTTCAAATCTGCTCTGTCTAAGGGAACGTTCAACTCTGTGAGTTGAATGCACACAACACAAGGAAGTTACGGGGAATTCTTCGGTCTAGCCTTACATAAAAAAAACCCGTTTCCAACGAAGGCCTCTAAGTGGTCAAAATATCCACGTGCAGACTTTGCAGAGTGTTTCCAAACCGCTGAATGAAAAGAAAAGTTAAACTCTGACAGTTGAACGCACACATCACGCAGCAGTTTCTGAGAATGATTCTGTCTAGTTTTGAAACGAAGATATTTCCTTTTCTGCCTTTGGCCTCAAAGCGCTTGAAATCTCCACCTGCAAATTCCACAAAAAGAGTGTTTCAAATCTGCTCTGTGTAAATGAAAGTTCAACTCTGTGAGTTGAACACACACAACACAAGGAAGTTACTGGGAATTCTTCTGTCTAGCCTTATATGAAAAAAACCCGTTTCCAGCGAAGGCCTCAAAGAGGTCTGAATATCCACTTGCAGACTTTACAAACAGAGTGTTTCCTAACTGCTCTATGAAAAGAAAGGTTAAACTCTGTGAGTTGAACGCACACATCACAAAGGAGTTTCTGAGAATCATTCTGTCTAGTTTCTATAGGAAGATATTTCCTATTCTAACATTGACCTCAAAGCGGCTGAAATCTCCACTTGCAAATTCCACAAAAAGAGTGTTTCAAGTCTGCTCTGTGTAAAGGATCGTTCAACTCTGTGAGTTGAATACACACAACACAAGGAAGTTAAAGAGAATACTTCTGTCTAGCAGAATATGAAGAAATCCCGTTTCCAACTAAGGCCACAAGATGTCAGAATATCCACTTACAGAATTGACAAACAGACTGTTTCCTAACTGCTCTATGAAAAGAAAGGTTAAACTCTGTGAGTTGAACGAACACATCACAACGCAGTTTGTGGGAATGATTCTGTCTAGTTTTCAAACGAAGATATTTCCTTTTCTGCCATTGACCTTAAAGCGCTTGAAATCTACACTTGCAAATTGCACAAATAGAGTGTTTCAAATCTGCTCTGTCTAAGGGAACGTTCAACTCTGTGAGTTGAATACACACAACACAAGGAAGTTACTGGGAATTCTTCTGTCTAGCCTTACATTAAAAAAAACCCGTTTCCAACGAAGACCTCTAAGTGGTCAAAATATCCACGTGCAGACTTTACAAACAGAGTGTTTCCAAACCGCTGAATGAAAAGAAAAGTTAAACTCTGAGAGTTGAACGCACACATCACGCAGCAGTTTCTGAGAATGATTCTGTCTAGTTTTGAAACGAAGACATTTCCTTTTCTGCCTTTGGCCTCAAAGTGCTTGAAATCTCCATTTGCAAATTCCACAAAAAGAGTGTTTCAAATCTGCTCTGTGTAAATGAAAGTTCAACTCTGTGAGTTGAACACACACAACACAAGGAAGTTACTGGGAATTCTTCTGTCTAGCAGAATATGAAGAAATCCCGTTTCCAACGAAGGCCTCAAAGAGGTCTGAATATCCACTTGCAGACTTTACAAACAGAGTGTTTCCTAACTGCTCTATGAAAAGAAAGGTTAAACTCTGTGAGTTGAACGCACACATCACAAAGGAGTTTATGAGAATCAATCTGTCTAGTTTTTCTACGAAGATATTTCCTTTTCTACTGTTGACCTCAAAGCGGCTGAAATCTCCACTTGCAAATTCCACAAAAAGAGTGTTTCAAGTCTGCTCTGTGTAAAGGATCGTTCAACTCTGTGAGTTCAATACACACAACACAAGGAAGTTACTGAGAATTCTTCTGTCTAGCAGAATATGAAGAAATCCCGTTTCCAACGAAGGCCACAAGATGTCAGAATATCCACTTACAGACTTTACAAACAGAGTGTTTCCTAACTGCTCTATGAAAAGAAAGGTTAAACTCTGTGAGTTGAGCGCACACATCACAAAGGAGTTTCTGAGAATCATTCTGTCTAGTTTTCAAACGAAGATATTTCCTTTTCTGCCATTGACCTTAAAGCGCTTGAAATCTACACTTGCAAATTGCACAAATAGAGTGTTTCAAATCTGCTCTGTCTAAGGGAACGTTCAACTCTGTGAGTTGAATGCACACAACACAAGGAAGTTACTGGGAATTCTTCTGTCTAGCCTTACATGAAAAAAAACCCCTTTCCAACGAAGGCCTCTAAGTGGTCAAAATATCCACGTGCAGTCTTTACAAACAGAGTGTTTCCAAACCGCTGAATGAAAAGAAAAGTTAAACTCTGAGAGTTGAACGCACACATCACGCAGCAGTTTCTGAGAATGATTCTGTCTAGTTTTTATACGAAGATATTTCCTTTTCTGCCTTTGGCCCCAAAGCGCTTGAAATCTCCTCTTGCAAATTCCACAAAAACAGTGTTTCAAATCTGCTCTCTCTAAATGAAAGTTCAACTCTGTCAGTTGAATACACACAACACAAGGAAGTTACTGAGAATTCTTCTGTCTAGCATAATATGAAGAAATCCCCGTTTCCAACGAAGGCCTCAAAGGGGTCTGAATATCCACTTGCAGACTTTATAAACAGAGTGTTTACTAACTGCTCTATGAAAAGAAAGGTTAAACTCTGTGAGTTGAACACACACATCACAAAGGAGTTTCTGAGAATGATTCTGTCTAGTTTCTATAAGAAGATATTTCCTATTCTACCATTGACCTCAAAGCGGCTGAAATCTCCACTTGCAAATTCGACAAAAAGAGTGTTTCAAGCCTGCTCTCTGTAAAGGGTCTTTCAACTCTGTGAGTTGAATACACACAACACAAGGCAAGTTACTGAGAATTATTCTGTCTAGCATAATATGAAGAAATCCCTTTTCCAACGAAGGCCTCAAAGAGGTCTGAATATCCACTTGCACACTTTACAAACAGAGTGTTTCCTAACTGCTCTATGAGAAGAAAAGTTAAACTCTGTGAGTTGAACGCACACATCACAAAATATTTTCTTAGAATCATTCTGTCTAGTTTTTATACGAAGATATTTCCTTTTCTACCATTGACCTCAAAGCGGCTGAAATCACCACTTGCCAATTGCACAAAAAGAGTGTTTCAAATCTGCTCTGTCTGAGGGAACGTTCAACTCTGTGAGTTGAATGTACACAACACAAGGAAGTTACTGGGAATTCTTCTGTCTAGCCTTAAAGGAAAAAAACCCGTTTCCAACGAAGGCCTCTAAGTGGTCAAAATATCCACGTGCAGACTTTACAAACAGAGTGTTTCCAAACTGCTGAATGAAAAGAAAAGTTAAACTCTGAGAGTTGAACGCACACATCGCAGAGCAGTTTCTGAGAATCATTCTGTCTAGTTTTTATACGAAGATATTTCCTTTTCTGCCTTTGGCCTCAAAGCGCTTGAAATCTCCACTTTCAAATTCCACAAAAAGAGTGTTTCAAATCTGCTCTGTGTAAATGAAAGTTCAACTCTGTGAGTTGAACACACACAACACAAGGAAGTTACTGGGAATTCTTCTGTCTAGCAGAATATGAAGAAATCCCGTTTCCAAAGAAGGCCTCAAGGAGGTCTGAATATCCACTTGCAGACTTTACAAACAGAGTGTTTCCTAACTGCTCTATGAACAGAAAGGTTAAACTCTGTGAGTTGAACGCACACATCACAAAGGAGTTTCTGAGAATCATTCTGTCTAGTTTCTATAGGAAGATATTTCCTATTCTACCATTGACCTCTAAGCGGCTGAAATCTCCACTTGCAAATTCCACAAAAAGAATGTTTCAAGTCTGCTCTGTGTAAAGGATCGTTCAACTTCTGTGAGTTGAATACACACAACACAAGGAAGTTACTGAGAATTCTTCTGTCTAGCATAATATGAAGAAATCCCGTTTCCAACGAAGGCCTCAAAGGGTTCTGAATATCCACATGCAGACTTTATAAACAGAGTGTTTACTAACTGCTGTATGAAAAGAAAGGTTAAACTCTGTGAGTTGAACACACACATCACAAAGGAGTTTCTGAGAATCATTCTGTCTAGTTTTTCTACGAAGATATTTTCTTTTCTACCATTGACCTCAAAGCGGCTGAAATCTCCACTTGCAAATTCCACAAAAAGAGTGTTTCAAGTCTGCTCTGTGTAAAGGATCGTTCAACTCTGTGAGTTGAATACACACAACACAAGGAAGTTACTGAGAATTCTTCTGTCTAGCCTTACATGAAAAAAACCCGTTTCCAACGAAGGCCTCTAAGTGGTCAAAATATCCACGTGCAGACTTTACAAACAGAGTGTTTCCAAACCGCTGAATGAAAAGAAAAGTTAAACTCTGAGAGTTGAACGCACACATCACACAGCAGTTTCTGAGAATGATTCTGTGTAGTTTTTCTACGAAGATATTTCCTTTTCTACTATTGACCTCAAAGCGGCTGAAATCTCCACTTGCAAATTCCACAAAAAGAGTGTTTCAAGTCTGCTCTGTGTAAAGGATCGTTCAACTCTGTGAGTTGCATACACACAACACAAGGAAGTTACTGAGAATTCTTCTGTCTAGCAGAATATGAAGAAATCCCGTTTCCAACGAAGGCCTCAAGGAGGTCTGAATATCCACTTGCAGACTTTACAAACAGAGTGTTTCCTAACTGCTCTATGAAAAGAAAGGTTAAACTCTGTGAGTTGAACGCACACATCACAAAGGAGTTTCTGAGAATCGTTCTGTCTAGTCTTTATACGAAGATAGTTTCCTTTTCTACCATTGACCTCAAAGCGGCTGAAATCTCCACTTGCAAATTCCACAAAAAGAGTGTTTCAAGTCTGCTCTGTGTAAAGGATCGTTCAACTCTGTGAGTTGAATACACACAACACAAGGAAGTTACTGAGAATTCTTCTGTCTAGCAGAATATGAAGAAATCCCGTTTCCAACGAAGGCCTCAAGGAGGTCTGAATATCCACTTGCAGACTTTACAAACAGAGTGTTTCCTAACTGCTCTATGAAAAGAAAGGTTAAACTCTGTGAGTTGAAGGCACACATCACAAAGGAGTTTATGATAATCATTCTGTCTAGTTTTGAAACGAAGATATTTCCTTTTCTGCCGTTGACCTTAAAGCGCTTGAAATCTACACTTGCAAATTGCACAAATAGAGTGTTTCAAATCTGCTCTGTCTAAGGGAACGTTCAACTCTGTGAGTTGAATGCACACAACACAAGGAAGTTAATGGGAATTCTTCTGTGTAGCCTTACATGAAAAAAAACCCGTTTCCAACGAAGGCCTCTAAGTGGTCAAAATATCCACGTGCAGACTTTACAAACAGAGTGTTTCCAAACCGCTGAATGAAAACAAAAGTTAAACTCTGAGAGTTGAACGCACACATCACGCAGCAGTTTCTGAGAATGATTCTGTCTAGTTTTTATACGAAGATATTTCCTTTTCTGCCTTTGGCCTCAAAGCGCTTGAAATCTCCACTTGCAAATTCCACAAAAAGAGTGTTTCAAATCTGCTCTGTGTAAATGAAAGCTCAACTCTGTGAGTTGAACACACACAACACAAGGAAGTTACTGGGAATTCTTCTGTCTAGCATAGTATGAAGAAATCCCGTTTCCAACGAAGGCCTCAATGAGGTCTGAATATCCACTTGCAGAGTTTACAAACAGAGTGTTTCCTACCTGCTCTATGAAAAGAAAGGTTAAACTCTGTGAGTTGAACGCACACATCACAAAGAAGATTCTGAGAATCATTCTGTCTAGTTTCTAAAGGAAGATATTTCCTATTCTACCATTGACCTCAAATCGGCTGAAATCTCCACTTGCAAATTCCACAAAAAGAGTGTTTCAAGTCTGCTCTGTGTAAAGGATCGTTCAACTCTGTGAGTTGAATACACACAACACAAGGAAGTTACTGAGAATTCTTCTGTCTAGCATAATATGAAGAAATCCCGTTTCCAACGTAGGCCTCAAGGAGGTCTGAATATCCACTTGCAGACTTTACAAACAGAGTGTTTCCTAACTGCTCTATGAAAAGAAAGGTTAAACTCTGTGAGTTGAATGCACACATCACAAAGGAGTTTCTGAGAATCATTCTGTCTAGTTTTGAAACGAAGATATTTCCTTTTCTGCCGTTGACCTTAAAGCGCTTGAAATCTACACTTGCAAATTGGACAAATAGAGTGTTTCAAATCTGCTCTGTCTAAGGGAACGTTCAACTCTGTGAGTTGAATGCACACAACACAAGGAAGTTACTGGGAATTCTTCTGTCTAGCCTTACATGAAAAAAACCCGTTTCCAACGAAGGCCTCGAAGTGTTCAAAATATCCACGTGCAGACTTTACAAACAGAGTGTTTCCAAACTGCTGAATGAAAAGAAAAGTTAAACTCTGAGAGTTGAACGCACACATCACAGAGCAGTTTCTGAGAATGATTCTGTCTTGTTTTTATACGAAGATATTTCCTTTTCTGCCTTTGGCCCCACAGCGCTTGAAATCTCCACTTGCAAATTCCACAAAAACAGTGTTTCAAATCTGCTCTCTATAAATGAAAGTTCAACTCTGTCAGTTGAATACACACAACACAAGGAAGTTACTGAGAATTCTTCTGTCTAGCCTTACATGAAAAAAACCCGTTTCCAATGAAGGCCTCAAAGAAGTCCAAATATCCACGTGCAGCCTTTACAAACAGAGTGTTTCCTAACTGCTCTATGAAAAGAAAGGTTAAACTCTGTGAGTTGAACGCACACATCACAAAGGAGTTTCTGAGAATCATTCTGTCTAATTTTTATATGAAGATATTTCCTTTTCAACCATTGACCTCAAAGCGGCTGAAATCTCCATATGCAAATTCCACAAAAAGAGTGTTTCAAGTCTGCTCTGTGTAAAGGATCGTTCAACTCTGTGAGTTGAATACACACAACACGAGGAAGTTACTGAGAATTCTTCTGTCTAGCAGAATATGAAGAAATCCCGTTTCCAACGAAGGCCTCAAAGAGGTCTCATTATCCACTTGCAGAATTTACAAACAGAGTGTTTCCTAACTGCTCTATGAAAAGAAAGGTTAAACTCTGTGAGTTGAACGCACACATCATAAAGGAGTTTCTGACAATCGTTCTGTGTAGTTTTGAAACGAAGATATTTCCTTTTCTGCCATTGACCTTAAAGCGCTTGAAATCTACACTTGCAAATTGCACAAATAGAGTGTTTCAAATCTGCTCTGTCTAAGGGAACGTTCAACTCTGTGAGTTGAATGCACACAACACAAGGAAGTTACTGGGAATTCTTCTGTCTAGCCTTACATGAAAAAAACCCGTTTCCAATGAAGGCCTCTAAGTGGTCAAAATATCCACGTGCAGACTTTACAAACAGAGTGTTTCCAAACCGCTGAATGAAAAGAAAAGTTAAACTCTGAGAGTTGAACGCACACATCACGCAGCAGTTTCTGAGAATGATTCTGTCTAGTTTTTATACGAAGATATTTCCTTTTCTGCCTTTGGCCTCAAAGCGCTTGAAATCTCCATTTGCAAATTCCACGAAAAGAGTGTTTCAAATCTGCTCTGTGTACATGAAAGTTCAACTCTGTGAGTTGAACACACACAACACAAGGAAGTTACTGGGAATTCTTCTGTCTAGCATAATATGAAGAAATCCCGTTTCCAACGAATGCCTCAAGGAGGTCTGAATATCCACTTGCAGACTTTACAAACAGAGTGTTTCCTAACTGCTCTATGAAAAGAAAGGTTAAACTATGTGAGTTGAACGCACACATGACAAAGGAGTTTCTCAGAATCATTCTGTCTAGTTGTTATACGAAGATATTTCCTTTTCTACCATGGACCTCAAAGCGGCTGAAATCTCCACTTGCAAATTCCACAGAAAGAGTGTTTCAAATCTGCTCTGTGTAAACAATCGTTCAACTGTGTGAGTTGAATACACACAACACAAGGAAGATTCTGAGAATTCTTCTGTCTAGCATAATATGAAGAAATCCCGTTTCCAACGAAGGCCACAAGATGTCAGAATATCCACTTACAGACTTTACAAACAGAGTGTTTCCTAACTGCTCTATGAAAAGAAAGGTTAAACTCTGTGAGTTGAACGAGCACATCACAACGCAGTTTGTGGGAATGATTCTGTCTAGTTTTGAAACGAAGATATTTTCTTTTCTGCCGTTGACCTTAAAGCGCTTGAAATCTACACTTGCAAATTGCACAAATAGAGTGTTTAAAATCTGCTCTGTCTAAGGGAACGTTCAATTCTGTGAGTTGAATGCACACAACACAAGGAAGTTACTGGGAATTCTTCTGTCTAGCCTTACATGAAAAAAACCCGTTTCCAACGAAGACCTCAAAGAAGTCCAAATATCCACGTGCAGACGTTACAAACAGAGTGTTTCCTAACTGCTCTATGAAAAGAAAGGTTAAACTCTGTGAGTTGAACGCCCACATCACAAAGGAGTTTCTGAGAATCATTCTGTCTAGTTTTTATAGGAAGATATTTCCTTTTCTGCCTTTGGCCTCAAAGCGCTTGAAATCTCCACCTGCAAATTCCACAAAAAGAGTGTTTCAAATCTGCTCTGTGTAAATGAAAGTTCAACTCTGTGAGTTGAACACACACAACACAAGGAAGTTACTGGGAATTCTTCTGTCAAGCAGAACATGAAGAAATCCCGCTTCCAACGAAGGCCTCAAAGAAGTCTGAATATCCACTTGCAGACTTTACAAACAGAGTGTTTCCCAACTGCTCTATGAAAAGAAAGGTTGAACTCTGTGAGTTGAACGCACACATCAGAAAGGAATTTCTGAGAATCATTCTGTCTAGTTTTTATAGGAAGATATTTCCTTTTCTACCTTTGACTTCAAAGCGGCTGAAATCTCCACTTCCAAATTCTACAAAAAGAGTGTTACAAGTCTGCTCTGTGTAAAGGATCGTTCAACTCTGTGAGTTGAATACACACAACACAAGGAAGTTACTGAGAATTCTTCTGTCTAGCAGAATATGAAGAAATCCCGTTTCCAACGAAGGCCACAAGATGTCAGAATATCCACTTGCAGACTTTACAAACAGAGTGTTTCCTAACTGCTCTATGAACAGAAAGGTTAAACTCTGTGAGTTGAACGAACACATCACAACGCAGTTTGTGGGAATGATTCTGTCTAGTTTTGAAACGAAGATATTTGCTTTTCTGCCATTGACCTTAAAGCGCTTGAAATCTCCACTTGCCAATTGCACAAAAAGTGTGTTTCAAATCTGCTCTGTCTAAGGGAACGTTCAACTCTGTGAGTTGAATGTACACAACACAAGGAAGTTACTGGGAATTCTTCTGTCTAGCCTTACAGGAAAAAAACCCGTCTCCAACGAAGGCCTCTAAGTGGTCAAAATATCCACGTGCAGACTTTACAAACAGAGTGTTTCCAAACTGCTGAATGAAAAGAAAAGTTAAACTCTGAGAGTTGAACGCACACATCGCAGAGCAGTTTCTGAGAATGATTCTGTCTTGTTTTTATACGAGGATATTTCCTTTTCAGCCTTTGGCCGCAAAGCGCTTGAAATCTCCACTTGCAAATTCCACAAAAACAGTGTTTCAAATCTGCTCTCTCCAAATGAAAGTTCAACTCTGTCAGTTGAATACACACAACACAAGGAAGTTACTGAGAATTCTTCTGTCTAGCACAGTATGAAGAAATCCCATTTCCAACGAAGGCCTCAAAGACGTCTGAATATCCACTTGCAGAGTTCACAAACAGAGTGTTTCCTAACTGCTCTATGAAAAGAAAGGTTAAACTCTGTGAGTTGAACTGCACACATCACAATGAAGTTTCTGAGAATCATTCTGTCTAGTCTTTATACGAAGATATTTACTTTTCTACCGTTGACCTCAAAGCGGCTGAAATCTCCACTTGCAAATTCCACAAAAAGAGTGTTTCAAGTCTGCTCTTTGTAAAGGATCATTCAACTCTGTGAGTTGAATAAACACAACACAAGGAAGTTACTGAGAATTCTTCTGTCCAGCATAATATGAAGAAATCCCTTTTCCAGCGAAGGCCTCAAGGATGTCTGAATATCCACTTGCAGACTTTACAAACAGAGTGTTTCCTAACTGCTCTATGAAAAGAAAGGTTAAACTCTGTGAGTTGAACGCACACATCACAAAGGAGTTTCTGAGAATCATTCTGTCTAGTTTTAATAGGAAGATATTTCCTTTTCTACCTTTGACTTCAAAGCGGCTGAAATCTCCACTTGCAAATTCCACAAAAAGAGTGTTACAAGTCTGCTCTGTGTAAAGGATCGTTCAACTGTGTGAGTTGAATACACACAACACAAGGAAGTTACTGAGAATTCTTCTGTCTAGCCTTACATGAAAAAAACCCGTTTCCAACGAAGGCCTCTAAGTGGTCAAATTATCCACGTGCAGACTTTACAAACAGAGTGTTTCCAAACTGCTGAATGAAAAGAAAAGTTAAACTCTGAGAGTTGAACGCACACATCGTAGAGCAGTTTCTGAGAATGATTCTGTCTAGTTTTTATACGAAGATATTTCTTTTCTGCCTTTGGCCCCAAAGCGCTTGAAATCTCCATTTGCAAATTCCACAAAAACAGTGTTTCAAATCTGCTCTCTCTAAATGAAAGTTCAACTCTGTCAGTTGAATACACACAACACAAGGAAGTTACTGAGAATTCTTCTGTCTAGCACAGTATGAAGAAATCCCGTTTCCAACGAAGGCCTCAAAGAGGTCTGAATATCCACTTGCAGAGTTTACAAACAGAGTGTTTCCTAACCGCTCTATGAAAAGAAAGGTTAAACTCTGTGAGTTGAACGCACACATCACAATGAAGTTTCTGAGAATCATTCTGTCTAGTTTTTATACGAAGATATTTCCTTTTCTACCATTGACCTCAAAGCGGCTGAAATCTCCACTTGCAAATTCCACAAAAAGAGTGTTTCAAATCTGCTCGTGTAAACCATCGTTCAACTCTGTGAGTTGAATACACACAACACAAGGAAGATTCTGAGAATTCTTCTGTCTAACAGAATATGAAGAAATCCCGATTCCCACGAAGGCCACAAGATGTCAGAATATCCACTTACAGACTTTACAAACAGAGTGTTTCCTAACTGCTCTATGAACAGAAAGGTTAAACTCTGTGAGTTGAACGAACACATCACAACGCAGTTTGTGGGAATGATTCTGTCTAGTTTTGAAACGAAGATATTTCCTTTTCTGCCGTTGACCTTAAAGAGCTTGAAAACTACACTTGCAAATTGCACAAATAGAGTGTTTCAAATCTGCTCTGTCTAAGGGAACGTTCAACTCTGTGAGTTGAATGCACACAACACAAGGAAGTTACTGGGAATTCTTCTGTCTAGCCTTACATAAAAAAAAACCGTTTCCAACGAAGGCCTCTAAGTGGTCAAAATATCCACGTGCAGACTTTACAGAGTGTTTCCAAACCGCTGAATGAAAAGAAAAGTTAAACTCTGAGAGTTGAACGCACACATCACGCAGCAGTTTCTGAGAATGATTCTGTCTAGTTTTTATACGAAGATATTTCCTTTTCTGCCTTTGGCCCCAAAGCGCTTGAAATCTCCACTTGCAAATTCCACAAAAACAGTGTTTCAAATCTGCTCTCTCTAAATGAAAGTTCAACTCTGTGAGTTGAATACACACAACACAAGGAAGTTACTGAAAATTCTTCTGTGTAGCATAATATGAAGAAATCCCGTTTCCAACGAAGGCCTCAAAGAGGTCTGAATATCCACTTGCAGACTTTACAAACAGAGTGTTTCCTAACTGCTCTATGAAAAGAAAAGTTAAACTCTGTGAGTTGAACGCACACATCACAAAGGAGTTTATGAGAATCATTCTGTCTAGTTTTTATATGAAGATATTTCCTTTTCTACCATTGACCTCAAAGCGGCTGAAATCTCCACTTGCAAATTCCACAAAAAGAGTGTTTCAAATCTGCTCTGTGTAAACCATCGTTCAACTCTGTGAGTTGAATACACACAACACAAGGAAGATTGTGAGAATTCTTCTGTCTAGCAGAATATGAAGAAATCCAGTTTCCAACGAAGGCCTCAACGAGGTCTGAATATCCACTTGCAGACTTTACAAACAGAGTGTTTCCTAACTGCTCTATGAAAAGAAAGGTTAAACTCTGTGAGTTGAACACACACATCACAAAGGAGTTTCTGAGAATCATTCTGTCTAGTTTTGAAACGAAGATATTTCCTTTTCTGCCATTGACCTGAAAGCGCTTGAAATCTACACTTGCAAATTGCGCAAATAGAGTGTTTCAAATCTGCTCTGTCTAAGGGAACGTTCAACTCTGTGAGTTGAATGCACACAACACAAGGAAGTTACTGGGAATTCTTCTGTCTAGCCTTACATGAAAAAAAACCCGTTTCCAACGAAGGCCTCTAAGTGGTCAAAATATCCACGTGCAGTTTTTACAAACAGAGTGTTTCCAAACCGCTGAATGAAAAGAAAAGTTAAACTCTGAGAGTTGAACGCACACATCACGCAGCAGTTTCTGAGAATGATTCTGTCTAGTTTTGAAACGAAGATATTTCCTTTTCTGTCTTTGGCCTCAAAGCGCTTGAAATCTCCATTTGCAAATTCCACAAAAAGAGTCTTTCAAATCTGCTCTGTGTAAATGAAAGTTCAACTCTGTGAGTTGAACACACACAACACAAGGATGTTAGTGGGAATTCTTCTGTCTAGCCTTATATGAAAAAAACCCGTTTCCAACGAAGGCCTCAAAGAGGTCTGAACATCCACTTGCAGACTTTACAAACAGAGTGTTTCCTAACTGCTCTATGAAAAGAAAGGTTAAACTCTGTGAGTTGAACGCACACATCACAAAGGAGTTTCTGAGAATCATTCTGTCTATTTTCTATAGGAAGATATTTCCTATTCTACCATTGACCTCAAAGCGGCTGAAATCTCCACTTGCAAATTCCACAAAAAGAGTGTTTCAAGTCTGCTCCTGTGTAAAGGATCGTTCAACTCTGTGAGTTGAATACACACAACACAAGGAAGTTACTGAGAATTCTTCTGTCTAGCATAATATGAAGAAATCCCGTTTCCAACGAAGGCCTCAAAGGGGTCTGAATATCCACTTGCAGACTTTATAAACAGCGTGTTTCCTAACTGCTCTATGAAAAGAAAGGTTAAACTCTCTGAGTTGAACGGCACACATCACAAAGGAGTTTCTGAGAATCATTCTGTCTAGTTTTGAAACGAAGATATTTCCTTTTCTGCCATTGACCTTAAAGCGCTTGAAATCTCCACTTGCCAATTGCACAAAAAGAGTGTTTCAAATCTGCTCTGTCTAAGGGAACGTTCAACTCTGTGAGTTGAATGTACACAACACAAGGAAGTTACTGGGAATTCTTCTGTCTAGCATAATATGAAGAAATCCCGTTTCCAACGAAGGCCTCAAAGGAGGTCTGAATATCCACTTGCAGACTTTACAAACAGAGTGTTTCCTAACTGCTCTATGAAAAGAAAAGTTATACTCTGTGTGTTGAACGTACACATCACAAAGGAGTTTCTGAGAATCATTCTGTCTACTTTTTATACGAAGATATTTCCTTTTCTGCCTTTGGCCCCAAAGCGCTTGAAATCTCCACTTGCAAATTCCACAAAAACAGTGTTTCAAATCTGCTCTCTCTAAATGAAAGTTCAATTCTGTCAGTTGAATACACACAACACAAGGAAGTTACTGAGAATTCTTCTGTCTAGCCTTATATGAAAAAAACCCGTTTCCAACGAAGGCCTCAAACAGGTCTGAATATCCACTTGCAGACTTTACAAACAGAGTGATTCCTAACTGCTCTATGAAAAGAAAGGTTAAACTCTGTGAGTTGAACACACACATCACAAAGGAGTTTCTGAGAATCATTCTGTCTAGTTTTTCTACGACGATATTTCCTTTTCTACTATTGACCTCAAAGCGGCTGAAATCTCCAATTGCAAATTCCACAAAAAGAGTGTTTCAAGTCTGCTCTGTGTAAAGGATCGTTCAACTCTGTGAGTTGAATACACACAACACAAGGAAGTTACTGAGAATTCTTCTGTCTAGCAGAATATGAAGAAATCCCGTTTCCAACGAAGGCCTCAAAGAGGTCTGAATATCCACTTGCAGACTTTACAAACAGAGTGTTTCCTAACTGCTCTATGAACAGAAAGGTTAAACTCTGTGAGGTGAACGAACACATCACAACGCAGTTTGTGGGAATGATTCTGTCTAGTTTTGAAACGAACATATTTCCTTTTCTGCCATTGACCTTAAAGCGCTTGAAATCTCCACTTGCCAATTGCACAAAAAGAGTGTTTCAAATCTGCTCTGTCTAAGGGAACGTTCAACTCTGTGAGTTGAATGTACACAACACAAGCAAGTTACTGGGAATTCTTCTGTCTAGCCTTACAGGAAAAAAAACCCGTTTCCAACGAAGGCCTCTAAGTGGTCAAAATATCCACGTGCAGACTTTACAAACAGAGTGTTTCCAAACTGCTGAATGAAAAGAAAAGTTAAACTCTGAGAGTTGAACGCACACATCGCAGAGCAGTTTCTGAGAATCATTCTGTCTAGTTTTTCTACGAAGATATTTCCTTTTCTACTATTGACCTCAACGCGGCTGAAATCTCCACTTGCAAATTCCACAAAAAGAGTGTTTCAAGTCTGCTCTGTGTAAAGGATCGTTCAACTCTGTGAGTTGAATACACACAACACAAGGAAGTTACTGAGAATTCTTCTGTCTAGCAGAATAGGAAGAAATCCCGTTTCCAACGAAGGCCTCAAGGAGGTCTGAATATCCACTTGCAGACTTTACAAACAGAGTGTTTCCTAACTGCTCTATGAACAGAAAGGTTAAACTCTGTGAGTTGAACGCACACATCACAAAGGAGTTTCTGAGAATCATTCTGTATAGTCTGTATAAGAAGATATTTCCTTTTCTACCATTGACCTCAAAGCGGCTGAAATCTCCACTTGCAAATTCCACAAAAAGAGTGTTTCAACTCCGCTCTGTGTAAAGGATCGTTCAACTCTGTGAGTTGAATACACACAACACAAGGAAGTTACTGAGAATTCTTCTGTCTAGCAGAATATGAAGAAATCCCGTTTCCAACGAAAGCCTCAAGGATGTCTGAATATCCACTTGCAGACTTTACAAACAGAGTGTTTCCTAACTGCTCTATGAAAAGAAAGGGTAAACTCTGTGAGTTGAACGCACACATCACAAAGGAGTTTCTGAGAATCATTCTGTCTAGTTTTTATACGAAGATATTTCCTTTTCTACCATTGACCTCAAAGCGGCTGAAATCTCCACTTGCAAATTCCACAAAACGAGCGTTTCAAGTCTGCTCTGTGTAAAGGATCGTTCAACTCTGTGAGTTGAATACACACAACACAAGGAAGTTACTGAGAATTCTTCTGTCTAGCCTTACATGAAAAAAACCCGTTTCCAACGAAGGCCTCTAAGTGGTCAAATTATGCACGTGCAGACTTTACAAACAGAGTGTTTCCAAACTGCTGAATGAAAAGAAAAGTTAAACTCTGAGAGTTGAACGCACACATCGCAGAGCAGTTTCTGAGAATGATTCTGTCTAGTTTTTATACGAAGATATTTCCTTTTCTGCCTTTGGCCCCAAAGTGCTTGAAATCTCCACTTGCAAATTCCACAAAAACAGTGTTTCAAATCTGCTCTCTCTAAATGAAAGTTCAACTCTGTCAGTTGAATACACACAACACAAGGTAAGTTACTGAGAATTCTTCTCTCTAGCATTATATGAAGAAATCCCGTTTCCAACGAAGGCCTCAAAGATGTCTGAATATCCACTTGCAGACTTTACAAACAGAGTGTTTCCTAACTGCTCTATGAAAAGAAAGGTTCAACTCTGTGAGTTGAACGCAGACATCACAAAGGAGTTTCTGAGAATCACTCTGTCTAGTTTTTATACGAAGATATTTCCTTTTCTACCATTGACCTCAAAGCGGCTGAAATCTCCACTTGCAAATTACACAAAAAGAGTGTTTCAAGTCTACTCTGTGTAAAGGATCGTTCAACTCTGTGAGTTGAAAACACACAACACAAGGAAGTTTCTGAGAATTCTTCTGTCTAGCAGAATATGAAGAAATCCCGTTTCCAACGAAGGCCACAAGATGTCAGAATATCCACTTACAGAATTAACAAACAGACTGTTTCCTAACTGCTCTATGAAAAGAAAGGTTAAACTCTGTGAGTTGAACAAACACATCACAACGCAGTTTGTGGGAATGATTCTGTCTAGTTTTGAAACGAAGATATTTCCTTTTCTGCCATTGACCTTAAAGCGCTTGAAATCTACACTTGCAAATTGCACAAATAGAGTGTTTCAAATCTGCTCTGTCTAAGGGAACGTTCAACTGTGTGAGTTGAATGCACACAACACAAAGAAGTTACTGGGAATTCTTCTGTCTAGCCTTACATGAAATAAACCCGTTTCCAACGAAGGCCTCTAAGTGGTCAAAATATCCACGTGCAGACTTTACAAACAGAGTGTTTCCAAACCGCTGAATGAAAAGAAAAGTTAAACACTGAGAGTTGAACGCACACATCACGCAGCAGTTTCTGAGAATGATTCTGTCTAGTTTTTATACGAAGATATTTCCTTTTCTGCCTTTGGCCCGAAAGCGCTTGAAATCTCCACTTGCAAATTCCACAAAAACAGTGTTTCAAATCTGCTCTCTCTAAATGAAAGTTCAACTCTGTCAGTTGAATACACACAACACAAGGAAGTTACTGAGAATTCTTCTGTCTAGCATAATATGAAGAAATCTTGTTTCCAACGAAGGCCTCAAAGAGGTCTGAATATCCACTTGCAGACTTTACAAACAGAGTGTTTCCTAACTGCTCTATGAAAAGAAAAGTTTAACTCTGTGTGTTGAACGCACACATCACAAAGGAGTTTCTGAGAATCATTCTGTCTAGTTTTTCTATGAAGATATTTCCTTTTCCACTATTGACCTCAAAGCGGCTGAAATCTCCACTTGCAAATTCCACAAAAAGAGTGTCTCAAGTCTGCTCTGTGTAAAGGATCGTTCCACTCTGTGAGTTGAATACACACAACACAAGGAAGTTACTGAGAATTCTTCTGTCTAGCAGAATATGAAGAAATCCCGTTTCCATCGAAGGCCACAAGATGTCAGAATATCCACTTACAGAATTGACAAACAGACTGTTTCCTAACTGCTCTATGAAAAGAAAGGTTAAACTCTGTGAGTTGAACGAACACATCACAACGCAGTTTGTGGGAATGATTCTGTCTAGTTTTGAAACGAAGATATTTCCTTTTCTGCCATTGACCTTAAAGCGCTTGAAATCTCCGCTTGCCAATTGCACAAAAAGAGTGTTTCAAATCTGCTCTGTCTAAGGGAACGTTCAACTCTGTGAGTTGAATGTACACAACACAAGGAAGTTATTGGGAATTCTTCTGTCTAGCATAATAGGAAGAAATCCCGTTTCCAACGAAGGCCTCAAAGAGGTCTGAATATCCACTTGCAGACTTTACAAACAGAGTGTTTCCAAACCGCTGAATGAAAAGAAAAGTTAAACTCTGAGAGTTGAACGCACGCATCACGCAGCAGTTTCTGAGAATTATTCTGTCTAGTTTTTATACGAAGATATTTCCTTTTCTGCCTTTGGCCCCAAAGCGCTTGAAATCTCCACTTGCAAATTCCACAAAAACAGTGTTTCAAATCTGCTCTCTCTAAATGAAATTTCAACTCTGTCAGTTGAATACACACAACACAAGGAAGTTACTGAGAATAGTTCTGTCTAGCATAATATGAAGAAATCCCGTTTCCAACGAAGGCCTCAAGGAGGTCTGAATATCCACTTGCAGACTTTACCAACAGAGTGTTTCCTAACTGCTCTATGAAAAGAAAGGTTAAACTCTGTGAGTTGAACGCACACATCACAAAGGAGTTTCTGAGAATCATTCTGTCTAGTTTTTATAGGAAGATATTTCCTTTTCTACCTTTGACTTCAAAGCGGCTGAATTCTCCACTTGCAAATTCCACAAAAAGAGTGTTACAACTCTGCTCTGTGTAAAGGATCGTTCAACTCTGTGAGTTGAATACACACAACACAAGGAAGTTACTGAGAATTCTTCTGTCTAGCAGAATATGAAGAAAACCCGTTTCCAACGAAGGCCTCAAAGAGGTCTGAATATCCACTTGCAGACTTTACAAACAGAGTGTTTCCTAACTGCTCTATGAAAAGAAAGGTTAAACTCTGTGAGTTGAATGCACACATCACAAAGGAGTTTCTGAGAATCATTCTGTCTAGTTTCTATAGTAAGATATTTCCTATTCTACCATTGACCTCAAAGCGGCTGAAATCTCCACTTGCAAATTCCACAAAAAGAGTGTTTCAAGTCTGCTCTGTGTAAAGGATCATTCAACTCTGTGAGTTGAATAAACACAACACAAGGAAGTTACTGAGAATTCTTCTGTCTAGCCTTACATGAAAAAATCCCGTTTCCAACGAAGGTCTCTAAGTTGTCAAAATTTCCACGTGCAGACTTTACAAACAGAGTGTTTCCAAACCGCTGAATGAAAAGAAAAGTTAAACTCTGAGAGTTGATCGCACACATCATGCAGCAGTTTCTGAGAATGATTCTGTCTAGTTTTTATAAGAAGATATTTCCTTTTCTGCCTTTGGCCTCAAAGCACTTGAAATCTCCACTTGCAAATTCCACAAAAAGAGTGTTTCCAATCTGCTCTGTGTAAATGAAAGTTCAACTCTGTGAGTTGAACACACACAACACAAGGAAGTTATTGGGAATTCTTCTGTCTAGCAGAATATGAAGAAATCCCGCTTCCAACGAAGGCCTCAAAGAGGTCTGAATATCCACTTGCAGACTTTACAAACAGAGTGTTTCCCAACTGCTCTATGAAAAGAAAGGTTGAACTCTGTGAGTTGAACGCACACATCACAAAGGAGTTTCTGAGAATCATTCTGTCTAGTTTTTATACGAAGATATTTCCTTTTCTACCATTGACCTCAAAGCGGCTGAAATCTCCACTTGCAAATTCCACAAAAAGAGTGTTTCAAGTCTGCTCTGTGTAAAGGATCTTTCAACTCTGTGAGTTGAATACACACAACACAAGGAAGTTACTGAGAATTCTTCTGTCTAGCAGAATATGAAGAAATCCCGTTTCCAACGAAGGCCACAAGATGTCAGAATATCCACTTACAGAATTTACAAACAGACTGTTTCCCAACTGCTCTATGAAAAGAAAGGTTAAACTCTGTGAGTTGAACGCACACATCACAATGAAGTTTCTGAGAATCATTCTGTCTAGTTTTGAAACGAAGATATTTCCTTTTCTGCCGTTGACCTTAAAGCGCTTGAAATCTACACTTGCAAATTGCACAAATAGAGTGTTTCAAATCTGCTCTGTCTAAGGGAACGTTCAACTCTGTGAGTTGAATGCACACAACACAAGGAAGTTACTGGGAATTCTTCTGTCAAGCCTTACATGAAAAAAACCCGTTTCCAACGAAGGCCTCTAAGTGGTCAAAATTTCCACGTGCAGACTTTACAAACAGAGTGTTTCCAAACCGCTGAATGAAAAGAAAAGTTAAACTCTGAGAGTTGAACGCACACATCACGCAGCAGTTTCTGAGAATGATTCTGTCTAGTTTTGAAACGAAGATATTTCCTTTTCTGCCTTTGGCCTCAAAGCGCTTGAAATCTCCACTTGCAAATTCCACAAAAAGAGTGTTTCAAATCTGCTCTGTGTAAATGAAAGTTCAACTCTGTGAGTTGAACACACACAACACAAGGAATTTACTGGGAATTCTTCTGTCTAGCAGAATATGAAGAAATCCCGTTTCCAACGAAAGCCTCAAAGATGTCTGAATATCTACCTGCAGACTTTACAAACAGAGTGTTTCCTAACTGCTCTATGAAAAGAAAGGTTAAACTCTGTGAGTTGAACGCACACATCACAAAGGAGTTTCTGAGAATCATTCTGTCTAGTTTTTCTACGAAGATATTTCCTTTTCTACTATAGACCTCAAAGCGGCTGAAATCTCCACTTGCAAATTCCACAAAAAGAGTGTTTCAAGTCTGCTCTGTGTAAAGGATCGTTCAACTCTGTGAGTTGAATACACACAACACAAGGAAGTTACTGAGAATTCTTCTATATAGCAGAATATGAAGAAATCCCGTTTCCAAAAAAAGCCTCAATGATGTCTGAATATCCACCTGCAGACATTACAAACAGAGTGTTTCCTAACTGCTCTATGAAAAGAAACTTTAAACTCTGTGAGTTGAACGCACACAGCACCAAGGAGTTTCTGACAATCATTCTGTCTAGTTTTTATACGAAGATATTTCCTTTTCTACCATTGACCTCAACGCGGCTGAAATCTCCACTTGCAAATTCCACAAAAAGAGTGTTCCAAGTCTGCTCTGTGTAAAGGATCGTTCAACTCTGTGAGTTGAATACCCACAACACAAGGAAGTTACTGAGAATTCTTCTGTCTAGCAGAATATGAAGAAATCCCTTTTCCAACGAAGGCCACAAGATGTCAGAATATCCACTTACAGAATTGACAAACAGACTGTTTCCTAACTGCTCTATGAAAAGAAAGGTTAAACTCTGTGAGTTGAACGAACACATCACAACGCAGTTTGTGGGAATGATTCTGTCTAGTTTTGAAACGAAGATATTTCCTTTTCTGCTTTGACCTTAAAGCGCTTGAAATCTCCACTTGCCAATTGCACAAAAAGAGTGTTTCAAATCTGCTCTGTCTAAGGGAACGTTCAACTCTGTGAGTTGAATGTACACAACACAAGGAAGTTACTGGGAATTCTTCTGTCTGGCCTTACATGAAAAAAACCCGTTTCCAACGAAGGCCTCTAAGTGGTCAAAATTTCCACGTGCAGACTTTACAAACAGAGTGTTTCCAAACCGCTGAATGAAAAGAAAAGTTAAACTCTGAGAGTTGAACGCACACATCACGCAGCAGTTTCTGAGAATGATTCTGTCTAGTTTTGAAACGAAGATATTTCCTTTTCTGCCTTTGGCCTCAAAGCGCTTGAAATCTCCACTTGCAAATTCCACAAAAAGAGTGTTTCAAATCTGCTCTGGGTAAATGAAAGTTAAACTCTGTGAGTTGAACACACACAACACAAGGAAGTTACTGGGAATTCTTCTGTCTAGCATAATATGAAGAAATCCCGTTTCCAACGAAGGCCTCAAAGAGGTCTGAATATCCACTTGCAGACTTTATAAACAGAGTGTTTCCTAACTGCTCTATGAAAAGAAAAGTTAAACTCTGTGAGTTGAACGCACACATCACAAAGGAGTTTCTGAGAATCATTCTGTCTAGTTTTTATAGGAAGATATTTCCTTTTCTACCTTTGACGTCAAAGCGGGTGAAATCTCCACTTGCAAATTCCACAAAAAGAGTGTTACAAGTCTGCTCTGTGTAAGGGATCGTTCAACTCTATGAGTTGAATACACACAACACAAGGAAGTTACTGAGAATTCTTCTGTCTAGCAGAATATGAAGAAATCCCGTTTCCAACAAAGGCCACAAGATGTCAGAATATCCACTTACAGACTTTACAAACAGAGTGTTTCCTAACTGCTCTATGAACAGAAAGGTTAAACTCTGTGAGTTGAACGAACACATCACAACGCAGTTTGTGGGAATGATTCTGTCTAGTTTTGAAACGAAGATATTTCCTTTTCTGCCATTGACCTTAAAGCGCTTGAAATCTCCACTTGCCAATTGCACAAAAAGAGTGTTTCAAATCTGCTCTGTCTAAGGGAACGTTCAACTCTGTGAGTTGAATGTACACAACACAAGGAAGTTACTGGGAATTCTTCTGTCTAGCCTTACAGGAAAGAAAACCGTTTCCAACGAAGGCCTCTAAGTGGTCAAAATATCCACGTGCAGACTTTACAAACAGAGTGTTTCCAAACTGCTGAATGAAAAGCAAAGTTAAACTCTGAGAGTTGAACGCACACATCGCAGAGCAGTTTCTGAGAATGATTCTGTCTAGTTTTTATACGAAGATATTTCCTTTTCTGCCTTTGGCCTCAAAGCGCTTGCAATCTCCACTTGCAAATTCCACAAAAAGAGTGTTTCCAATCTGCTCTGTGTAAATGAAAGTTCAACTCTGTGAGTTGAACACACACAACACAAGGAAGTTACTGGGAATTCTTTCTCTCTAGCAGAATATGAAGAAATCCCGTTTCCAACGAAAGCCTCAAAGATGTCTGAATATCCTCTTGCAGACTTTACAAACTGAGTGTTTCCTAACTGCTCTATGTAAAGAAAGGTTAAACTCTGTGAGTTGAACGCACACATCACAAAGGAGTTTCTGAGAATCATTCTGTCTAGTTTCTATAGGAAGATATTTCCTATTCTACCATTGACCTCAAAGCGGCTGAAATCTCCACTTGCAAATTCCACAAAAAGAGTGTTTCAAGTCTGCTCTGTGTAAAGGATCGTTCAACTCTGTGAGTTGAATACACACAACACAAGGAACTTACTGAGAATTCTTCTGTCTAGCATAATATGAAGAAATCCCGTTTCCAACGAAGGCCTCAAGGAGGTCTGAATATCCACTTGCACACTTTACAAACAGAGTGTTTCCTAACTGCTCTATGAAAAGAAAGGTTAAACTCTGTGAGTTGAACGCACACATCACAAAGGAGTTTCTGAGAATCATTCTGTCTAGTTTTGAAACGAAGATATTTCCTTTTCTGCCGTTGACCATAAAGCGCTTGAAATCTACACTTGCAAATTGCACAAATAGAGTGTTTCAAATCTGCTCTGTCTAAGGGAACGTTCAAGTCTGTGAGTTGAATGCACACAACACAAGGAAGTTACTGGGAATTCTTCTGTCTAGCCTTACAGGAAAAAAACCCGTTTCCAACGAAGTCCTCTAAGTGGTCAAGTTATCCAAGTGCAGACTTTACAACCAGAGTGTTTCCAAACTGCTGAATGAAAAGAAAAGTTAAACTCTGAGAGTTGAACGCACACATCGCAGAGCAGTTTCTGAGAATGATTCTGTCTAGTTTTTATACGAAGATATTTCCTTTTCTGCCTTTGGTCCCAAAGCGCTTGAAATCTCCACTTGCAAATTCCACAAAAACAGTGTTTCAAATCTGCTCTCTCTAAATGAAAGTTCAACTCTGTCAGTTGAATACACACAACACAAGGAAGTTACTGAGAATTCTTCTGTCTAGCAGAATATGAAGAAATCCCGTTTCCAACGAAGGCCTCAAAGAGGTCTGAATATCCACTTGCAGACTTTACAAACAGAGTGTTTCCTAACTGCTCTATGAAAAGAAAGTTTAAACTCTGTGAGTTGAACGCACACATCACAAAGGAGTTTCTGAGAATCGTTCTGTCTAGTTTCTATAGGAAGATATTTCCTATTCTACCATTGACCTCAAAGCGGCTGAAATCTCCAGTTGCAAATTCCACGAAAAGAATGTTTCAAGTCTGCTCTGTGTAAAGGATCGTTCAACTCTGTGAGTTGAATACACACAACACAAGGAAGTTACTGAGAGTTCTTGTGTCTAGCAGAATATGAAGAAATCCCGTTTCTAACGAAGGCCACAAGATGTCAGAATATCCCCTTACAGACTTTACAAACAGAGTGTTTCCTAACTGCTCTATGAAAAGAAAGGTTAAACCCTGTGAGTTGAACGAACACATCACAACGCAGTTTGTGGGAATGATTCTGTCTAGTTTTGAAACGAAGATATTTCCTTTTCTGCCTTTGGTCTCAAAGCGCTTGAAATCTCCACTTGCCAATTCCACATAAAGAGGGTTTCAAATCTGCTCTGTCTAAATGAAAGTTCAACCCTGTCAGTTGAATACACACCACACAAGGGAGTTTCTGAGAATTCTTCTGTCTAGCCTTACATGAAAAAAACCCGTTTCCAACGAAGGCCTCTAAGTGGTCAAAATATCCACGTGCAGACTTTACAAACAGAGTGTTTCCAAACCGCTGAATGAAAAGAAAAGTTAAACTCTGAGAGTTGAACGCACACATCACGCAGTAGTTTCTGAGAATGATTCTGTCTAGTTTTGAAACGAAGATATTTCCTTTTCTGGCTTTGGCCTCAAAGCGCTTGAAATCTCCATTTGCAAATTCCACAAAAAGAGTGTTGCAAATCTGCTCTGTGTAAATGAAAGTTCAACTCTGTGAGTTGAACACACACAACACAAGGAAGTTACTGGGAATTCTTCTGTCTAGCATAGTATGAAGAAATCCCGTTTCCAACGAAGGCCTCAAAGAGGTTTGAATATCCACTTGCAGAGTTTACAAACAGAGTGTTTCCTAACTGCTCTATGAAAAGAAAGGTTAAACTCTGTGAGTTGAACGCACACATCACAAAGAAGTTTCTGAGAATCATTCTGTCTAGTTTTTATACGAAGATATTTCCTTTTCTACCATTGACCTCAACGCGGCTGAAATCTCCACTTGCAAATTCCATCAAAAGAGTGTTTCAAGTCCGCTCTGTGTAAAGGATCGTTCAACTCTGTGAGATGAATACACACAACACAAGGAAGTTACTGAGAATTCTTCTGTCTAGCACAGTATGAAGAAATCCCGTTTCCAAAGAAGGCCTCAAAGAGGTCTGAATATCCACTTGCAGAGTTTACAAACAGAGTGTTTCCTAACTGCTCTATGAAAAGAAAGGTTAAACTCTGTGAGTTGAACGCACACATCACAAAGAAGTTTCTGAGAATCATTCTGTCTAGTTTTTATACGAAGATATTTCCTTTTCTACCATTGACCTCAAAGCGGCTGAAATCTCCACTTGCAAATTCCACAAAAAGAGTGTTTCAAATCCGCTCTGTGTAAACCATCGTTAAACTCTGTGAGTTGAATACACACAACACAAGGAAGATTCTGAGAATTCTTCTGTCTAGCAGAATATGAAGAAATCCCGTTTCCAACGAAGGCCACAAGATTTCAGAATATCCACTTACAGAATTTACAAACAGACAGTTTCCTAACTCCTCTCTGAAAACAAAGGTTAAACTCTGTGAGTTGAACGAACACATCACAACGCAGTTTGTGGGAATGATTCTGTCTAGTTTCTATAGGAAGATATTTCCTATTCTACCATTGAACTCAAAGCGGCTGAAATCTCCACTTGCAAATACCACAAAAAGAGTGTTTCAAGTCTGCTCTGTGTAAAGGATCGTTCAACTCTGTGAGTTGAAAACACACAACACAAGGAAGTTTCTGAGAATTCTTCTGTCTAGCAGAACATGAAGAAATCCCGCTTCCAACGAAGGCCTCAAGGAGGTCTGAATATCCACTTGCAGACTTTACAAACAGAGTGTTTCCTAACTGGTCTATGAAAAGAAAGGTTAAACTCTGTGAGTTGAACGCACACATCACAAAGGAGTTTCTGAGAATCATTCTGTCTAGTTTTGAAACGAAGAATATTTCCTTTTCTACCATTGACCTCAACGCGGCTGAAATCTCCATTTGCAAATTCCACAAAAAGAGTGTTTCAAATCTGCTCTGTGTAAATGAAAGTTCAACTCTGTGAGTTGAACACACACAACACAAGGAAGTTACTGGGAGTTCTTCTGTCTAGCAGAATATGAAGAAATCCCGTTTCCAACGAAGGCCACAAGATGTCAGAATATCCCCTTACAGAATTTTCAAACAGACTGTTTCCTAACTGCTCTATGAAAAGAAAGGTTAAACTCTGTGAGTAGAACGAACACATCACAACGCAGTTTGTGGGAATGATTCTGTCTAGTTTTGAAACGAAGATATTTCCTTTTCTGCCATTGACCTCAAAGCGCTTGAAATCTCCACTTGCCAATTGCACAAAAAGAGTGTTTCAAATCTGCTCTGTCTAAGGGAACGTTCAACTCTGTGAGTTGAATGTACACAACACAAGGAAGTTACTGGGAATTCTTCTGTCTAGCCTTACAGGAAAAAAACCCGTTTCCAACGAAGGCCTCTAAGTGGTCAAAATATCCACGTGCAGACTTTACAAACAGAGTGTTTCCAAACTGCTGAATGAAAAGAAAAGTTAAACTCTGAGAGTTGAACGGACACATCGCAGAGCAGTTTCTGAGAATGATTCTGTCTAGTTTTGAAACGAAGATATTTCCTTTTCTGCCTTTGGCCTCAAAGTGCTTGAAATCTCCACTTGCAAATTCCACAAAAAGAGTGTTTCAAATCTGCTCTGGGTAAATGAAAGTTCAACTCTGTGAGTTGAACACACACAACACAAGGAAGTTACTGGGAATTCTTCTGTCTAGCCTTACATGAAAAAAACCCGTTTCCAACGAAGGCCTCAAAGCGGTCAAAATATCCACTTGCAGAATTTACAAACAGAGTGTTTCCTAACTGCTGTATGAAAAGAAAGGTTAAACTCTGTGAGTTGAACACACACATCACAAAGGAGTTTCTGAGAATCATTCTGTCTAGTTTCTATAGGAAGATATTTCCTATTCTACCATTGACCTCACAGCGGCTGAAATCTCCACTTGCAAATTCCACAAAAAGAGTGTTTCAAGTCTGCTCTGTGTAAAGGATCGTTCAACTCTGTGAGTTGAAAACACACAACACAAGGAAGTTTCTGAGAATTCTTCTGTCTAGCAGAATATGAAGAAATCCCGTTTCCAACGAAGGCCACAACATGTCAGAATATCCACTTTCATACTTTACAAACAGAGTGTTTCCTAACTGCTCTATGAACAGAAAGGTTAAACTCTGTGGGTTGAACGAACACATCACAACGCAGTTTGTGGCAATGATTCTGTCTAGTTTTGAAACGAAGATATTTACTTTTCTGCCATTGACCTTAAATCGCTTGAAATCTCCAGTTGCCAATTGCACTAAAAGAGTGTTTCAAATCTGCTCTGTCTAAGGGAACGTTCAACTCTGTGTGTTGAATGTACACAACACAAGGAAGTTACTGGGAATTCTTCTGTCTAGCCTTACAGGAAAAAAACCCGTTTCCAACGAAGGCCTCTAAGTGGTCAAGTTATCCACGTGCAGACTTTAGAAACAGAGTGTTTCCAAACTGCTGAATGAAAAGAAAAGTTAAGCTCTGAGAGTTGAACGCACACATCGCAGAGCAGTTTCTGAGAATGATTCTGTCTAGTTTTTATACGAAGATATTTCCTTTTCTGCCTTTGGCCTCAAAGCGCTTGAAATCTCCACTTGCAAATTCCACAAAAAGAGTGTTTCAAATCTGCTCTGTGTAAATCAAAGTTCAACTCTGTGAGTTGAACACACACAACAGAAGGAAGTTACTGGGAATTCTTCTGTCTAGCATAATATGAAGAAATCCCGTTTCCAACGAAGGCCTCAAGGAGTTCTGAATATCCACTTGCACACTTTACAAACAGAGTGTTTCCTAACTGCTCTATGAAAAGAAAGGTTAAACTCTGTGAGTTGAACGCACACATCACAAAGGAGTTTCTCAGAATCATTCTGTCTAGTTTCTATAGGAAGATATTTCCTATTCTACCATTGACCTCAAAGCGTCAGAAATCTCCACTTGCAAATTCCACAAAAAGAGTGTTTCAAGTCTGCTCTGTGTAAAGGATCGTTCAAATCTGTGAGTTGAATACACACAACACAAGGAAGTTACTGAGAATTCTTCTGTCTAGCAGAATATGAAGAAATCCCGTTTCCAACGAAGGCCTCAAGGAGGTCTGAATATCCACTTGCAGACTTTACAAACAGAGTGTTCCCTAACTGCTCTATGAAAAGAAAGGTTAAACTCTGTGATTTGAACGCACACATCACAAAGGAGTTTCTGAGAATCATTCTGTCTACTTTTTATACGAAGATATTTCCTATTCTACCATTGACCTCAAAGCGGCTGAAATCTCCACTTGCAAATTCCACAAGAAGAGTGTTTCAAGTATGCTCTGTGTAAAGGATCGTTCAACTCTGTCAGTTGAATACACACAACACAAGGAAGTTACTGAGAATTCTTCTGTCTAGCCTTACATGAAAAAAACCCGTTTCCAACGAAGGCCTCTAAGTGGTCAAGTTATCCACGTGCAGACTTTACAAACAGAGTTTTTCCAAACTACTGAATGAAAAGAGAAGTTAAACTCTGAGAGTTGAACGCACACATCGCAGAGCAGTTTCTGAGAATGATTCTGTCTAGTTTTTATACGAAGATATTTCCTTTTCTGCCTTTGGCCCCAAAGCGCTTGAAATCTCCCCTTGCAAATTCCACAAAAACAGTGTTTCAAATCTGCTCTCTCTAAATGAAAGTTCAACTCTGTCAGTTGAATACACACAACACAAGGAAGTTACTGAGAATTCTTCTGTATAGCAAAATATGAAGAAATCCGGTTTCCAATGAAGGCCTCAAGGAGGTCTGAATATCCACTTGCAGACTTTACAAACGGAGTGTTTCCTAACTGCTCTATGAAAAGAAAGGTTAAACTCTGTGAGTTGAACGCAGACATCACAAAGGAGTTTCTGAGAATCACTCTGTCTAGTTTTTATACGAAGATATTTCCTTTTCTACCATTGACCTCAAAGCGGCTGAAATCTCCACTTGCCAATTCAACAAAAAGAGTGTTTCAAGTCTACTCTGTGTAAAGGATCGTTGAACTCTGTGAGTTGAAAACACACAACACCAGGAAGTTTCTGAGAATTCTTCTGTCTAGCAGAATATGAAGAAATCCCGTTTCCAACAAAGGCCTCAAAGAGGTCTGAATATCCACTTGCAGACTTCACAAACAGAGTGTTTCCTAACTGCTCTATGAAAAGAAAGGTTAAACTCTGTGAGTTGAACGCACACATCACAAAGGAGTTTCTGAGAATCATTCTGTCTAGTTTTGAAACGAAGATATTTCCTTTTCTGCCATTGACCTTAAAGCGCTTGAAATCTCCATTTGCCAATTGCACAAAAAGAGTGTTTCAAATCTGCTCTGTCTAAGGGAACGTTCAACTCTGTGAGTTGAATGTACACAACACAAGGAAGTTACTGAGAATTCTTCTGTCTAGCCTTACAGGAAAAAAACCCGTTTCCAACGAAGGCCTCTAAGTGGTCAAAATATCCACGTGCAGACTTTACAAACAGAGTGTTTCCAAACTGCTGAATGAAAAGAAAAGTTAAACTCTGAGAGTTGAACGCACACATCACAGAGCAGTTTCTGAGAATGATTCTGTCTAGTTTCTATAGGAAGATATTTCCTATTCTACCGTTGACCTCAAAGCGCCTGAATTCTCCACTTGCAAATTCCACAACAAGAGTGTTTCAAGTCTGTTCTGTGTAAAGGATCATTCAACTCTGTGAGTTGAATACACACAACACAAGGAAGTTACTGAGAATTCTTCTGTCTAGCAGAATATGAAGAAATCCCGTTTCCAACGAAGGCCTCAAAGAGGTCTGAATATCCACTTGCAGACTTTACAAACAGAGTGTTTCCTAACTGCTCTATGAAAAGAAAAGTTAAACTCTGTGAGTTGAACGCACACATCACAAAGGTGTTTCTGAGAATCATTCTGTCTAGTTTCTATAGGAAGATATTTCCTATTCTACCATTGACCTCAAAGCGGCTGAAATCTCCACTTGCAAATTCCACAAAAAGAGTGTTTCAAGTCTGCTCTGTGTAAAGGATCGTTCAACTCTGTGAGTTGAATACATACAACACAAGGAAGTTACTGAGAATTCTTCTGTCTAGCAGAATATGAAGAAATCCCGTTTCCAACGGAGGCCACAAGATGTCAGAATATCCACTTACAGAATTTACCAACAGAGTGTTTCCTAACTGCTCTATGAAAAGAAAGGTTAAACTCTGTGAGTTGAACGAACACATCACAACGCAGTTTGTGGGAATGATTCTGTCTAGTTTTTATACGAAGATATTTCCTTTTCTACCATTGACCTCAAAGCGGCTGAAATCACCACTTGCCAATTGCACAAAAAGAGTGTTTCAAATCTGCTCTGTCTAAGGGAACGTTCAACTCTGTGAGTTGAATGTACACAACACAAGGAAGTTACTGGGAATTCTTCTGTCGAGCCTTACATGAAAAAAACCCGTTTCCAACGAAGGCCTCTAAGTGGTCAAAATTTCCACGTGCAGACTTTACAAACAGAGTGTTTCCAAACCGCTGAATGAAAAGAAAAGTTAAACTCTGAGAGTTGAACGCACACATCACACAGCAGTTTCTGAGAATGATTTCTGTCTAGTTTTGAAACGAAGATATTTCCTTTTCTGCATTTGGCCTCAAAGCGCTTGAAATCTCCACTTGCAAATTCCACAAAAAGAGTGTTTCAAATCTGCTCTGTGTAAATGAAAGTTCAACTCTGTGAGTTGAACACACACAACACAAGGAAGTTACTGGGAATTCTTCTGTCTGGCAGAATATGAAGAAATCCCGTTTCCAACGAGGGCCTAAAAGGGGTCTGAATATCCACTTGCAGACTTTATAAACAGAGTGTTTACTAACTGCTCTATGAAAAGAAAGGTTAAACTCTGTGAGTTGCAGACACACATCACAAAGGAGTTTCTGAGAATCATTCTGTCTAGTTTTTATACGAAGATATTTCCTTTTCTACCATGGACCTCAAAGCGGCTGAAATCTCCACTTGCAAATTCCACAAAAAGAGTGTTTCAAGTCTGCTCTGTGTAAAGGATCGTTCAACTCTGTGAGTTGAATACACACAACACATGGAAGATTCTGAGAATTCTTCTGTCTAGCAGAATATGAAGAAATCCCGTTTCCAACGAAGGCAACAAGATGTCAGAATATCCACTTGCAGACTTTACAAACAGAGTGTTTCCTAACTGCTCTATGAACAGAAAGGTTAAACTCTGAGAGTTGAACAAACACATCACAACGCAGTTTGTGGGAATGATTCTGTCTAGTTTTTATAGGAAGTTATTTCCTTTTCTACTTTGACTTCAAAGTGGCTGAAATCTCCACTTGCAAATTCCACAAAAATAGTGTTACAAGTCTGCTCTGTGTAAAGGATCATTCAACTCTGTGAGTTGAATACACACAACACAAGGAAGTTACTGAGAATTCTTCTGTCTAGCCTTACATGAAAAAAACCCGTTTCCAACGAAGGCCACTAAGTGGTCAAAACATCCACGTGCAGACTTTACAAACAGAGTGTTTCCATACTGCTGAATGAAAAGAAAAGTTAAACTCTGAGAGTGGAACGCACACATCACAGAGCAGTTTCTGAGAATGATTCTGTCTAGTTTTCATACGAAGATATTTCCTTTTCTGCCTTTGGCCCCAAAGCGCTTGAAATCTCCACTTGCAAATTCCACAAAAACAGTGTTTCAAATCTGCTCTCTCTAAATGAAAGTTCAACTCTGTCAGTTGAATACACACAACACAAGGAAGTTACTGAGAATTCTTCTGTCTAGCATAATATGAAGAAATCCCGTTTCCAACGAAGGCCTCAAAGGGGTCTGAATATCCACTTGCAGACTTTATAAACAGAGTGTTTACTAACTGCTCTATGAAAAGAAAGGTTAATCTCTGTGAGTTGAACACACACATCACAAAGGAGTTTCTTAGAATCATTCTGTCTAGTTTCTATAGGAAGATATTTCCTATTCTACAATTGACCTCAAAGCGGCTGAAATCTCCAGTTGCAAATTCCACAAAAAGAATGTTTCAAGTCTGCTCTGTGTAAAGGATCGTTCAACTCTGTGAGTTGAATACACACAACACAAGGAAGTTACTGAGAATTATTCTGTCTAGCAGAATATGAAGAAATCCCGTTTCCAACGAAGGCCACACGATGTCAGAATATCCACTTACAGACTTTACAAACAGTGTTTCCTAACTGCTCTATGAACAGAAAGGTTAAACTCTGTGAGTTGAACGAACACATCACAACGCCGTTTGTGGGAATGATTCTGTGTAGTTTTGAAACGAAGATATTTCGTTTTCTGCCATTGACCTTAAAGCGCTTGAAATCTCCACTTGCCAATTGCACAAAAAGAGTGTTTCAAATCTGCTCTGTCTAAGGGAACGTTCAACTCTGTGAGTTGAATGTACACAACACAAGGAAGTTACTGGGAATTCTTCTGTCTAGCCTTACATGGAAAAAACCCGTTTCCAACGAAGGCCTCAAAGAAGTCCAAATATCCACGTGCAGACATTACAAACAGAGTGTTTCCTAACTGCTCTATGAAAAGAAAGGTTAAACTATGCGAGTTGAACGCACACATCACAAAGGAGTTTCTGAGAATCATTCTGTCTAGTTTTTATACGAAGATATTTCCTTTTCTACCATTGACCTCAAAGCGGCTGAAATCTCCACCCTGCCAATTCCACAAAAAGAGTGTTTCAAGTCTACTCTGTGTAAAGGATCGTTGAACTCTGTGAGTTGAAAACACACAACACAAGGAAGTTTCTGAGAATTCTTCTGTATAGCAGAATATGAAGAAATCCCGTTTCCAACGAAGGCCTCAAGGAGGTCTGAATATCCACTTGCAGACTTTACAAACAGAGTGTTTCTTAACTGCTCTATGAAAAGAAAGGTTAAGCTCTGTGAGTTGAACGCAGACATCACAAAGGAGTTTCTGAGAATCACTCTGTCTAGTCTTTATACGAAGATAGTTTCCTTTTCTACCATTGACCTCAAAGCGGCTGAAATCTCCACTTGCAAATTCCACAAAAAGAGGGTTTCAAGTCTGCTCTGTGTAAAGGATCGTTCAACTCTGTGAGTTGAATACACACAACACAAGGAAGTTACTGAGAATTCTTCTGTCTAGCAGAATATGAAGAAATCCCGTTTCCAACGAAGGCCTCAAGGAGGTCTGAATATCCACTTGCAGACTTTACAAGCAGAGTGTTTCCTAACTGCTCTATGAAAAGAAAGGTTAAACTCTGTGAGTTGAACGCACACATCACAAAGGAGTTTATGAGAATCATTCTGTCTAGTTTTGAAACGAAGATATTTCCTTTTCTGCCACTGACCTTAAAGCGCTTGAAATCTCCACTTGCCAATTGCACAAAAAGAGTGTTTCAAATCTGCTCTGTCTAAGGGAACGTTCAACTCTGTGAGCTGAATGTACGCAACAGAAGGAAGTTACTGGGAATTCTTCTGTCTAGCCTTACATGAAAAAAACCCGTTTCCAACGAAGGCCTCTAAGTGGTCAAATTATCCACGTGCAGATTTTACAAACAGAGTGTTTCCAAACTGCTGAATGAAAAGCAAAGTTAAACTCTGAGAGTTGAACGCACACATCGCAGAGCAGTTTCTGAGAATGATTCTGTCTAGTTTTTATACGAAGATATTTCCTTTTCTGCCTTTGGCCTCAAAGCGCTTGAAATCTCCATTTGCAAATTCCACAAAAAGAGTGTTTCAAATCTGCTCTGTGTAAATGAAAGTTCAACTCTGTGAGTTGAACACACACAAAACAAGGAAGTTACTGGGAATTCTTCTGTATAGCAGAATATGAAGAAATCCCGTTTCCAACGAAGGCCTCAAGGAGGTCTGAATATCCACCTGCAGACTTTACAAACAGAGTGTTTCCTAACTGCTCTATGAAAAGAAAGGTTAAACTCTGTGAGTTGAACGCAGACATCACAAAGGAGTTTCTGAGAATCACTCTGTCTAGTTTTTATACGAAGATATTTCCTTTTCTACCATTTACCTCAAATTGGCTGAAATCTCCACTTGAAAATACCAAAAAAAGTGTGTTTCAAGTCTGCTCTGTGTAAAGGATCGTTCAACTCTGTGAGTTGAATACACACAACACAAGGAAGTTTCTGAGAATTCTTCTGTCTAGCAGAATATGAAGAAATCCCGTTTCCAACTAAGGCCACAAGATGTCAGAATATCCACTTACAGAATTTACAAACAGACTGTTTCCTAACTGCTCTATGAAAAGAAACGTTAAACTCTGCGAGTTGAGCGAACACATCACAACGCAGTTTGTGGGAATGATTCTGTCTAGTTTTGAAACGAAGATATTTCCTTTTCTGCCATTGACCTTAAAGCGCTTGAAATCTACACTTGCAAATTGCACAAATAGAGTGTTTCAAATATGCTCTGTCTAAGGGAACGTTCAACTCTGTGAGTTGAATGCACACAACACAAGGAAGTTACTGGGAATTCTTCTGTCTAGCCTTACATGAAAAAAACCCGTTTCTAACGAAGGCCTCTAAGTGGTCAAATTATCCACGTGCAGACTTTACAAACAGAGTGTTTCCAAACTGCTGAATGAAAAGAAAAGTTAAACTCTGAGAGTTGAACGCACACATCGCAGAGCAGTTTCTGAGAATGATTCTGTCTAGTTTTTATACGAAGATATTTCCTTTTCTGCCTTTGGCCCCAAAGCGCTTGAAATCTCCACTTGCAAATTCCACAAAAACAGTGTTTCAAATCTGCTCTCTCTAAATGAAAGTTCAATTCAGTCAGTTGAATACACACAACACAAGGAAGTTACTGAGAATTCTTCCGTCTAGCAGAATATGAAGAAATCCCGTTTCCAACGAAGGCCTCAAAGAGGTCTGAATATCCACTTGCAGACTTTACAAACAGAGTGTTTCCTAACTGCTCTATGAAAAGAAAGGTTAAACTCTGTGAGTTGAACGCACACATCACAAAGGAGTTTATGAGAATCATTCTGTCTAGTTTCTATAGGAAGATATTTCCTATTCTACCTTTGACCTCAAAGCGGCTGAAATCTCCACTTGCAAATTCCACAAAAAGAGTGTTTCAAGTCTGCTCTCTGTAAAGGATCGTTCAACTCTGTGAGTTGAATACACACAACACAAGGAAGTTACTGAGAATTATTCTGTCTAGCAGAATATGAAGAAATCCCGTTTCCAACGAAGGCCACAAGATGTCAGAATATCCACTTACAGACTTTACAAACAGAGTGTTTCCTAACTGCTCTATGAACAGAAAGGTTAAACTCTGTGAGTTGAACGCACACATCACAAAGGAGTTTCTGAGAATCATTCTGTCCAGTCTTTATACGAAGATATTTACTTTTCTACCATTGACTTCAAAGCGGCTGAAATCTCCACTTACAAATTCCACAAAAAGAGTGTTTCAAGTCTGCTCTGTGTAAAGGATCATTCAACTCTGTGAGTTGAATAAACACAACACAAGGAAGTTACTGAGAATTCTTCTGTCTAGCCTTACATGAAGAAAACCCGTTTCCAACGAAGGCCTCTAAGTGGTCAAAATATCCACGTGCAGTCTTTACAAACAGAGTGTTTCCAAACCGCTGAATGAAAAGAAAAGTTAAACTCTGAGAGTTGAACGCACACATCACGCAGCAGTTTCTGAGAATGATTCTGTCTAGTTTTTATACCAAGATATTTCCTTTTCTGCCTTTGGCCCCAAGGCGCCTGAAATCTCCACTTGCAAATTCCACAAAAACAGTGTTTCAAATCTGCTCTCTCTAAATGAAAGTTCAACCCTGTCAGTTGAATACACACAACACAAGGAAGTTACTGAGAATTCTTCTGTCTAGCCTTATATGACAAAAACCCGTTTCCAACGAAGGCCTCAAAGAGGTCTGAATATCCACTTGCAGACTTTACAAACAGAGTGTTTCCTAACTGCTCTATGAAAAGAAAGGTTAAACTCTGTGAGTTGAACGCACACATCACAAAGGAGTTTCTGAGAATCATTCTGTCTAGTTTTTCTACGAAGATATTTCCTTTTCTACTATTGACCTCAAAGCGGCTGAAATCTCCTCTTGCAAATTCCACAAAAAGAGTGTTTCAAGTCTGCTCTGTGTAAAGGATCGTTCAACTCTGTGAGTTGAATACACACAACACAAGGGAAGTTACTGAGAATTCTTCTGTCTAGCAGAATATGAAGAAATCCCGTTTCCAACGAAGGCCACAAGATGTCAGAATATCCACTTACAGAATTTTCAAACAGACTGTTTCCTAACTACTCTATGAAAAGAAAGGTTAAACTCTGTGAGTTGAACGAGCACATCACAACGCAGTTTGTGGGAATGATTCTGTCTAGTTTTGAAACGAAGATATTTCCTTTTCTGCCGTTGACCTTAAAGCGCTTGAAATCTACACTTGCAAATTGCACAAATAGAGTGTTTCAAATCTGCTCTGTCTAAGGGAACGTTCAACTTTGTGAGTTGAATGCACACAACACAAGGAAGTTACTGGGAATTCTTCTGTCTAGCCTTACAGGAAAAAAACCCGTTTCCAACGAAGGCCTCTAAGTGGTGAAAATATCCACGTGCAGACTTTACAAACAGAGTGTTTCCAAACTGCTGAATGAAAAGAAAAGTTAAACTCTGAGAGTTGAACACACACATCGCAGAGCAGTTTCTAAGAATGATTCTGTCTAGTTTTTATACGAAGATATTTCCTTTTCTGCCTTTGGCCTCAAAGCGCTTGAAATCTCCACTTGCAAATTCCACAAAAAGAGTTTTTCAAATCTGCTCTGTGTAAATGAAAGTTCAACTCTGTGAGTTGAACACACACAACAGAAGGAAGTTACTGGGAATTCTTCTGTCTAGCAGAACATGAAGAAATCCCGCTTCCAACGAAGGCCTCAAAGGAAGTCTGAATATCCACTTGCAGACTTTACAAACAGAGTGTTTCCCAACTGCTCTATGAAAAGAAAGGTTAAACTCTGTGAGTTGAACGCACACATCACAAAGGAGTTTCTGAGAATCATTCTGTCTAGTTTTTATACGAAGATATTTCCTTTTCTACCATTGACCTCAAAGCGGCTGAAATCTCCACTTGCAAATTCCACAAAAAGAGTGTTTCAAGTCTGCTCTGTGTAAAGGATCGTTGAACTCTGTGAGTTGAATACACACAACACAAGGAAGTTACTGAGAATTCTTCTGTCTAGCAGAATATGAAGAAATCCCGTTTCCAACGAAGGCCACAAGATGTCAGAATATCCACTTACAGAATTTACAAACAGACTGTTTCCAAACTGCTCTATGAAAAGAAAGGTTAAACTCTGTGAGATGAACGAGCACATCACAACGCAGTTTGTGGGAATGATTCTGTCTAGTTTTGAAACGAAGATATTTCCTTTTCTGCCGTTGACCTTAAAGTGCTTGAAAACTACACTTGCAAATTGCAGAAATAGAGTGTTTCAAATCTGCTCTGTCTAAGGGAACGTTCAACTCTGTGAGTTGAATGCACACAACACAAGGAAGTTACTGGGAATTCTTCTGTCTAGCCTTACAGGAAAAAAACCCGTTTCCAACGAAGGCCTCTAAGTGGTCAAGTTATCCACGTGCAGACTTTACAAACAGAGTGTTTCCAAACTGCTGAATGAAAAGAAAAGTTAAACTCTGAGAGTTGAACGCACACATCGCAGAGCAGTTTCTGAGAATGATTCTGTCTAGTTTTTATACGAAGATATTTCCATTTCTGCCTTTGGCCTCAAAGCGCTTGAAATCTCCATTTGCAAAGTCCACAAAAAGAGTGTTTCAAATCTGCTCTGTGTAACTGAAAGTTCAACTCTGTGAGTTGAACACACACAACACAAGGAAGTTACTGGGAATTCTTCTGTCTAGCCTTACATGAAAAAACCCGTTTCCAACGAAGGCCTCAAAGAGGTCTGAATATCCACTTGCAGAGTTTACAAACAGAGTGTTTCCTAACTGCTCTATGAAAAGAAAGGTTAAACTCTGTGAGTTGAACGCACACATCACAATGAAGTTTCTGAGAATCATTCTGTCTAGTCTTTATACGAAGATATTTACTTTTCTACCATTGACTTCAAAGCGGCTGAAATCTCCACTTGCAAATTCCACAAAAACAGTGTTTCAAGTCTGCTCTGTGTAAAGGATCATTCAACTCTGTGAGTTGAATAAACACAACACAAGGAAGTTACTGAGAATTCTTCTGTCTAGCAGAATGTGAAGAAATCCCGTTTCCAACGAAGGCCACAAGATGTCAGAATATCCACTTACAGACTTTACAAACAGAGTGTTTCCTAACTGCTCTATGAATAGAAAGGTTAAACCCTGTGAGTTGAACGAACACATCACAACGCAGTTTGTGGGAATGATTCTGTCTAGTTTTGAAACGAAGATATTTCCTTTTCTGCCATTGACCTTAAAGCGCTTGAAATCTCCATTTGCCAATTGCACAAAAAGAGTGTTTCAAATCTGCTCTGTCTAAGGGAACGTTCAACTCTGTGAGTTGAATGTACACAACACAAGGAAGTTACTGGGAATCTTCTGTCTAGCCTTACATGAAAAAAACCTGTTTCCAACGAAGGCCTCTAAGTGGTCAAATTATGCACGTGCAGACTTTACAAACAGAGTGTTTCCAAACTGCTGAATGAAAAGAAAAGTTAAACTCTGAGAGTTGAACGCACACATCGCAGAGCAGTTTCTGAGAATGATTCTGTCTAGTTTTTATACGAAGATATTTCCTTTTCTGCCTTTGGCCTCAAAGCGCTTGAAATCTCCACTTGCAAATTCCACAAAAAGAGTGTTTCAAATCTGCTCATTGTAAATGAAAGTTCAACTCTGTGAGTTGAACACACACAACACAAGGAAGTTACTGGGAATCCTTCTGTCTAGCACAGTATGAAGAAATCCCGTTTCCAACGAAGGCCTCAAAGAGGTCTGAATATCCACTTGCAGAGTTTACAAACAGAGTGTTTCCTAACTGCTCTATGAAAAGAAATGTTAAACTCTGTTAGTTGAACGCACACATCACAAAGAAGTTTCTGAGAATCATTCTGTCTAGTTTTTATACGAAGATATTTCCTTTTCTACCATGGACCTCAAAGCGGCTGAAATCTCCACTTGCAAATTCCACAAAAAGAGTGCATCAAGTCTGCTCTGTGTAAAGGATCGTTCAACTCTGTGAGTTGAATACACACAACACAAGGAAGATTCTGAGAATTCTTCTGTCTAGCAGAATATGAAGAAATCCCGTTTCCAACGAAGGCCTCAAAGAGGTCTGAATATCCACTTGCAGACTTTACAAACAGAGTGTTTCCTAACTGCTCTATGAACAGAAAGGTTAAACTCTGTGAGTTGAACGAACACATCACAACGCAGTTTGTGGGAATGATTCTGTCTAGTTTTGAAACGAAGATATTTCCTTTTCTGCCATTGACCTTAAAGCGCTTGAAATCTCCACTTGCCAATTGCACAAAAAGAGTGTTTCAAATCTGCTCTGTCTAAGGGAACGTTCAACTCTGTGAGTTGAATGTACACAACACAAGGAATTTACTGGAAATTCTTCTGTCTAGCCTTACATGCAAAAAACCTGTTTCCAACGAAGGCCTCTAAGTGGTCAAAATATCCACGTGCAGACTTTACAAACAGAGTGTTTCCAAACCGCTGAATGAAAAGAAAAGTTAAACTCTGAGAGTTGAACGCACACATCATGCAGCAGTTTCTGAGAATGATTCTGTCTAGTTTTGAAACGAAGATATTTCCTTTTCTGCCTTTGGCCTCAAAGCGCTTGAAATCTCCACTTGCAAATTCCACAAAAAGAGTGTTTCAAATCTGCTCTGTGTAAATGAAAGTTCAACTCTGTGAGTTGAACACACACAACACAAGGAAGTTACTGGGAATTCCTCTGTCTAGCAGAATATGAAGAAATCCCGTTTCCAACGAAGGCCTCAAAGAGGTCTGAATATCCACTTGCAGACTTTTCAGAAAGAGTGTTTCCTAACTGCTCTATGAAAAGAAAGGTTAAACTCTGTGAGTTGAACGCACACATCACAAAGGAGTTTCTGAGAATCATTCTGTCTAGTTGTTATACGAAGATATTTCTTTTTCTACCATTGACCTCAAAGCGGCTGAAATCTCCACTTGCAAATTCCACCAAATGAGTGTTTCAAATCTGCTCTGTGTAAACCATCATTCAACTCTGTGAGTTGAATACACACAACACAAGGAAGATTCTGAGAATTCTTCTGTCAAGCAGAATATGAAGAAATCCCGTTTCCAACGAAGGCCACAAGATGTCAGAATATCCACATACAGAATTTACAAACAGACTGTTTCCTAACTGCTCTATGAAAAGAAAGGTTAAACTCTGTTAGTTGAACGAACACATCACAACGCAGTTTGTGGGAATGATTCTGTCTAGTTTTGAAACGAAGATATTTCCTTTTCTGCCATTGACCTTAAAGCGCTTGAAATCTCCATTTGCCAATTGCACAAAAAGAGTGTTTCAAATCTGCTCTGTCTAAGGGAACGTTCAACTCTGTGAGATGAATGTACACAACACAAGGAAGTTACTGGGAATTCTTCTGTCTAGCCTTACAGGAAAAAAACCCGTTTCCAACGAAGGCCTCTAAGTGGTCAAAATATCCACGTGCAGACTTTACAAACAGAGTGTTTCCAAACTGCTGAATGAAAAGAAAAGTTAAACTCCTGAGAGTTGAACGCACACATCGCAGAGCAGTTTCTGAGAATGATTTCTGCCTAGTTTTTCTACGAAGATATTTCCTTTTCTACTATTGACCTCAAAGCGGCTGAAATCTCCACTTGCAAATTCCACAAAAAGAGTGTTTGAAGTCTGCTCTGTGTAAAGGATCGTTCAACTCTGTGAGTTGAATACACACAACACAAGGAAAGTTACTGAGAATTCTTCTGTCCAGCAGAATATGAAGAAATCCCGTTTCCAACGAAGGCCTCAAAGAGGTCTGAATATCCACTTGCAGACTTTACAAACAGAGTGTTTCCTAACTGCTCTATGAAAAGAAAGGTTAAACTCTGTGAGTTGAACGCACACATCACAAAGGAGTTTCTGAGAATCATTCTGTCTAGTCTTTATACGAAGATATTTCCTTTTCTACCATTGACCACAAAGCGGCTGAAATCTCCACTTGCAAATTCCACAAAAAGAGTGTTTCAAGTCTGCTGCTGTGTAAAGGATCATTCAACTCCTGTGAGTTGAATAAACACAACACAAGGAAGTTACTGAGAATTCTTCTGTATAGCAGAATATGAAGAAATCCCGTTTCCAACGAAAGCCTCAAAGATGTCTGAATATCCACTTACAGACTTTACAAACAGAGTGTTTCCTAACTGCTCTATGAAAAGAAAGGTTCAACTATGTGAGTTGAACGCACACATCACAAAGGAGTTTCTGAGAATCATTCTGTCTAGTTTTGAAACGAAGATATTTCCTTTTCTGCCATTGACCTTAAAGCGCTTGAAATCTACACTTGCAAATTGCACAAATAGTGTGTTTCAAATCTGCTCTGTCTAAGGGAATGTTCAACTCTGTGAGTTGAATGCACACAACACAAGGAAGTTACTGGGAATTCTTCTGTCTACCCTTACATGAAAAAAACCCGTTTCCAACGAAGGCCTCTAAGTGGTCAAAATATCCACGTGCAGACTTTACAAACAGAGTGTTTCCAAACTGCTGAATGAAAACAAAAGTTAAACTCTGAGAGTTGAACGCACACATCACAAAGCATTTTCTGAGAATGATTCTGTCTAGTTTTTATACGAAGATATTTCCTTTTCTGCCTTTGGCCCCAAAGCGCTTGAAATCTCCACTTGCAAATTCCACAAAAACAGTGTTTCAAATCTGCTCTCTCTAAACGAAAGTTCAACTCTGTCAGTTGAATACACACAAAACAAGGAAGTTACTGAGAATTCTTCTGTCTAGCAGAATATGAAGAAATCCTGCTTCCAACGAAGGCCTCAAAGAAGTCTGAATATCCATTTGCAGACTTTACAAACAGAGCGTTTCCCAACTGCTCTATGAAAAGAAAGGTTGAACTCTGTGAGTTGAACGCACACATCACAAAGGAGTTTCTGAGAATCATTCTGTCTAGTCTTTATAGGAAGATATTTCCTTTTCTACCATTGACCTCAAAGCGGCTGAAATCTCCACTTGCAAATTCCACAAAAAGAGTGTTTCAAGTCTGCTCTCTGTAAAGGATCGTTCAACTCTGTGAGTTGAATACACACAACACAAGGGAAGTTACTGAGAATTCTTCTGTCTAGCAGAATATGAAGAAATCCCGTTTCCAACGAAGGCCACAAGATGTCAGAATATCCACTTACAGAATTTACAAACAGACTGTTTCCTAACTGCTCTATGAAAAGAAAGGTTAAACTCTGTGAGTTGAGCGAACACATCACAACGCAGTTTGTGGGAATGATACTGTCTAGTTTTGAAACGAAGTTATTTCCTTTTCTGCCATTGACCTTAAAGCGCTTGAAATCTCCACTTGCAAATTGCACAAAAAGAGTGTTTCAAATCTGCTCTGTCTAAAGGAACGTTCAACTCTGTGAGTTGAATGCACACAACACAAAGAAGTTACCGGGAATTCTTCTGTCTAGCCTTACATGAAAAAAACCCGTTTCTAACGAAGGCCTCTAAGTGGTCAAATTATCCACGTGCAGACTTTACAAACAGAGTGTTTCCAAACTGCTGAAGGAAAAGAAAAGTTAAACTCTGAGAGTTGAACACACACATCGCAGAGCAGTTTCTTAGAATGATTCTGTCTAGTTTTTATACGAAGATATTTCCTTTTCTGCCTTTGGCCCCAAAGCGCTTGAAATCACCACTTGCAAATTCCACAAAAACAGTGTTTCAAATCTGCTCTCTCTAAATGAAAGTTCATCTCTGTCAGTTGAATACACACAACACAAGGAAGTTACTGAGAATTCTTCTGTCTAGCCTTATATGAAAAAAACCCGTTTCCAACGAAGGCCTCAAAGAGGTCTGAATATCCACTTGCAGACTTTACAAACAGAGTGTTTCCTAACTGCTCTATGAAAAGAAATGTTAAACTCTGTGAGTTGAACAGACACATCACAAAGGAGTTTCTGAGAATCATTCTGTCTAGTTTTGAAACGAAGATATTTCCTTTTCTACCATTGACCTCAACGCGGCTGAAAACTCCATTTGCAAATTCCACAAAAAGAGTGTTTCAAATCTGCTCTGTGTAAATGAAAGTTCAACTCTGTGAGTTGAACACACACAACACAAGGAAGTTACTGGGAATTCTTCTGTCTAGCAGAATATGAAGAAATCCCGCTTCCAACGAAGGCCTCAAGGAGGTCTGAATATCCACTTGCAGACTTTACAAACAGAGTGTTTCCTAACTGCTCTATGAACAGAAAGGTTAAACTCTGTGAGTTGAACGAACACATCACAACGCAGTTTGTGGGAATGATTCTGTCTAATTTTGAAACGAAGATATTTCCTTTTCTGCCATTGACCTTAATGCGCTTGAAATCTACACTTGCAAATTGCACAAATAGAGTGTTTCAAATCTGCTCTGTCTAAGGGAACGTTCAACTCTGTGAGTTGAATGCACACAACACAAGGAAGTTACTGGGAATTCTTCTGTCTAGCCTTACATGAAAAAAACCTGTTTCCAACGAAGGCCTCTAAGTGGTCAAATTATCCACGTGCAGACTTTACAAACAGAGTGTTTCCAAACTGCTGAATGAAAAGAAAAGTTAAACTCTGAGAGTTGAACGCACACATCGCAGAGCAGTTTCTGAGAACGATTCTGTCTAGTTTTTATACGAAGATATTTCCTTTTCTGCTTTGGCCCCAAAGCGCTTGAAATCTCCACTTGCAAATTCCACAAAAACAGTGTTTCAAATCTGCTCTCTCTTAATGAAAGTTCAACTCTGTCAGTTGAATACACACAACACAAGGAAGTTACTGAGAATTCTTCTGTCTAGCCTTATATGAAAAAAACCCGTTTCCAACGAAGGCCTCAAAGAGGTATGAGTATCCACTTGCAGACTTTACAAACAGAGTGTTTCCTAACTGCTCTATGAAAAGAAAGGTTAAAATACTGTGAGTTGAACACACACATCACAAAGGAGTTTACTGAGAATCATTCTGTCTAGTCTTTATACGAAGATATTTCCTTTTCTAACATTGACCTCAAAGCGGCTGAAATCTCCACTTGCAAATTCCACAAAAAGAGTGTTTCAAGTCTGCTCTCTGTAAAGGATCGTTCAAATCTGTGAGTTGAATACACACAACACAAGGAAGTTACTGAGAATTATTCTGTCTAGCAGAATATGAAGAAATCCCGTTTCCAACGAAGGCCCCAAGATGTCAGAATATCCACTTACAGAATTTACAACAGAGTGTTTCCTAACTGCTCTATGAAAAGAAAGGTTAAACTCTGTGAGTTGAACGAACACATCACAACGCAGTTTGTGGGAATGATTCTGTCTAGTTTTGAAACGAAGATATTTCCTTTTCTGCCATTGACCTTAAAGCGCTTGAAATCTACACTTGCAAATTGCACAAATAGAGTGTTTCAAATCTGCTCTGTCTAAGGGAACGTTGAACTCTGTGAGTTGACTGCACACAACACAAGGAAATTACTGGGAATTCTTCTGTCTAGCCTTACATGAAAAAAACACGTTTCCAACGAAGGCCTCTAAGTGGTCAAAATATCCATGTGCAGACTTTACAAACAGAGTGTTTCCTAACTGCTCTATGAAAAGAAAGGTTAAACTCTGTGAGTTCAACGCCCACATCACAAAGGAGTTTCTGAGAATCATTCTGTCTAGTTTCTATACGAAGATATTTCCTTTTCTACCATTGACCACAAAGCGGCTGAAATCTCCACTTGCAAATTCCACAAAAAGAGTGTTTCAAGTCTGCTCTGTGTAAAGGATCGTTCAACTCTGTGAGTTGAATACACACAACACAAGGAAGTTTCTGAGAATTCTTCTGTCTAGCATAGTATGAAGAAATCCCGTTTCCAACGAAGGCCTCCAAGAGGTCTGAATATCCACTTGCAGAGTTTACAAACAGAGTGTTTCCTAACTGATCTATGAAAAGAAAGGTTAAACTCGGTGAGTTGAACGCACACATCACAAAGAAGTTTCTGAGAATCATTCTGTCTAGTTTCTATAGGAAGATTTTTCCTATTCTACCATTGAACTCAAAGCGGCTGAAATCTCCACTTGCAAATTCCACAAAAAGAGTGTTTCAAGTCTGCTCTGTGTAAAGGATCATTCAACTCTGTGAGTTGAATACACACAACACAAGGAAGTTACTGAGAATTCTTCTGTCTAGCATAATAGGAAGAAAAGCCGTTTCCAACGAAGGCCTCAAGGAGGTCTGAATATCCACTTGCAGACTTTACAAACAGAGTGTTTCCTATCTGCTCTATGAAAAGAAAGGTTAAACTCTGTGAGTTGTACGCACACATCACAAAGGAGTTTCTCAGAATCATTCTGTCTAGTTTTGAAACGGAGATATTTCCTTTTCTGCCATTGACCTTAAAGCGCTTGAAATCTACACTTGCAAATTACACCAATAGAGTGTTTCAAATCTGCTCTGTCTAAGGGAACGTTCGTCTCTGTGAGTTGAATGCACACAACACAAGGAAGTTACTGGGAATTCTTCTGTCTAGCCTTACATGAAAAAATCCCGTTTCCAACGAAGGCCTCTAAGTGGTCAAAATATCCACGTGCAGACTTTACAAACAGAGTGTTTCCAAACCGCTGAATGAAAAGAAAAGTTAAACTCTGAGAGTTGAACTGCACACATCACACAGCAGTTTCTGAGAATGATTCTGTCTAGTTTTGAAACGAAGATATTTCCTTTTCTGCCTTTGGCCTCAAAGCGCTTGAAATCTCCACTTGCAAATTTCACAAAAAGAGTGTTTCAAATCTGCTCTGTGTAAATGAAAGTTCAACTCTGTGAGTTGAACACACACAACACAAGGAAGTTACTGGGAATTCTTCTGTCTAGCAGAATATGAAGAAATCCCGTTTCTAACGAAGGCCTCAAAGAGGTCTGAATATCCACTTGCAGACTTTACAAACAGAGTGTTTTCTAACTGCTCTATGAAAAGAAAGGTTAAACTCTGTGAGTTGAACGCACACATCACAAAGGAGTTTCTGAGAATCATTCTGTCTGGTTTTTATACGAAGATACTTCCTTTTCTACCATTGACCTCAAAGCGGCTGAAATCTCCACTTGCAAATTCCACAAAAAGAGTGTTTCAAGTCTGCTCTGTGTAAAGGATCGTTCAACTCTGTGTGTTGAATACACACAACACAAGGAAGTTACTGAGAATTCTTCTGTCTAGCATAATATGAAGAAATCTCGTTTCCAACGAGGGCCTAAAAGAGGTCTGAATATCCACTTGAAGACTTTACAAACAGAGTGCTTTCTAACTGCTCTATGAAAAGAAAGGTTAAACCCTGTGAGTTGAACGCACACATCACAAAGAACTTACTGAGAAACATTCTGTATAGTTTTGAAAAGAAGATATTTCCTTTCCTGCCATTGACCTCAAAGTGGCTGAAATCTCCACTTCCAAATTGCACAAAAAGAGTGTTTCAAATCTGCTCTGTCTAACTGAACGTTCAACTCTGTGAGTTGAATACACACAACACAAGGAAGTTACCGGGAATTCTTCTGTCTAGCCTTACATGAAAAAAACCCGTTTCCAACGAAGGCCTCTAAGTGGTCAAATTATCCACGTGCAGACTTTACAAACAGAGTGTTTCCAAACTGCTGAATGAAAAGAAAAGTTAAACTCTGAGAGTTGAACGCACACATCACAGAACAGTTTCTGAGAATGATTCTGTCTAGTTTTGAAACGAAAGATATTTCCTTTTCTGCCTTTGGCCTCAAAGCGCTTGAAATCTCCACTTGCAAATTCCACAAAAAGAGTGTTTCAAATCTGCTCTGTGTAAATGGAAGTTCAACTCTGTGAGTTGAACACACACAACACAAGGAAGTTACTGGGAATTCTTCTGTCTAGCCTTATATGAAAAAAACCCGTTTCCAACGAAGGCCTCAAAGAGGGCTGAATATCCACTTGAAGACTTTACAAGCAGAGTGTTTCCTAACTGCTCTATGAAAAGAAAGGTTAAACTCTGTGAGTTGAACGCACACATCACAAAGGAGTTTCTGAGAATCATTCTGTCTAGTTTTTATACAAAGATATTTCCTTTTCTACCATTGACCTCAAAGCGGCTGAAATCTCCACTTGCAAATTCCACAAAAAGAGTGTTTCAAGTCTGCTCTGTGTAAACGATCGTTCAACTCTGTGAGTTGAATACACACAACCCAAGGAAGTTTCTGAGAATTCTTCTGTCTAGCATAATATGTAGAAATCCCGTTTCCAACGAAGTCCTCAAGGAGTTCTGAATATCCACTTGCAGACTTTACAAACAGAGTGTTTCCTAACTGCTCTATGAAAAGAAAGGTTAAACTCTGTGAGTTGAATGCACACATCACAAAGGAGTTTCTGAGAATCATTCTGTCTAGTTTCTATAGGAAGATATTTCCTGTTCTACCATTGACCTCAAAGCGGCTGAAATCTCCACTTGCAAATTCCACAAAAAGAGTGTTTCAAGTCTGCTCTGTATAAAGGATCGTTCAACTCTGTGAGTTGAATACACACAACACAAAGAAGTTACTGAGAATTCTTCTGTCTAGCAGAATATGAAGAAATCCCGTTTCCAACGAAGGCCACAAGATGTCAGAATATCCACTTACAGACTTTACAAACAGAGTGTTTCCTCACTGCTCTATGAACAGAAAGGTTAAACTCTGTGAGTTGAACGAACACATCACAACGCAGTTTGTGGGAATGATTCTGTCTAGTTTTGAAACGAAGATATTTCCTTTTCTGCCATTGACCTTAAAGCGCTTTAAATCTACACTTGCAAATTGCACAAATAGAGTGTTTCAAATCTGCTCTGTCGAAGGGAACGTTCATCTCTGTGAGTTGAATGCACACAACAAAAGGAAGTTACTGGGAATTCTTCTGTCTAGCCTTACATGAAAAAAAACACGTTTCCAACGAAGGCTTCTAAGTGGTCAAAATATCCACGTGGAGACTTTACAAACAGAGTGTTTCCAAACTGCTGAATGAAAAGAAAAGTTAAACTCTGAGAGTTGAACGCACACATCACAGAGCGGTTTCTGAGAATGATTCTGTCTAGTTTTTATACGAAGAATATTTCCTTTTCTGCCTTTGGCCTCAAAGCGCTTGAAATCTCCACTTGCAAATTCCACAAAAAGAGTGTTTCGAATCTGCTCTGTGTAAATCAAAGTTCAACTCTGTGAGTTGAACACACACAACACAAGGAAGTTACTGGGAATTCTTCTGTCTAGCCCTATATGAAAAAAACCCGTTTCCAACGAAGGCCTCAAAGAGGGCTGAATATCCACTTGCAGACTTTACAAGCAGAGAGTTTCCTAACTGCTCTATGAAAAGAAAGGTTAAACTCTGTGAGTTGAACGCACACATCACAAAGGAGTTTCTGAGAATCATTCTGTCTAGTTTCTATAGGAAGATATTTCCTATTCTACCATTGAGCTCAAAGCGGCTGAAATCTCCACTTGCAAATTCCACAAAAAGAGTGTTTCAAGTCTGCTCTCTGTAAAGGATCGTTCAAGTCTGTGAGTTGAATACACACAACACAAGGAAGTTACTGAGAATTCTTCTGTCCAGCAGAATATGAAGAAATCCCGTTTCCAACGAAGGCCACAAGATGTCAGAATATCCACTTACAGACTTTACAAACAGAGTGTTTCCTAACTGCTCTATGAACAGAAAGGTTAAACTCTGTGAGTTGAACGATCACATCACAACGCAGTTTGTGGGAATGATTCTGTCTAGTTTTGAAACGAAGAATATTTCCTTTTCTGTCATTGACCTTAAAGCGCTTGAAATCTACACTTGCAAATTGCACAAATAGAGTGTTTCAAATCTGCTCTGTCTAAGGGAACGTTCAACTCTGTGAGTTGAATGCACACAACACAAGGAAGTTACTGGGAATTCTTCTGTCGAGCCTTACATGAAAAAAACCCGTTTCCAACGAAGGCCTCTAAGTGGTCAAAATTTCCACGTGCAAACTTTACAAACAGAGTGTTTCCAAACCGCTGAATGAAAAGAAAAGTTAAACTCTGAGAGTTGAACGCACACATCACACAGCAGTTTCTGAGAATGATTCTGTCTAGTTTTATACGAAGATATTTCCTTTTCTGCCTTTGGCCCCAAAGCGCTTGAAATCTCCACTTGCAAATTCCACAAAAACAGTGTTTCAAATCTGCTCTCTCTACATGAAAGTTCAACTCTGTCAGTTGAATACACACAATACAAGGAAGTTACTGAGAATTCTTCTTTCTAGCAGAATATGAAGAAATCCCGTTTCCAACGAAAGCCTCAAGGATGTCTGAATATCCACTTGCAGACATTACAAACAGAGTGTTTCCTAACTGCTCTATGAAAAGAAAGGTTAAACTCTGTGAGTTGAACGCACACATCACAAAGGAGTTTCTGAGAATCATTCTGTCTAGTTTCTATACGAAGATATTTCCTTTTCTACCATTGACCTCAAAGCGGCTGAAATCTCCACTTGCAAATTCCACAAAAAGAGTGTTTCTAATCTGCTCTGTGTAAAGGATCGTTCAACTCTGTGAGTTGAAAGCACACAACACAAGGAAGTTACTGAGAATTCTTCTGTCTAGAGTATGAAGAAATACCGTTTCCAACGAAGGCCTCTAAGAGGTCTGAATATCCACTTGCAGACTTTACAAACAGAGTGTTTCCTAACTGCTCTATGAAAAGAAAGGTTAAACTCTGTGAGTTGAACGCACACATCACAAAGAAGTTTCTGAGAATCATTCTGTCTAGTTTTGAAACGAAGATATTTCCTTTTCTGCCATTGACCTTAAAGCGCTTGAAATCTACACTTGCAAATTGCACAAATAGAGTGTTTCAAATCTGCTCTGTCTAAGGGAACGTTCAACTCTGTGAGTTGAATGCACACAACACAAGGAAGTTACTGGGAATTCTTCTGTCTAGCCTTACATGAAAACAACCCGTTTCCAACGAAGGCCTCTAAGTGGTCAAAATATCCACGTGCAGACTTTACAAACACAGTGTTTCCAAACCGCTGAATGAAAAGAAAAGTTAAACTCTGAGAGTTGAACGCACACATCACGCAGCAGTTTCTGAGAATGATTCTGTCTAGTTTTGAAACGAAGATATTTCCTTTTCTGCCTTTGGCCTCAAAGCGCTTGAAATCTCCATTTGCAAATTCCACAAAAAGAGTGTTTCAAATCTGCTCTGTGTAAATGAAAGTTCAGCTCTGTGAGTTGAACACACACAACACAAGGAAGTTACTGGGAATTCTTCTGTATAGCAGAATATGAAGAAATCCCGTTTCCAACGAAGGCCTCAAGGAGGTCTGAATATCCACTTGCAGACTTTACAAACAGAGTGTTTCCTAACTGCTCTGTGAAAAGAAAGTTTAAACTCTGTGAGTTGAACGCAGACATCACAAAGGAGTTTCTGAGAATCACTCTGTCTAGTTTTTATAGGAAGATATTTCCTTTTCTACCTTTGACTTCAAAGCGGCTGAAATCACCACTTGCAAATTCCACAAAAAGAGTGTTACAAGTCTGCTCTGTGTAAAGGATCGTTCAACTCTGTGAGGTGAATACACACAACACAAGGAAGTTACTGAGAATTCTTCTGTCTAGCAGAATATGAAGAAATCCCGTTTCCAACGAAGACCTCAAGGAGGTCTGAATATCCACTTGCAGACTTTACAAACAGAGTGTTTCCTAACTGCTCTATGAACAGAAAGGTTAAACTCTGTGAGTTGAACGAACACATCACAACGCAGTTTGTGGGAATGATTCTGTCTCGTTTTGAAACGAAGATATTTCCTTTTCTGCCATTGACCTTAAAGCGCTTGAAATCTCCATTTGCCAATTGCACAAAAAGAGTGTTTCAAATCTGCTCTGTCTAAGGGAACGTTCAACTCTGTGAGTTGAATGTACACAACACAAGGAAGTTACTGGGAATTCTTCTGTCTAGCCTTACAGGAAAAAAACCCGTTTCCAACGAAGGCCTCTAAGCGGTCAAAATATCCACGTGCAGACTTTACAAACAGAGTGTTTCCACACTGCTGAATGAAAAGAAAAGTTAAACTCTGAGAGTTGAACGCACACATCGCAGAGCAGTTTCTGAGAATGATTCTGTCTAGTTTCTATAAGAAGATATTTCCTATTCTACCATTGACCTCAAAGCGGCTGAAATCTCCACTTGCAAATTCGACAAAAAGCGTGTTTCAAGCCTGCTCTCTGTAAAGGATCCTTCAACTCTGTGAGTTGAATACACACAACACAAGGAAGTTACTGAGAATTATTCTGTCTAGCCTTATATGAAAAAAACCCGTTTCCAACGAAGGCCTCAAAGAGGTCTGAATATCCTCTTGCAGACTTTACAAACAGAGTGTTTCCTAACTGCTCTATGAAAAGAAAGGTTAAACTCTGTGAGTTGGACACACACATCACAAAGGAGTTTCTGAGAATTATTCTGTCTAGTTTCTATAGGAAGATATTTCCTATTCTACCATTGACCTCAAAGCGGCTGAAATCTCCACTTGCAAATTCCACAAAAAGAGTGTTTCAAGTCTCCTCTCTGTAAAGGATCGTTCAACTCTGTGAGTTGAATACACACAACACAAGGAAGTTACTGAGAATTATTCTGTCTAGCAGAATATGAAGAAATCCCGTTTCCAACGAAGGCCACAAGATGTCAGAATATCCACTTACAGACTTTACAAACAGAGTGTTTCCTAACTGCTCTATGAACACAAAGGTTAAACTCTGTGAGTTGAACGAACACATCACAACGCAGTTTGTGGGAATGATTCTGTCTAGTTTTGAAACGAAGATATTTCCTTTTCTGCCATTGATCTTAAAGCGCTTGAAATCTACAGTTGCGAATTGCACAAATAGAGTGTTTCAAATCTGCTCTGTCTAAGGGAACGTTCAACTATGTGAGTTGAATGCACACAACACAAGGAAGTTACTGTGAATTCTTCTGTCTAGCCTTACATGAAAAAACCCGTTTCCAACGAAGGCCTCTAAGTGGCCAAATTATCCACGTGCAGACTTTACAAACAGAGTGTTTCCAAACTGCTGAAGGAAAAGAAAAGTTAAACTCTGAGAGTTGAACGCACACATCGCAGAGCAGTTTCTGAGAATGATTCTGTCTAGTTTTTATACGAAGATATTTCCCTTTCTGCCTTTGGCCTCAAAGCGCTTGAAATCTCCACTTGCAAATTCCACAAAAAGAGTGTTTCAAATCTGCTCTGTGTAAATGAAAGTTCAACTCTGTGAGTTGAACACACACAACACAAGGAAGTTACTGAGAATTCTGTCTAGCCTTATATGAAAAAAACCCGTTTCCAACGAAGGCCTCAAACAGGTCTGAATATCCACTTGCAGACTTTACAAACAGAGTGTTTCCTAACTGCTCTATGAAAAGAAAGGTTAAACTCTGTGAGTTGAACGCACACATCACAAAGGAGTTTCTGAGAATCATTCTGTCTAGTTTTTATACGAAGATATTTCCTTTTCTACCATTGACCTCAACGCGGCTGAAATCTCCACTTGCAAATTCCACAAAAGGAGTGTTTCAAGTCTGCTCTGTGTAAACGATCGTTCAACTCTGTGAGTTGAATACACACAACACAAGGAAGTTACTGAGAATTCTTCTGTCTAGCAGAATATGAAGAAATCCCGTTTCCAACGAAGGCCACAAGATGTCAGAATATCCACGTACAGAATTTACAAACAGACTGTTTCCTAACTGCTCTATGAAAAGAAAGTTTAAACTCTGTGAGTTGAACGAACACCTCACAACGCAGTTTGTGGGAATGATTCTGTCTAGTTTTGAAACGAAGATATTTCCTTTTCTGCCATTGACCTGAAAGCACTTGAAATCTACACTTGCAAATTGCACAAATAGAGTGTTTCAAATCTGCTCTGTCTAAGGGAACGTTCAACTCTGTGAGTTGAATGCACACAACACAAGGAAGTTACTGGGAATTCTTCTGTCTAGCCTTACATGAAAAAAAACCCGTTTCCAACGAAGGCCTCTAAGTGGTCAAAATATCCACGTGCAGACTTTACAAACAGAGTGTTTCCAAACCGCTAAATGAAAAGAAAAGTTAAACTCTGAGAGTTGAACGCACACATCACGCAGCAGTTTCTGAGAATGATTCTGTCTAGTTTTTCTACGAAGATATTTCCTTTTCTGCCTTTGGCCTCAAAGCGCTTGAAATCTCCATTTGCAAATTCCACAAAAAGAGTGTTTCAAATCTGCTCTGTGTAAATGAAAGTTCAACTCTGTGAGTTGAACACACACAACACAAGGAAGTTACTGGGAATTCTTCTGTATAGCAGAATATGAAGAAATCCCGTTTCCAACGAAGGCCTCAAGGAGGTCTGAATATCCACTTGCAGACTTTACAAACAGAGTGTTTCCTAACTGCTCTATGAAAAGAAAGGTTAAACTCTGTGAGTTGAACACAGACATCACAAAGGAGTTTCTGAGAATCACTCTGTCTAGTTTTTATACGAAGATATTTCCTTTTCTTCCATTGACCTCAAAGCGGCTGAAATCTCCACCCTGCCAATTCCACAAAAAGAGTGTTTCAAGTCTACTCTGTGTAAAGGATCGTTGAACTCTGTGAGTTGAAAACACACAACACAACGAAGTTTCTGAGAATTCTTCTGTCTAACAGAATATGAAGAAATCCATTTCCAACGAAGGCCTCAAAGAGGTCTGAATATCAACTTACAGACTTTACAAACAGAGTGTTTCCTAACTGCTCTATGAACAGAAAGGTTAAACTCTGTGAGTTGAACGAACCCATCACAATGCAGTTTGTGGGAATGATTCTGTCTAGTTTTGAAATGAAGATATTTCCTTTTCTGCCATTGACCTTAAAGCGCTTGAAATCTACACTTGCAAATTGCACAAATAGAGTGTTTCAAATCTGCTCTGTCTAAGGGAACGTTCAACTCTGTGAGTTGAATGCACACAACACAAGGAAATTACTGGGAATTCTTCTGTCTAGCCTTACAGGCAAAAAAACCCGTTTCCAACGAAGGCCTCTAAGTGGTCAAAATATCCACGTGCAGACTTTACAAACAGAGTGTTTTCAAACTGCTGAATGAAAAGAAAAGTTAAACTCTGAGAGTTGAACGCACACATCGCAGAGCAGTTTCTGAGAATGATTCTGTCTAGTTTTTATACGAAGATATTTCCTTTTCTGCCTTTGGCCTCAAAGCGCTTAAAATCTCCACTTGCAAATTCCACAAAAAGAGTGTTTCAAATCTGCTCTGTCTAAATGAAAGTTCAACTCTGTCAGTTGAATACACACAGCACAAGGAAGTTACTGAGAATTCTTCTGTGTAGCATCATATGAAGAAATCCCGTTTCCAACGAAGGCCTCAAAAAGGTCTGAATATCCACTTGCAGACTTTACAAACAGAGTGTTTCCTAACTGCTCTATGAAAAGAAAGGTTAAACTCTGTGAGTTGAACGCACACATCACAAATGAGTTTCTGAGAATCATTCTGTCTAGTTTTTATACGAAGATATTTCCTTTTCTACCATTGACTTCAAAGCGGCTGAAATCTCCACTTGCAAATTCCTCAAAAAGAGTGTTTCAAGTCTGCTCTGTGTAAAGGATCGTTCAACTCTGTGAGTTGAATACACACAATACAAGGAAGTTACTGAGAATTCTTCTGTCTAGCAGAATATGAAGAAATGCCGTTTCCAACGAAGGCCACAAGATGTCAGAATATCCACTTACAGAATTTACAAGCAGACTGTTTCCTAACTGCTCTATGAAAAGAAAGGTTAAACTCTGTGATTTGAACGAACACATCACAACGCAGTTTGTGGGAATGATTCTGTCTAGTTTTGAAACGAAGATATTTCCTTTTCTGCCTTTGACCCTAAAGCGCTTGAAATCTACACTTGCAAATTGCACAAATAGAGTGTTTCAAATCTGCTCTGTCTAAGGGAACGTTCAACTCTGTGAGTTGAATGCACACAACACAAGGAAGTTACTGGGAATTCTTCTGTCTAGCCTTACATGAAAAAATCCCGTTTCCAACGAAGGCCTCTAAGTGGTCAAAATATCCACGTGCAGACTTTAACAAATAGAGTGTTTCCAAACCGCTGAATGAAAAGAAAAGGTAAACTCTGAGAGTTGAACGCACACATCACGCAGCAGTTTCTGAGAATGATTCTGTCTAGTTTTTATACGAAGATATTTCCTTTTCTACCATTGACCTCAAAGCGGCTGAAATCTCCACTTGCAAATTCCACAAAAAGAGTGTTTCAAGTCTGCTCTGTGTAAAGGATCGTTCAACTCTGTGAGTTGAACACACAAAACACAAGGAAGTTTCTGAGAATTCTTCTGTATAGCAGAATATGAAGAAATCCCGTTTCCAACGAAGGCCTCAAGGAGGTCTGAATATGCACTTGCAGACTTTACAAACAGAGTGTTTCCTAACTGCTCTATGAAAAGAAAGGTTAAACTCTGTGAGTTGAACGCAGACATCACAAAGGAGTTTCTGAGAATCACTCTGTCTAGTTTTTATAGGAAGATATTTCCTTTTCTACCTTTGACTTAAAAGCGGCTGAAATCTCCACTTGCAAATTCCACAAAAAGAGTGTTACAAGTCTGCTCTGTGTAAAGGATCGTTCAACTGTGTGAGTTGAATACACACAACACAAGGAAGTTACTGAGAATTCTTCTGTCTAGCAGAATATGAAGAAATCCCGTTTCCAACGAAGGCCTCAAAGAGGTCTGAATATCCACTTGCAGACTTTACAAACAGAGTGTTTCCTAACTGCTCTATGAACAGAAAGGTTAAACTCTGTGAGTTGAACGAACACATCACAACGCAGTTTGTGGGAATGATTCTGTCTAGTTTTTATAGGAAGATATTTCCTTTTCTACCTTTGACTTGAAAGCGGCTGAAATCTCCACTTGCAAATTCCACAAAAAGAGTGTTACAAGTCTGCTCTGTCTAAGGGAACGTTCAACTCTGTGAGTTGAATGTACACAACACAAGGAAGTTAGTGGGAATTCTTCTCTCTAGCCTTACATGAAAAAAACCCGTTTCCAACGAAGGCCTCTAAGTGGTCAAAATATCCACGTGCAGACTTTTCAAACAGAGTGTTTCCAAACCGCTGAATGAAAAGAAAAGTTAAACTCTGAGAGTTGAACGCACACATCACGCAGCAGTTTCTGAGAATGATTCTGTCTAGTTTTGAAACGAAGATATTTCCTTTTCTGCCTTTGGCCTCAAAGCGCTTGAAATCTCCACTTGCAAATTCCACAAAAGGAGTGTTTCAAATCTGCTCTGTGTAAATGAAAGTTCAACTCTGTGAGTTGAACACACACAACACAAGGAAGTTACTGGGAATTCTTCTGTCTAGCCTTATATGAAAAAAACCCGTTTCCAACGAAGGACTCAAAGAGGTCTGAATATCCACTTGCAGACTTTACAAACAGAGTGTTTCCTAACTGCTCTAAGAAAAGAAAGGTTAAACTCTGTGAGTTGAACGTACACATCACAAAGGAGTTTCTGAGAATCATTCTGTCTAGTTTTTCTACGAAGATATTTCCTTTTCTACTATTGACCTCAAAGCGGCTGAAATCTCCACTTGCAAATTCAACAAAAAGAGTGTTTCAAGTCTGCTCTGTGTAAAGGATCAGTTCAACTCTGTGAGTTGAATACACACAACACAAGGAAGTTACTGAGAATTCTTCTGTCTAGCAGAATATGAAGAAATCCCGTTTCCAACGAAGGCCACAAGATGTCAGAATATCCACTTACAGACTTTACAAACAGTGTGTTTCCTAACTGCTCTATGAACGGAAAGGTTAAACTCTGTGAGTTGAACGAACACATCACAACGCAGTTTGTGGGAATGATTCTGTCTAGTTTTGAAACGAAGATATTTCCTTTTCTGCCATTGACCTTAAAGCGCTTGAAATCTACACTTGCAAATTGCACAAATAGAGTGTTTCAAATCTGCTCTCTCTAAGGGAACGTTCAACTCTGTGAGTTGAATGCACACAACACAAGGAAGTTACTGGGAATTCTTCTTTCTAGCAGAATATGAAGAAATCCCGTTTCCAACGAAAGCCTCAAGGATGTCTGAATATCCACTTGCAGACTTTACAAACAGAGTGTTTCCCAACTGCTCTATGAAAAGAAAGGATAAACTCTGTGAGTTGAACGCACACATCACAAAGGAGTTTCTGAGAATCATTCTGTCTAGTTTCTATAGGAAGATATTTCCTATTCTACCATTGACCTCAAAGCGGCTGAAATCTCCACTTGCAAATTCCACAAAAAGAGTGTTTCAAGTCTGCTCTGTGTAAAGGATCGTTCAACTGTGTGAGTTGAATACACACAACACAAGGCAGTTACTGAGAATTCTTCTGTATAGCAGAATATGAAGAAATCCCGTTTCCAACGAAGGCCTCAAGGAGGTCTGAATATCCACTTGCAGACTTTACAAACAGAGTGTTTCCTAACTGCTCTATGAAAAGAAAGTTTAAACTCTGTTAGTTGAACGCAGATATCACAAAGGAGTTTCTGAGAATCACTCTGTCTAGTTTCTATAGGAAGATATTCCCTATTCTACCATTGACCTCAAAGCGGCTGAAATCTCCACTTGCAAATTCCACAAAAAGAGTGTTTCAAGTCTGCTCTCTGTAAAGGATCGTTCAACTCTGTGAGTTGAATACACACAACACAAGGAAGTTATTGAGAATTAATCTGTCTAGCTGAATATGAAGAAATCCCGCTTCCAAGGAAGGCCTCAAAGAAGTCTGAATATCCACTTGCAGATTTTACAAACAGAGTGTTTCCCAACTGCTCTATGAAAAGAAAGGTTGAACTCTGTGAGTTGAACGCACACATCACAAAGGAGTTTCTGAGAATCATTCTGTCTAGTGTCTATAGGAAGATATTTCCTATTCTACCATTGAACTCAAAGCGGCTGAAATCTCCACTTGCAAATTCCACAAAAAGAGTGTTTCAAGTCTGCTCTGTGTAAAGGATCGTTCAACTCTGTGAGTTGAATACACACAACACAAGGAAGTTACTGAGAATTCTTCTGTCTAGCCTTACATGAAAAAAACCCGTTTCCAACGAAGGCCTCTAAGTGGTCAAAATATCCACGTGCAGACTTTACAAACAGAGTGTTTCCAAACCGCTGAATGAAAAGAAAAGTTAAACTCTGAGAGTTGAACGCACACATCACACAGCAGTTTCTGAGAATGATTCTGTCTAGTTTTTATACGAAGATATTTCCTTTTCTGCCTTTGGCCCCAGAGCGCTTGAAATCTCCACTTGCAAATTCCACAAAAACAGTGTTTCAAATCTGCTCTCTCCAAATGAAAGTTCAACTCTGTCAGTTGAATACACACAACACAAGGAAGTTACTGAGAATTCTTCTGTCTAGCATAATATGAAGAAATCCCGTTTCCAACGAAGGCCTCAAGGAGGTCTGAATATCCACTTGCAGACTTTACAAACAGAGTGTTTCCTAACTGCTCTATGAAAAGAAAGGTTAAAGTCTGTGAGTTGAACGCACACATCACAAAGGAGTTTCTGAGAATCATTCTGTCTAGTTTCTATAGGAAGATATTTCCTATTCTACCATTGACCTCAAAGCGGCTGAAATCTCCACTTGCAAATTCCACAAAAAGAGTGTTTCAAGTCTGCTCTGTGTAAAGGATCGTTGAACTCTGTGAGTTGAATACACACAACACAAGGAAGTTACTGAGAATTCTTCTCTCTAGCAGAATATGAAGAAATCCCGTTTCCAACGAAGGCCTCAAAGAGGTCTGAATATCCACTTCCAGACTTTACAAACAGAGTGTTTCCTAACTGCTCTATGAAAAGAAAGGTTAAACTCTGTGAGTTGAACGCACACATCACAAAGGAGTTTCTGAGAATCATTCTGTCTAGTTTTTATACGAAGATATTTCCTTTTCTACCATTGACCTCAAAGCGGCTGAAATCTCCACTTGCAAATTCCACAAAAAGAGTGTTTCAAGTCTGTTCTGTGTAAAAGATCATTCAACTCTGTGAGTTGAATACACACAACACAAGGAAGTTACTGAGAATTCTTCTGTCTAGCCTTACAAGAAAGAAACCCGTTTCCAACGAAGGCCTCTAAGTGGTCAAAATATCCACGTGCAGACTTTACAAACAGAGTGTTTCCAAACTGCTGAATGAAAAGAAAAGTTAAACTCTGAGAGTTGAACGCACACATCGCAGAGCAGTTTCTGAGAATGATTCTGTCTAGTTTTTATACGAAGATATTTCCTTTTCTGCATTTGGCCTCAAAGCGCTTGAAATCTCCACTTGCAAATTCCACAAAAAGAGTGTTTCCAATCTGCTCTGTGTAAATGAAAGTTCAACTCTGTGAGTTGAATACACACAACACAAGGAAGTTACTGGGAATTCTTCTGTCTAGCAGAATATGAAGAAATCCCATTTCCAACGAAGGCCACAAGATGTCAGAATATCCACTTACAGACTTGACAAACAGAGTGTTTCCTAACTGCTCTATGAACAGAAAGGTAAAACGCTGTGAGTTGAACGAACACATCACAACGCAGTTTGTGGGAATGATTATCTGTCTAGTTTTTGTACGAAGATATTTCCTTTTCTACCATTGACCTCAAAGCGGCTGAAATCTCCACTTGCAAATTCCACAAAACGAGTGTTTCAAGTCCGCTCTCTGTAAAGGATCGTTCAACTCTGTGAGTTGAATCCACACAACACAAGGAAGTTACTGAGAATTCTTCTGTCTCGCACAGTATGGAGAAATCCCGTTTCCAACGAAGGCCTCAAAGAGGTCTGAATATCCACTTGCAGAGTTTACAAACAGAGTGTTTCCTAACTGCTCTATGAGAAGAAAGGTTAAACTCTGTGAGTTGAACGCACACATCACAAAGAAGTTTCTTAGAATCATTCTGTCTAGTTTTGAAACGAAGATATTTCCTTTTCTGCCGTTGACCTTAAAGCGCTTGAAATGTACACTTGCAAATTGCACAAATAGAGTGTTTCAAATCTGCTCTGTCTAAGGGAACGTTCAACTCTGTGAGTTGAATGCACACAACACAAGGAAGTTACTGGGAATTCTTCTGTCTAGCCTTACAGGAAAAAAACCCGTTTCCAACGAAGGCCTCTAAGTGGTCAAGTTATCCAGGTGCAGACTTTACAAACAGAGTGTTTCCAAACTGCTGAATGAAAAGAAAAGTTAAACTCTGAGAGTTGAACGCACACATCGCAGAGCAGTTTCTGAGAATGATTCTGTCTAGTTTTGAAACGAAGACATTTCCTTTTCTGCCTTTGGCCTCAAAGCACTTGAAATCTCCATTTGCAAATTCCACAAAAAGAGTGTTTCAAATCTGCTCTGTGTAAATGAAAGTTCAACTCTGTGAGTTGAACACACACAACACAAGGAAGTTACTGGGAATTCTTCTGTCTAGCCTTATATGAAAAAAACCCGTTTCCAACGAAGGCCTCAAAGAGGGCTGAATATCCACTTGCAGACTTTACAAGCAGAGTGTTTCCTAACTGCTCTATGAAAAGAAAGGTTAAACTCTGTGAGTTGAACGCACACATCACAAAGGAGTTTATGAGAATCATTCTGTCTAGTTTCTATAGGAAGATATTTCCTATTCTACCATTGACTTCAAAGCGGCTGAAATCTCCACTTGCAAATTCCACAAAAAGAGTGTTTCAAGACTCTTCTGTGTAAAGGATCATACAACTCTGTGAGGTGAATACACACAACACAAGGAAGTTACTGAGAATTCTTCTGTCTAGCAGAATATGAAGAAATCCCGTTTCCAACGAAGGCCACAAGATGTCAGAATATCCACTTACAGACTTTACAAACAGAGTGTTTCCTAACTGCTCTATGAATAGAAAGGTTAAACTCTGTGAGTTGAACGAACACATCACAACGCAGTTTGTGGGAATGATTCTGTCTAGTTTTGAAACGAAGATATTTCCTTTTCTGCCATTGACCTTAAAGCGCTTGAAATCTACACTTGCAAATTGCACAAATAGAGTGTTTCAAATCTGCTCTGTCTAAGGGAACGTTCAACTCTGTGAGTTGAATGCACACAACACAAGGAAGTTACTGGGAATTCTTCTGTCTAGCCTTACATGAAAAAAACCCGTTTCCAACGAAGGCCTCTAAGTGGTCAAAATTTCCACGTGCAGACTTTACAAACAGAGTGTTTCCAAACCGCTGAATGAAAAGAAAAGTTAAACTCTGAGAGTTGAACGCACACATCACGAAGCAGGTTCTGAGAATGATTCTGTCTAGTTTTTATACGAAGATATTTCCTTTTCTGCCTTTGGCCTCAAAGCGCTTGAAATCTCCACTTGCAAATTCCACAAAAAGAGTGTTTCAAATCTGCTCTGTGTAAACGAAAGTTCAACTCTGTGAGTTGAACACACACAACACAAGGAAGTTACTGGGAATTCTTCTGTCTAGCAGAATATGAAGAAATCCCGTTTCCAACGAAGGCCTCAAAGAGGTCTGAATATCCAATTGCAGACATTATAAACAGAGTGTTTCCTAACTGCTCTATGAAAAGAAAGGTTGAACTCTGTGAGTTGAACGCACACATCACAAAGGAGTTTCTGAGAATCATTCTGTCTAGTTTTTATACGAAGATATTTCCTTTTCTAACATTGACCTCAAAGCGGCTGAAATCCCCACTTGCAAATTCCACAAAAAGAGTGTTTCAAGTCTGCTCTGTGTAAAGGATCGTTGAACTCTGTGAGTTGAATACACAACACAAGGAAGTTACTGAGAATTCTTCTGTCTAGCAGAATATGAAGAAATCCCGTTTCCAACGAAGGCCTAAAAGAGGTCTGAATATCCACTTGCAGACTTTACAAACAGAGTGTTTCCTAACTGCTCTATGAGAAGAAAGGTTAAACTCTGTGAGTTGAACGCACACATCACAAAGGAGTTTCTGAGAATCATTCTGTCTAGTTTTGAAACGAAGATATTTCCTTTTCTGCCATTGACCTTAAAGCGCTTGAAATCTACACTTGCAAATTGCACAAATAGAGTGTTTCAAATCTGCTCTGTCTAAGGGAACTGTTCAACTCTGTGAGTTGAATGCACACAACACAAGGAAGTTACTGGGAATTCTTCTGTCTAGCCTTACATGAAAAAAACCCGTTTCCAACGAAGGCCTCTAAGTGGTCAAAATATCCACGTGCAAACTTTACAAACAGAGTGTTTCCAAACCGCTGAATGAAAAGAAAAGTTAAACTCTGAGAGTTGAACGCAAACATCACGCAGCAGTTTTTGAGAATGATTCTGTCTAGTTTTTATACGAAGATATTTACTTTTCGGCCTTTGGCCCCAAAGCGCTTGAAATCTCCACTTGCAAATTCCACAAAAACAGTGTTTCAAATCTGCTCTCTCTAAATGAAAGTTCAACTCTGTCAGTTGAATACACACAACACAAGGAAGTTACTTAGAATTCTTCTGTCTAGCAGAATATGAAGAAATCCCGTTTCCAACGAAGGCGTCAAAGAGGTCTGAATATCCACTTGCAGACTTTACAAACAGAGTGTTTCCTAACTGCTCTATGAAAAGAAAAGTTAAACTCTGTGAGTTTAACGCACACATCACAAAGGAGTTTCTGAGAATCATTCTGTCTAGTCTTTATACGAAGATATTTCCTTTTCTACCATTGACCTCAAAGCGGCTGAATTCTCCACTTGCAAATTCCACAAAAAGAGTGTTTCAAGTCTGCTCTCTGTAAAGGATCGTTCAACTCTGTGAGTTGAATACACACAACACAAGGAAGTTACTGAGAATTATTCTGTCTAGCAGAATATGAAGAAATCCCGTTTCCAACGAAGGCCACAAGATGTCAGAATATCCACTTACAGAATTTTCAAACAGACTGTTTCCTAACTGCTCTAAGAAAAGAAAGGTTAAACTCTGTGAGTTGAACGAACACATCACAACGCAGTTTGTGGGAGTGATTCTGTCTAATTTTGAAACGAAGATATTTCCTTTTCTGCCATTGACCTTAATGCGCTTGAAATCTACACTTGCAAATTGCACAAATAGAGTGTTTCAAATCTGCTCTGTCTAAGGGAACGTTCAACTCTGTGAGTTGAATGCACACAACACAAGGAAGTTACTGGGAATTCTTCTGTCTAGCCTTACATGAAAAAAACCCGTTTCCAACGAAGGCCTCTAAGTGGTCAAAATTTCCACGTGCAGACTTTACAAACAGAGTGTTTCCAAACCGCTGAATGAAAAGAAAAGTTAAACTCTGAGAGTTGAACCCACACATCACGCAGCAGTTTCTGAGAATGATTCTGTCTAGTTTTTATACGAAGATATTTCCTTTTCTATCATTGACCTCAAAGCGGCTGAAATCTCCACTTGCAATTTCCACAAAAAGAGTGTTTCAAGTCTGCTCTGTGTAAAGGATCGTTCAACTCTGTGAGTTGAATACACACAACACAAGGAAGTTACTGAGAATTCTTCTGTCTAGCCTTATATGAATAAAACCCGTTTCCAACGAAGGCCTCAAAGAGGTCTGAATATCCTCTTGCAGACTTTACAAACAGAGTGTTTCCTAACTGCTCTATGAAAAGAAAGGTTAAACTCTGTGAGTTGAACTCACACATCACAAAGGAGTTTCTGAGAATCATTCTGTCTAGTTTTTATACGAAGATATTTCCTTTTCTACCATTGACCTCAACGCGGCAGAAACCTCCACTTGCAAATTCCACAAAACGAGTGTTTCAAGTCCGCTCTGTGTAAAGGATCGTTCAACTCTGTGAGTTGAATACACACAACACAAGGAAGTTACTGAGAATTCTTCTGTCTAGCAGAATATGAAGAAATCCCGTTTCCAACGAAGGCCAAAAGATGTCAGAATATCCACTTACAGAATTTACAAACAGAGTGTTTCCTAACTGCTCTATGAAAAGAATTGTTAAACTCTGTGAGTTGAACGAACACATCACAACGCAGTTTGTGGGAATGATTCTGTCTAGTTTTGAAACGAAGATATTTCCTTTTCTGCCATTGACCTTAAAGCGCTTGAAATCTCCATTTGCCAACTGCACAAAAAGAGTGTTTCAAATCTGCTCTGTCTAAGGGAACGTTCAACTCTGTGAGTTGAATGTACACAACACAAGGAAGTTACTGGGAATTCTTCTGTCTAGCCTTACAGGAAAAAAACCCGTTTCCAACGAAGGCCTCTAAGTGGTCAAAATATCCAAGTGCAGACTTTACAAAGAGAGTGTTTCCAAACTGCTGAATGAAAAGAAAAGTTAAACTCTGAGAGTTGAACGCACACATCGCAGAGCAGTTTCTGAGAATGATTCTGTCTAGTTTTGAAACGAAGGTATTTCCTTTTCTGCCTTTGGCCTCAAAGCGCTTGACATCTCCACTTGCAAATTCCACAAAAAGAGTGTTTCAAATCTGCTCTGTGTAAATGAAAGTTCAACTCTGTGAGTTGAACACACACAACACAAGGAAGTTACTGGGAATTCTTCTGTCTAGCAGAATATGAAGAAATCCCGCTTCCAACGAAGGCCTCAAAGAAGTCTGAATATCCACTTGCAGACTTTACAAACAGAGTGTTTCCCAACTGCTCTATGAAAAGAAAGGTTGAACTCTGTGAGTTGAACGCCCACATCACAAAGGAGTTTCTGAGAATCATTCTGTCTAGTTTCCATAGGAAGATATTTCCTATTCTACCATTGACCTCAAAGCGGCTGAAATCTCCACTTGCCAATTCCACAAAAAGAGTGTTTCAAGTCTACTCTGTGTAATGGATCGTTTAACTCTGTGAGTTGAAAACACACAACACAAGGAAGTTTCTGAGAATTCTTCTGTCTAGCCTTACATGAAAAAAACCCGTTTCCAACGTAGGCCTCTAAGTGGTCAAATTATCCACGTGCAGACTTCACAAACAGAGTGTTTCCAAACTGCTGAATGAAAAGAAAAGTTAAACTCTGAGAGTTGAACGCACACATCGCAGAGCAGTTTCTGAGAATGATTCTGTCTAGTTTTGAAACCAAGATATTTCCTTTTCTGCCGTTGACCTAAAAGAGCTTGAAAACTACACTTGCAAATTGCACAAATAGAGTGTTTCAAATCTGCTCTGTCTAAGGGAACGTTCAACTCTGTGAGTTGAATGCACACAACACAAGGAAGTTACTGGGAATTCTTCTGTCTAGCCTTACATGAAAAAAACCCGTTTCCAACGAAGGCCTCTAAGTGGTCAAAATTTCCACGTCCAGACTTTACAAACAGAGTGTTTCCAAACCGCTGAATGAAAAGAAAAGTTAAACTCTGAGAGTTGAACGCACACATCACGCAGCAGTTTCTGAGAATGATTCTGACTAGTTTTTATACGAAGATATTTCCTTTTCTGCCTTTGGCCCCAAAGCGCTTGAAATCTCCACTTGCAAATTCCACAAAAACAGTGTTTCAAATCTGCTCTCTCTAAATGAAAGTTCAACTCTGTCAGTTGAATACACACAACACAAGGAAGTTACTGAGAATTCTTCTGTCTAGCAGAATATGAAGAAATCCCGTTTCCAACGAAGGCCTCAAAGGGGTCTGAATATCCACTTGCAGACTTTATAAACAGAGTGTTTACTAACTGCTCTATGAAAAGAAAGGTTAAACTCTGTGAGTTGAACACACACCTCACAAAGGAGTTTGCTGAGAATCATTTCTGTCTAGTTTTTATACGAAGATATTTCCTTTTCTACCATTGACCTCAAAGCGGCTGAAATCTCCACTTGCAAATTCCACAAAAAGAGTGTTTCAAGTCTGCTCTGTGTAAAGGATGGTTCAACTCTGTGAGTTGAATACACACAACACAAGGAAGTTACTGAGAATTCTTCTGTCTAGCATAATAGGAAGAAATCCCGTTTCCAACGAAGGCCTCAAGGAGGTCTGAATATCCACTTGCAGACTTTACAAACAGAGTGTTTCCTAACTGCTCTATGAAAAGAAAGGTTAAACTCTGTGACTTGAACGCACACATCACAAAGGAGTTTCTGAGAATCATTCTGTCTAGTTTTGAAACGAAGATATTTCCTTTTCTGCCATTGACCTTAAAGCGCTTGAAATCTACACTTGCAAATTGCACAAATAGAGTGTTTCAAATCTGCTCTGTCTAAGGGAACGTTCATCTGTGTGAGTTGAATGCACACAACACAAGGAAGTTACTGGGAATTCTTCTGTCTAGCCTTACATGAAGAAAACCCGTTTCCAACGAAGGCCTCTAAGTGGTCAAAATATCCACGTGCAGACTTTACAAACAGAGTGTTTCGAAACTGCTGAATGAAAAGAAAAGTTAAACTCTGAGAGTTGAACGCACACATCACAGAGCAGTTTCTGAGAATGATTCTGTCTAGTTTTTATACGAAGATATTTCCTTTTCTGCCTTTGGCCGCAAAGCGCTTGAAATCTCCACTTGCAAATTCCACAAAAACAGTCTTACAAATCTGCTCTCTCTAAATGAAAGTTCAACTCTGTCAGTTGAATACACACAACACAAGGAAGTTACTGAGAATTCTTCTGTCTAGCAGAATATGGAGAAATCCCGTTTCCAACGAAGGCCTCAAAGAGGTCTGAATATCCACTTGCAGACTTTACAAACAGAGTGTTTCCTAACTGCTCTATGAAAAGAAAGGTTAAACTCTGTGAGTTGAACACACACATCACAAAGGAGTTTCTGAGAATCGTTCTGTCTAGTTTTTATACGAAGATATTTCCTTTTCTACCATTGACCTCAAAGCGGCTGAAATCTCCACTGGCCAATTCAACAAAAAGAGTTTTTCAAGTCTACTCTGTGTAACGGATCGTTGAACTCTGTGAGTTGAAAACACGCAACACCAGGAGGTTTCTGAGAGTTCTTCTGTCTAGCAGAATATGAAGAAATCCCGTTTCCAACGAATGCCACAAGATGTCAGAATATCCACTTACAGAATTGACAAACAGACTGTTTCCTAACTGCTCTATGAAAAGAAAGGTTAAACTCTGTGAGTTGAACGAACACATCACAACGCAGTTTGTGGGAATGATTTCTGTCTAGTTTTGAAACGAAGATATTTCCTTTTCTGCCGTTGACCTTAAAGCGGTTGAAATCTACACTTGCAAATTGCACAAATAGAGTGTTTCAAATCTGCTCTGTCTAAGGGAACGTTCAACTCTGTGAGTTGAATGCACACAACACAAGGAAGTTACTGGGAATTCTTCTATCTAGCCTTACTGAAAAAAACCCGTTTCCAACGAAGGCCTCTAAGTGGTCAAATTATCCACGTGCAGACTTTACAAACAGAGTGTTTCCAAACTGCTGAATGAAAAGAAAAGTTAAACTCTGAGAGTTGAACACACACATCGCAGAGCAGTTTCTGAGAATGATTCTGCCTAGTTTTGAAACGAAGATATTTCCTTTTCTGCCTTTGGCCTCAAAGCGCTTGAAATCTCCACTTGCAAATTCCACAAAAAGAGTGTTTCAAATCTGCTCTGTGTAAATGAAAGTTCAACTCTGTGAGTTGAACACACACAACACAAGGAAGTTACTGGGAATTCCTCTGTCTAGCATAATATGAAGAAATCCCGTTTAAAACGAAGGCCTCAAAGAGGTCTGAATATCCACTTGCAGACTTTACAAACAGAGTGTTTCCTAACTGCTCTATGAAAAGAAAGGTTAAACTCTGTGAGTTGAACGCACACATCACAAAGGAGTTTCTGAGAATCATTCTGTCTAGTTTTTCTACGAAGATATTTCCTTTTCTACTATTGACCTCAAAGCGGCTGAAATCTCCTCTTGCAAATTCCACAAAAAGAGTGTTTCAAGTCTGCTCTGTGTAAAGGATCGTTCAACTCTGTGAGTTGAATACTCACAACACAAGGAAGTTACTGAGAATTCTTCTGTCTAGCAGAATATGAAGAAATCCCGTTTCCAACGAAGGCCACAAGATGTCAGAATATCCACTTACAGAATTTACAAACAGACTGTTTCCTAAGTGCTCTATGAAAAGAAATGTTAAACTCTGTGAGTTGAACGAACACATCGCAACGCAGTTTGTGGGAGTGATTCTGTCTAGTTTTGAAAGGAAGATATTTCCTTTTCTGCCGTTGACCTTAAAGCGCTTGAAATGTACACTTGCAAATTGCACAAATAGGCTGTTTCAAATCTGCTCTGTCTAAGGGAACGTTCAACTCTGTGAGTTGAATGCGCACAACACAAGGAAGTTACTGGGAATTCTTCTGTCTAGCCTTACAGGAAAAAAACCCGTTTCCAACGAAGGCCTCTAAGTGGTCAAAATATCCACGTGCAGACTTTACAAACAGAGTGTTTCCAAACTGCTGAATGAAAAGAAAAGTTTAACTCTGAGAGTTGAACGCACACATCGCAGAGCAGTTTCTGAGAATGATTCTGTCTAGTGCTTATACGAAGATATTTCCTTTTCTGCCTTTGGCCCCAAAGCGCTTGAAATCTCCACTTGCAAATTCCACAAAAACAGTGTTTCAAATCTGCTCTCTCTAAATGAAAGTTCAACTCTGTCAGTTGAATACACACAACACAAGAAAGTTACTGAGAATTCTTCTGTCTAGCACAGTATGAAGAAATCCCGTTTCCAACGAAGGCCTCAAAGAGGTCTGAATATCCACTTGCAGACTTTACAAACAGAGTGTTTCCTAACAGCTCCATGAAAAGAAAGGTTAAACTCTGTGAGTTGAACGCACACATCACAAAGGAGTTTCTGAGAATCATTCTGTCTAGTCTTTATACGAAGATATTTCCTTTTCTACCATTGACCTCAAAGCGGCTGAAATCTCCACTTGCAAATTCCACAAAAAGAGTGTTTCAAGTCTGCTCTGTGTAAAGGATCGTTCAACTCTGTGAGTAGAATACACACAACACAAGGAAGTTACTGAAAATTCTTGTGTCTAGCAGAATATGAAGAAATCCCGTTTCCAACGAAGGCCACAAGATGTCAGAATATCCACTTACAGAATTGACAAACAGACTGTTTCCTAACTGCTCTATGAAAAGAAAGGTTAAACTCTGTGAGTTGAACGAACACATCACAACGCAGTTTGTGGGAATGATTCTGTCTAGTTTTGAAACGAAGATATTTCCTTTTCTGCCGTTGACCTTAAAGCGCTTGAAATCTACACTTGCAAATTGCACAAATAGAGTGTTTCAAATCTGCTCTGTCTAAGGGAAAGTTCAACTCTGTGAGTTGAATGCACACAACACAAGGAAGTTACTGGGAATTCTTCTGTCTAGCCTTACATGAAAAAAACCCGTTTCCAACGAAGGCCTCTAAGTGGTCAACATATCCACGTGCAGACTTTACAAACAGAGTGTTTCCAAACTGCTGAATGAAAAGAAAAGTTAAACTCTGAGAGTTGAACGCACACATCGCAGAGCAGTTTCTGAGAATGATTCTGTCTAGTTTTGAAACGAAGATATTTCCTTTTCTGCCTTTGGTCTCAAAGCGCTTGAAATCTCCACTTGCAAATTGCACAAAAAGAGTGTTTCAAATCTGCTCTGTGTAAATGAAAGTTCAACTCTGTGAGTTGAACACACACAACACAAGGAAGTTACTGGGAATTCTTCTGTCTAGCAGAATATGAAGAAATCCCGTTTCAAACGAAGGCCTCAAGGAGGTCTGAATATCCACTTGCAGACTTTACAAACAGAGTGTTTCCTAACTGCTCTATGAAAAGAAAGGTTAAACTCTGTGAGTTGAACGCACACATCACAAAGGAGTTTATGAGAATCATTCTGTCTAGTTTCTATAGGAAGATATTTCCTATTCTACCATTGACCTCAAAGCGGATGAAATCTCCACTTGCAAATTCCACAAAAAGAGTGTTTCAAGTCTGCTCTGTGTAAAGGATCGTTCAACTCTGTGAGTTGAATACACACAACACAAGGAAGTTACTGAGAATTCTTCTGTCTAGCACATTATGAAGAAATCCCGTTTCCAACGAAGGCCTCAAAGAGGTCTGAATATCCACTTGCAGACTTTACAAACAGAGTGTTTCCTAACTGCTCTATGAAAAGAAAGGTTAAACTCTGTGAGTTGAACGCACACGTCACAATGAAGTTTCTGAGAATCATTCTGTCTAGTTTTTATACGAAGATATTTCCTTTTCTACCATTGACCTCAAAGCGGCTGAAATCACCACTTGCCAATTGCACAAAAAGAGTGTTTCAAATCTGCTCTGTCTAAGGGAACGTTCAACTCTGTGAGTTGAATGTACACAACACAAGGAAGTTCCTGGGAATTCTTCTCTCTAGCCTTACAGGAAAAAAACCCGTTTCCAACGAAGGCCTCTAAGTGGTCAAAATATCGACGTGCAGACTTCACAAACAGAGTGTTTCCAAACTGCTGAATGAAAAGAAAAGTTAAACTCTGAGAGTTGAACGCACACATCGCAGAGCAGTTTCTGAGAATGATTCTGTCTAGTTTTTATACGAAGATATTTCCTTTTCTGCCTTTGGCCTCAAAGCGCTTGAAATCTCCACTTGCAAATTCCACAAAAAGAGTGTTTCAAATCTGCTCTGTGTAAATGAAAGTTCAACTCTGTGAGTTGAACACACACAACACAAGGGAAGTTACTGGGAATTCTTCTGTCTAGCATAATATGAAGAAATCCCGTTTCCAACGAAGGCATCAAGGAGGTCTGAATATCCACTTGCAGACTTTACAAACAGAGTGTTTCCTCACTGCTCTATGAAAAGAAAGGTTAAACTCTGTGAGTTGAACGCACACATCACAAAGTAGTTTCTGAGAATCATTCTGTCTAGTTTTTATACGAAGATATTTCCTTTTCTACCATTGACCTCAAAGCGGCTGAAAACTCCACTTGCAAATTCCACAAAAAGAGTGTTTCAAGTCTACTCTGTGTAAAGCATCGTTCAACTCTGTGAGTTGAAAACACAGAACACAAGGAAGTTTCTGAGAATTCTTCTGTCTAGCAGAATATGAAGAAATCCCGTTTCCAACGAAGGCCACAAGATGTCAGAATATCCACTTACAGACTTTACAAACAGAGTGTTTCCTAACTGCTCTATGAACAGAAAGGTTATACTCTGTGAGTTGAACGAACACATCACAACGCAGTTTGTGGGAATGATTCTGTCTAGTTTTGAAACGAAGATATTTCCTTTTCTGCCATTGACCTCAAAGCGCTTGAAATCTCCACTTGCCAATTGCACAAAAAGAGTGTTTCAAATCTGCTCTGTCTAACGGAACGTTCAACTCTGTGAGTTGAATGTACACAACACAAGGAAGTTACTGGGAATTCTTCTGTCTAGCCTTACATGAAAAAATCCCGTTTCCAACGAAGGCCTCTAAGTGGTCAAATTATCCACGTGCAGACTTTACAAACAGAGTGTTTCCAAACTGCTGAATGAAAAGAAAAGTTAAACTCTGAGAGTTGAACGCACACATCGCAGAGCAGTTTCTGAGAATGATTCTGTCTAGTTTTTATACGAAGATATTTGCTTTTCTGCCTTTGGCCTCAAAGCGCTTGAAATCTCCACTTGCAAATTCCACAAAAAGAGTGTTTCAAATCTGCTCTGTGTAAATGAAAGTTCAACTCTGTGAGTTGAACACACACAACACAAGGAAGTTACTGGGAATTCTTCTGTCTAGCATAATATGAAGAAATCCCGTTTCCAACGAAGGCCTCAAAGGGGTCTGAATATCCACTTGCAGACTTTATAAACAGCGTGTTTCCTAACTGCTCTATGAAAAGAAAGGTTAAACTCTCTGAGTTGAACGCACACATCACAAAGGAGTTTCTGAGAATCATTCTGTCTAGTTTCTATACGAAGATATTTCTTTTTCTACAATTGACCTCAAAGCGGCTGAAATCTCCACTTGCAAATTCCACAAAAAGAGTGTTTCAAGTCTGCTCTGTGTAAAGTATCGTTCAACTCTGTGAGTTGAATACACAGAACACAAGGAAGTTACTGAGAATTCTTCTGTCTAGCATAATATGAAGAAATCCCGTTTCCAACGAAGGCCTGTAGGAGGTCTGAATATCCACTTGCAGACTTTACAAACAGAGTGTTTCCTAACTGCTCTATGGAAAGAAAGGTTAAACTGTGTGAGTTGAACGCACACATCACAAAGGAGTTTCTGAGAATCATCTGTCTAGTTTTGAAACGAAGATATTTCCTTTTCTGCCATTGACCTTAAAGCGCTTGAAATCTCCATTTGCCAATTGCACAAAAAGAGTGTTTCAAATCTGCTCTGTCTAAGGGAACGTTCAACTCTGTGAGTTGAATGTACACAACACAAGGAAGTTACTGGGAATTCTTTCTGTCTAGCCTTACAGGAAAAAGCCCGTTTCCAACGAAGGCCTCTAAGTGGTCAAAATATCCACGTGCAGACTTTACAAACAGAGTGTTTCCAAACTGCTGAATGAAAAGAAAAGTTAAACTCTGAGAGTTGAACGCACACATCGCAGAGCAGTTTCTGAGAATGATTCTGTCTAGTTTTTATACGAAGATATTTCCTTTTCTGCCTTTGGCCTCAAAGCGCTTGAAATCTCCATTTGCAAATTCCAGAAAAAGAGTGTTTCAAATCTGCTCTGTGTAAATGAAAGTTCAACTCTGTGAGTTGAACACACACAACACAAGGAAGTTACTGGGAATTCTTCTGTCTAGCATAATATGAAGAAATCCCGTTTCCAACGAAGGCCTCAAGGAGGTCTGAATATCAACTTGCAGACTTTACAAACAGAGTGTTTCATAACTGCTCTATGAAAAGAAAGGTTAAACTCTGTGAGTTGAACGCACACATCACAAAGGAGTTTCTGAGAATCATTCTGTCTAGTTTTTCTACGAAGATATTTCCTTTTCTACTATTGACCTCAAAGCGGCTGAAATCTCGACTTGCAAATTCCACAAAAAGAGTGTTTCAATTCTGCTCTGTGTAAAGGATCGTTCAACTCTGTGAGTTGAATACACACAACACAAGGAAGTTACTGAGAATTATTCTGTCTAGCAGAATATGAAGAAATCCCGTTTCCAACGAAGGCCACAAGTTGTCAGAATATCCACTTACAGAATTTACAAACAGACTGTTTCCTAACTGCTCTATGAAAAGAAAGGTTAAACTCTGTGATTTGAACGAACACATCACAACGCAGTCTGTGGGAATGATTCTGTCTAGTTTTGAAACGAAGATATTTCCTTTTCTGCCATTGACCTTAAAGCGCTTGAAATCTACAGTTGCAAATTCCACAAAAAGAGTGTTTCAAGTCTGCTCTGTGTAAAGGATCGTTCAACTCTGTGAGTTGAATACACACAACACAAGGAAGTTACTGAGAATTCTTCTGTCTAGCAGAATATGAAGAAATCCCGTTTCCAACGAAGGCCTCAAAGAGGTCTGAATATCCACTTGCAGACTTTACAAACAGAGTGTTTCCTAACTGCTCTATGAAAAGAAAGGTTAAACTCTGTGAGTTGAACAAACACATCACAAAGGACTTTCTGAGAATCATTCTGTCTAGTTTTTATACGAAGATATTTCCTTTTCTACCATTGACCTCAAAGCGGCTGAAATCTCCACTTGCAAATTCCACAAAAAGAGTGTTTCAAATCGGCTCTGTGTAAATGAAAGTTCAACTCTGTGAGTTGAACACACACAACACAAGGAAGTTACTGGGAATTCTTCTGTCTAGCCTTATATGAAAAAAACCCGTTTCCAACGAAGGCCTCAAAGAGGTCTGAATATCCACTTGCAGACTTTACAAACAGAGTGTTTCCTAACTGCTCTATGAAAAGAAAGGTTAAACTCTGTGAGTTGTACGCACACATCACAAAGGAGTTTCTGAGAATCATTCTGTCTACTTTCTATAGGAAGATATTTCCTATTCTACCATTGACCTCAAAGCGGATGAAATCTCCACTTGCAAATTCCACAAAAGGAGTGTTTCAAGTCTGCTCTGTGTAAAGGATCGTTCAACTCTGTGAGTTGAAAACACACAACACAAGGAAGTTTCTGAGAATTCTTCTGTCTAGCAGAATATGAAGAAATCCCGTTTCCAACGAAGGCCACAAGATGTCAGAATATCCACTTACAGACTTTACAAACAGAGTGTTTCCTAACTGCTCTATGAACAGAAAGGTTAAACTCTGTGAGTTGAACGAACACATCACAACGCAGTTTGTGGGAATGATTCTGTCTAGTTTTGAAACGAAGATATTTCCTTTTCTGCCGTTGACCTTAAAGCGCTTGAAATCTACACTTGCAAATTGCACAAATAGAGTGTTTCAAATCTGCTCTGTCTAAGGTAACGTTCAACTCTGTGAGTTGAATGCACACAACACAAGGAAGTTACTGGGAATTCTTCTGTCTAGCCTTAGATGAAAAAAACCCGTTTCCAACGAAGGCCTCTAAGTGGTCAAAATTTCCTCGTGCAGACTTTACAAACAGAGTGTTTCCAAACCGCTGAATGAAAAGAAAAGTTAAACTCTGAGAGTTGAACGCACACATCACGCAGCAGTTTCTGAGAATGATTCTGTCTAGTTTTTATACGAAGATATTTCCTTTTCTGCCTTTGGCCTCAAACCGCTTGAAATCTCCATTTGCAAATTCCACAAAAAGAGTGTTTCAAATCTGCTCTGTGTAAATGAAAGTTCAACTCTGTGAGTTGAACACACACAACACAAGGAAGTTACTGGGAATTCTTCTGTCTAGCAGAATATGAAGAAATCCCGTTTCCAACGAAGGCCTCAAGGAGGTCTGAATATCCACTTGCAGACTTTACAAACAGAGTGTTTCCTAACTGCTCTATGAACAGAAAGGTTAAACTCTGTGAGTTGAACGCACACATCACTAAGGAGTTTCTGAGAATCATTCTGTCTAGTTTCTATACGAAGATATATCCTATTCTACAATTGACCTCAAAGCGGCTGAAATCTCCACTTGCAAATTCCACAAAAAGAGTGTTTCAAGTCTGCTCTGTGTAAAGGATCGTTCAACTCTGTGAGTTGAATACACACAACACAAGGAAGTGACTGAGAATTCTTCTGTCTAGCAGAATATGAAGAAATCCCGTTTCCAACGAAGACCACAAGATGTCAGAATATCCACTTACAGACTTTACAAACAGAGTGTTTCCTAACTGCTCTATGAACAGAAAGGTTAAACTCTGTGAGTTGAACGAACACATCACAACGCAGTTTGTGGGAATGATTCTGTCTAGTTTTTATACGAAGATATTTCGTTTTCTACCATTGACCTCAAAGCGGCTGAAATCACCACTTGCCAATTGCACAAAAAGAGTGTTTCAAATGTGTTCTGTCTAAGGGAACGTTCAACTCTGTGAGTTGAATGTACACAACACAAGGAAGTTACTGGGAATTCTTCTGTCTAGCCTTACATGAAAAAAACCCGTTTCCAACGAAGGCCTCTAAGTGGTCAAATTATCCACGTGCAGACTTTAGAAACAGAGTGTTTCCAAACTGCTGAATGAAAAGAAAAGTTAAACTCTGAGAGTTGAACGCACACATCACAGAGCAGTTTCTGAGAATGATTCTGTCTAGTTTTTATACGAAGATATTTCCTTTTCTGCCTTTGTCCTCAAAGCGCTTGAAATCTCCACTTGCAAATTCCACAAAAAGAGTGTTTCAAATCTGCTCTGTGTAAATGAAAGTTCAACTCTGTGAGTTGAACACACACAACACAAGGAAGTTACTGGGAACTCTTCTGTCTAGCATAATATGAAGAAATCCCGTTTCCAACGAAGGCCTCAAAGGGGTCTGAATATCCACTTGCAGAATTTATAAACAGAGTGTTTACTAACTGCTCTATGAAAAGAAAGGTTAAACTCTGTGAGTTGAACACACACATCACAAAGGAGTTTCTGAGAATCATTCTGTCTAGTTTTTATACGAAGATATTTCCTTTTCTACCATTGACCTCAAAGCGGCTGAAATCTCCACTTGCAAATTCCACAAAAAGAGTGTTTCAAGTCTGCTCTGTGTAAAGGATCGTTCAACTCTGTGAGTTGAATACACACAAGACAAGGAAGTTACTGAGAATTCTTCTGTCTAGCAGAATATGAAGAAATCCCGTTTCCAACGAAGGCCACAAGATGTCAGAATATCCCCTTACAGAATTTTCAAACAGACTGTTTCCTAACTGCTCTATGAAAAGAAAGGTTAAACTCTGTGAGATGAACGAACACATCACAACGCAGTTTGTGGGAATGATTCTGTCTAGTGTTTATAGGAAGATATTTCCTTTTCTACCTTTGACTTCAAAGCGGCTGAAATCTCCACTTGCAAATTCCACAAAAAGAGTGTTACAAGTCTGCTCTGTGTAAAGGATCGTTCAACTCTGTCAGTTGAATACACACAACACAAGGAAGTTACTGAGAATTCTTCTGTCTAGCCTTACATGAAAAAAACCCGTTTCCAACGAAGGCCTCTAAGTGGTCAAGTTATCCACGTGCAGACTTTACAAACAGAGTGTTTCCAAACTGCTGAATGAAAAGAAAAGTTAAACACTGAGAGTTGAACGCACACATCGCAGAGCAGTTTCTGAGAATGATTCTGTCTAGTTTTTATACGAAGATATTTCCTTTTCTGCCTTTGGCCTCAAAGCGCTTGAAATCTCCATTTGCAAATTCCACAAAAAGAGTGTTACAAGTCTGCTCTGTGTAAAGGATCGTTCAACTCTGTGAGTTGAACACACACAACACAAGGAAGTTACTGGGAATTCTTCTGTCTAGCAGAATATGAAGAAATCCCGTTTCCAACGAAGGCCTCAAAGAGGTCTGAATATCCACTTGCACACTTTACAAACAGAGTGTTTCCTAACTGCTCTATGAGAACAAAAGTTAAACTCTGTGAGTTGAACGCACACATCACAAAAGATTTTCTGAGAATCATTCTGCCTAGTTTTTATAGGAAGATATTTCCTTTTCTACCTTTGACGTCAAAGCGGCTGAAATCTCCACTTGCAAATTCCACAAAAAGAGTGTTACAAGTCTGCTCTGTGTAAAGGATCGTTCAACTCTGTGAGTTGAATACACACAACACAAGGAAGTTACTGAGAATTCTTCTGTCTAGCAGAATGTGAAGAAATCCCGTTTCCAACGAAGGCCACAAGATGTCAGAATATCCACTTACAGAGTTTACAAACAGAGTGTTTCCTAACTGCTCTATGAACAGAAAGGTTAAACTCTGTGAGTTGAACGAACACATCACAACGCAGTTTGTGGGAATGATTCTGTCTACTTTTGAAACGAAGATATTTCCTTTTCTGCCATTGACCTCAAAGCGCTTGAAATCTCCACTTGCCAATTGCACAAAAAGAGTGTTTCAAATCTGCTCTGTCTAAGGGAACGTTCAACTCTGTGAGTTGAATGTACACAACACAAGGAAGTTACTGGGAATTCTTCTGTCTAGCCTTACAGGAAAAAAACCCGTTTCCAACGAAGGCCTCTAAGTGGTCAAATTATCCACGTGCAGACTTTACAAACAGAGTGCTTCCAAACTGCTGAATGAAAAGAAAAGTTAAACTCTGAGAGTTGAACACACACATCGCAGAGCACTTTCTGAGAATGATTCTGTCTAGTTTTTATACGAAGATATTTCGTTTTCTGCCTTTGGCCTCAAAGCGCTTGAAATCTCCACCTGCAAATTCCACAAAAAGAGTGTTTCAAATCTGCTCTGTGTAAATGAAAGTTCAACTCTGTGAGTTGAACACACACAACACAAGGAAGTTACTGGGAATTCTTCTGTCTAGGCTTATATGAAAAAAACCCGTTTCCAACGAAGGCCTCAAAGAGGTCTGAATATCCACTTGCAGACTTTACAAACAGAGTGTTTCCTAACTGCTCTATGAAAAGAAAGGTTAAACTCTGTGAGTTGAACGCACACATCACAAAGGAGTTTCTGAGAATCATTCTGTCTAGTTTTTATACAAAGATATTTCCTTTTCTACCATTGACCTCAAAGCGGCTGAAATCTCCAATTGCAAGTTCCACAAAAAGAGTGTTTCTAATCTGCTCTGCGTAAAGGATCGTTCAACTCTGTGATATGAATGCACACAACACAAGGAAGTTACTGAGAATTCTTCTGTCTAGCATAATATGAAGAAATCCCGTTTCCAATGAAGGCCACAAAGAGGTCTGAATATCCACTTGCAGACTTTACAAACAGAGTGTTTCCTAACTACTCTAGGAAAAGAAAGGTTAAACTCTGTGAGTTGAACGCACACATCACAAAGTAGTTTCTGAGAATCATTCTGTCTAGTTTTGAAACGAAGATATTTCCTTTTCTGCCATTGACCTTAAAGCGCTTGAAATCTCCACTTGCCAATTGCACAAAAAGAGTGTTTCAAATCTCCTCTGTCTAAGGGAACGTTCAACTCTGTGAGTTGAATGTACACAACACAAGGAAGTTACTGGGAATTCTTCTGTCTAGCCTTACATGAGAAAAACCCGTTTCCAACGAAGGCCTCTAAGTGGTCAAAATATCCACGTGCAGACTTTACAAACAGAGTGTTTCCAAACCGCTGAATGAAAAGAAAAGTTAAACTCTGAGAGTTGAACGCACACATCACGCAGCAGTTTCTGAGAATGATTCTGTCTAATTTTTACACGAAGATATTTCCTTTTCTGCCTTTGGCCCCAAAGGGCTTGAAATCTCCACTTGCAAATTCCACAAAAACAGTGTTTCAAATCTGCTCTCTCTAAATGAAAGTTCAACTCTGTCAGTTGAATACACACAACACAAGGAAGTTACTGAGAATTCTTCTGTCTAGCCTTATATGAAAAAAACCCGTTTCCAACGAAGGCCTCAAAGAGGTCTGAATATCCACTTGCAGACTTTACAAACAGAGTGTTTCCTAACTGCTCTATGAAAAGAAAGGTTAAACTCTGTGACTTGAACGCACACATCACAAAGGAGTTTCTGAGAATCATTCTGTCTAGTTTCTATAGGAAGATATTTCCTATTCTACCATTGATCTCAAAGAGGCTGAAATCTCCACTTGCAAAATCCACAAAAAGTGTGTTTCAAGTCTGCTCTGTGTAAAGGATCGTTCAACTCTGTCAGTTGAATACACACAACACAAGGAAGTTACTGAGAATTCTTCTGTCTAGCAGAATATGAAGAAATCCCATTTCCAACGATGGCCCCAAAGAGGTCTGAATATCCACTTGCCGACTTTACAAACAGAGTGTTTCCTAACTGCTCTACGAAAAGAAAGGTTAAACTCTGTGAGTTGAACGCACACATCACAAAGGAGTTTCTGAGAATAATTCTGTCTAGTTTTTATACGAAGATATATCCTTTTCTACCATTGACCTCAAAGCGGCTGAAATGTCCACTTGCAAATTCCACAAAAAGAGTGTTTCAAGTCTGCTCTGTGTAAAGGATCGTTGAACTCTGTGAGTTGAATACACACAACAGAAGGAAGTTACTGAGAATTCTTCTGTCTAGCCTTACAGGAAAAAAACCCGTTTCCAACGAAGGCCTCTAAGTGGTCAAAATATCCACGTGCAGACTTTACAAACAGAGTGTTTTCAAACTGTTGAATGAAAAGAAAAGTTAAACTCTGAGAGTTGAACGCACACATCGCAGAGCAGTTTCTGAGAATGATTCTGTCTAGTTTTTATACGAAGATATTTCCTTTTCTGCCATTGGCCTCAAAGCACTTGAAATCTCCACTTGCAAATTCCACAAAAAGAGTGTTTCAAATCTGCTCTGTGTAAATGAAAGTTCAACTCTGTGACTTAAAAAACACACAACACAAGGAAGTTACTGGGAATTCTTCTGTCTAGCATAATATGAAGAAATCCCGTTTCCAATGAAGGCCTCAAAGAGGTCTGAATATCCACTTGCAGACTTTACAAACAGAGTGTTTCCTAACTGCTCTATGAAAACAAAAGTTAAACTCTGTGAGTTGAACGCACACATCACAAAGGATTTTCTGAGAATCATTCTGTCTAGTTTTTATAGGAACTTATTTCCTTTTCTACCTTTGACTTCAAAGTGGCTGAAATCTCCACTTGCAAATTCCACAAAAAGAGTGTTACAAGTCTGCTCTGTGTAAAGGATCGTTCAACTCTGTGAGTTGAATACACACAACACAAGGAAGTTACTCAGAATTCTTCTTTCTAGCAGAATATGAAGAAATCCCGTTTCCAACGAAAGCCTCAAGGATGTCTGAATATCCACTTGCAGGCTTTACAAACAGAGTGTTTCCTAACTGCTCTATGAAAAGAAAGGTTAAACTCTGTGAGTTGAACGCACACATCACAAAGGAGTTTCTGAGAATCATTCTGTCTAGTTTTGAAACGAAGATATTTCCTTTTCTGCCGTTGACCTTAAAGAGCTTGAAAACTACACTTGCAAATTGCAGAAATAGAGTGTTTCAAATCTGCTCTGTCTAAGGGAACGTTCAACTCTGTGAGTTGAATGCACACAACACAAGGAAGTTACTGGGAATTCTTCTGTCTAGCCTTACATGAAAAAATCCCGTTTCCAACGAAGGCCTCTAAGTGGTCAAAATTTCCACGTGCAGACTTTACAAACAGAGTGTTTCCAAACCGCTGAATGAAAAGAAAAGTTAAACTCTGAGAGTTGAACGCACACATCACGCAGCAGTTTCTGAGAATGATTCTGTCTAGTTTTTATACGAAGATATTTCCTTTTCTGCCTTTGGCCCCAAAGCGCTTGAAATCTCCACTTGCAAATTCCACAAAAACAGTGTTTCAAATCTGCTCTACCTAAATGAAAGTTCAACTCTGTCAGTTGAATACACACAACACAAGGAAGTTACTGAGAATTCTTCTGTATAGCAGAATACGAAGAAATCCCGTTTCCAACGAAAGCCTCAAAGATGTCTGAATATCCACTTGCAGACTTTACAAACAGAGTGTTTCCTAACTGCTCTATGAAAAGAAAGGTTAAACTCTGTGAGTTGAACGCACACATCACAAAGGAGTTTCTGAGAATCATTCTGTCTAGTTTTTATACGAAGATATTTACTTTTCTACCATTGACTTCAAAGCGGCTGAAATCTCCACTTGCAAATTCCACAAAAACAGTGTTTCAAGTCTGCTCTGTGTAAAGGATCATTCAACTCTGTGAGTTGAATAAACACAACACAAGGAAGTTACTGAGAATTCTTCTGTCTAGCAGAATATGAATAAATCCCTTTTCCAACGAAGGCCACAAGATGTCAGAATATCCACTTACAGACTTTACAAACAGAGTGTTTCCTAACTGCTCTATGAACAGAATGGTTAAACTCTGTGAGTTGAACGAACACATCACAACGCAGTTTGTGGGAATGATTCTGTCTAGTTTTGAAACGAAGATATTTCCTTTTCTGCCATTGACCTTAAAGCGCTTGAAATCTCCACTTGCCAATTGCACAAAAAGAGTGTTTCAAATCTGCTCTGTCTAAGGGAACGTTCAACTCTGTGAGTTGAATGTACACAACACAAGGAAGTTACTGGGAATTCTTCTATCTAGCCTTACAGGAAAGAAACCCGTTTCCAACGAAGGCCTCTAAGTGGTCAACATATCCACGTGCAGACTTTACAAACAGAGTGTTTCCAAACTGCTGAATGAAAAGAAAAGTTAAACTCTGAGAGTTGAACGCACACATCGCAGAGCAGTTTCTGAGAATGATTCTGTCTAGTTTTCATACGAAGATATTTCCTTTTCTGCCTTTGGCCTCAAAGCGCTTGAAATCTCCATTTGCAAATTCCACAAAAAGAGTGTTTCAAATCTGCTCTGTGTAAATGAAAGTTCAACTCTGTGAGTTGAACACACACAACACAAGGAAGTTACTGGGAAATCTTCTGTCTAGCCTTACATGAAAAAAACCAGTTTCCAACGAAGGCCTCAAAGAGGTCTGAATATCCACTTGCAGACTTTACAAACAGAGTGTTTCCTAACTGCTCTATGAAAAGAAAGGTTAAACTCTGTGAGTTGAACACACACATCACAAAGGAGTTTCTGAGAATCATTCTGTCTAGTCTTTATACGAAGATATTTCCTTTTCTACCATTGACCACAAAGCGGCTGAAATCTCCACTTGCAAATTCCACAAAAAGAGTGTTTCAAGTCTGCTCTGTGTAAAGGATCATTCAACTCTGTGAGTTGAATAAACACAACACAAGGAAGTTACTGAGAATTCTTCTGTCTAGCAGAATATGAAGAAATCCTGTTTCCAACGAAGGCCTCTAGGAGGTCTGAATATCCACTTGCAGACTTTACAAACAGAGTGTTTCCTAACTGCTCTATGAACAGAAAGGTTAAACTCTGTGAGTTGAACGAACACATCACAACGCAGTTTGTGGGAATGATTCTGTCTAGTTTTGAAACGAAGATATTTCCTTTTCTGCCGTTGACCTTAAAGAGCTTGAAAACTACACTTGCAAATTGCACAAATAGAGTGTTTCAAATCTGCTCGGTCTAAGGGAACGTTCAACTCTGTGAGTTGAATGCACACAACACAAGGAAAGTTACTGGGAATTCTTCTGTCTAGCCTTACATGAAAAAAACCCGTTTCCAACGAAGGCCTCTAAGTGGTCAAAATTTCCACGTGCAGACTTTAGAAACAGAGTGTTTCCAAACCGCTGAATGAAAAGAAAAGTTAAACTCTGAGAGTTGAACGCACACATCACGCAGCAGTTTCTGAGAATGATTCTGTCTAGTAGAATATGAAGAAATCCCGTTTCCAACGAAGGCCTCAAGGAGGTCTGAATATCCACTTGCAGACTTTACAAACAGAGTGTTTCCTAACTGCTCTATGAAAAGAAAGGTGAAACTCTGTGAGTTGAATGCACACATCAGAAAGGAGTTTCTGAGAATCATTCTGTCTAGTTTTTCTACGAAGATATTTCCTTTTCTACTATTGACCTCAAAGCGGCTGAAATCTCCACTTGCAAATTTCACAAAAAGAGTGTTTCAAGTCTGCTCTGTGTAAAGGATCGTTCAACTCTGTGAGTTGAATACACACAACACAAGGAAGTTACTGAGAATCCTTCTGTCTAGCAGAATATGAAGAAATCCCGTTTCCAACGAAGGCCACAAGATGTCAGAATATCCACTTAAAGAATTTACAAACAGACTGTTTCCTAACTGCTCTATGAAAAGAAAGGTTAAACTCTGTGAGATGAACGAACACATCACAACGCAGTTTGTGGGAATGATTCTGTCTAGTTTTGAAACGAAGATATTTCCTTTTCTGCCATTGACCTTAAAGCGCTTGAAATCTCCACTTGCCAATTGCACAAAAAGAGTGTTTCAAATCTGCTCTGTCTAAGGGAACGTTCAACTCTGTGAGTTGAATGTACACAACACAAGGAAGTTACTGGGAATTCTTCTGTCTAGCCTTACATGAAAAAAACCCGTTTCCAACGAAGGCCTCTAAGTGGTCAAAATATCCACGTGCAGACTTTACAAACAGAGTGTTTCCAAACCGCTGAATGAAAAGAAAAGTTAAACTCTGAGAGTTGAACGCACACATCACGCAGCAGATTGCTGAGAATGATTCTGTCTAGTTTTTATACGAAGATATTTCCTTTTCTGCCTTTGGCCTCAAAGCGCTTGAAATCTCCACTTGCAAATTCCACAAAAAGAGTGTTTCAAATCTGCTCTGTGTAAATCAAAGTTCAACTCTGTGAGTTGAACACACACAACACAAAGAAGTTACTGGGAATTCTTCTGTCTAGCATAATATGAAGAAATCCCGTTTCCAACGAAGGCCTCAAAGGGGTCTGAATATCCACTTGCAGACTTTATAAACAGAGTGTTTACTAACTGCTCTATGAAAGGAAAGGTTAAACTCTGTGAGTTGAACACACACATCACAAAGGAGTTTCTGAGAATCATTCTGTCTAGTTTTTATATGAAGATATTTCCTTTTCTACCATTGACCTCAAAGCGGCTGAAATCTCCACTTACAAATTCCACAAAAAGAGGGTCTCAAGTCTGCTCTGTGTAAACGATCGTTCAACTCTGTGAGTTGAATACACACAACACAAGGAAGTTTCTGAGAATTCTTCTGTCTAGCAGAATATGAAGAAATCCCGTTTCCAACGAAGGCCACAAGATATCAGAATATCCACTTACAGACTTTACAAACAGAGTGTTTCCTAACTGCTCTATGAACAGAAAGGTTAAACTCTGTGAGTTGAACGAACACATCACAACGCAGTTTGTGGGAATGATTCTGTCTAGTTTTGAAACGAAGATATTTCCTTTTCTGCCATTGACCTTAAGCGCTTGAAATCTCCACTTGCCAATTGCACAAAAAGAGTGTTTCAAATCTGCTCTGTCCAAGGGAACGTTCAACTCTGTAAGTTGAATGTACACAACACAAGGAAGTTACCGGGAATTATTCTGTCTAGCCTTACATGAAAAAATCCCGTTTCCAACGAAGGCCTCTAAGTGGTCAAAATTTCCACGTGCAGACTTTACAAACAGAGTGTTTCCAAACCGCTGAATGAAAAGAAAAGTTAAACTCTGAGAGTTGAACGCACACATCACGCAGCAGTTTCTGAGAATGATTCTGTCTAGTTTTTATACGAAGATATTTCCTTTTCTGCCTTTGGCCCCGAAGCGCTTGAAATCTCCACTTGCAAATTCCACAAAAAGAGTGTTTCAAGTCTGCTCTGTGTAAAGGATCGTTCAACTCTGTGAGTTGAATACACACAACACAAGGAAGTTACTGAGAATTCTTCTGTCTAGCAGAATATGAAGAAATCCCGTTTCCAACGAAGGCCACAAAGAGGTCTGAATATCCACTTTCAGACTTTACAAACAGAGTGTTTCCTAACTGCTCTATGAAAAGAAAAGTTAAACTCTGTGAATTGAACGCACACATCACAAAGGAGTTTCTGAGAATCATGCTGTCTAGTTTTTATACGAAGATATTTCCTTTTCTACCATTGACCTCAACGCGGCTGAAATCTCCACTTGCAAATTCCACAAAAAGAGTGTTTCAAATCTGCTCTGTGTAAACCATCGTTCAACTGTGTGAGTTGAATACACACAACACAAGGAAGATTCTGAGAATTCTTCGGTCTAGCAGAATATGAAGAAATCCCGTTTCCAACGAAGGCCTCAAGGAGGTCTGAATATCCACTTGTAGACTTTACAAACAGAGTGTTTCCTAACTGCTCTATGAACAGAAAAGTTAAACTCTGTGAGTTGAACGAACACATCACAACGCAGTTTGTGGGAATGATTCTGTCTAGTTTTGAAACGAAGATATTTCCTTTTCTGCCATTGACCTTAAAGCGCTTGAAATCTACACTTGCAAATTGCACAAATAGAGTGTTTCAAATCTGCTCTGTCTAAAGGAAAGTTCAACTCTCTGAGTTGAATGCACACAACACAAGGAAGTTACTGGGAATTCTTCTGTCTAGCCTTACATGAAAAAAACCCGTTTCCAACGAAGGCCTCTAAGTGGTCAAATTATCCACGTGCAGACTTTACAAACAGAGTGTTTCCAAACTGCTGAATGAAAAGAAAAGTTAAACTCTGAGAGTTGAACGCACACATCACAGAGCAGTTTCTGAGAATGATTCTGTCTAGTTTTCATACGAAGATATTTCCTTTTCTGCCTTTGGCCACAAAGCGCTTGAAATCTGCACTTGCAAATTCCACAAAAACAGTGTTTCTAATCTGCTCCCTCTAAATGAAAGTTCAACTCTGTCAGTTGAATACACACAACACAAGGAAGTTACTGAGAATTCTTCTGTCTAGCATAATATGAAGAAATCCGTTTCCAAAGAAGACCACAAAGGGGTCTGAATATCCACTTGCAGACTCTATAAACAGAGTGTTTCCTAACTGCTCTATGAAAAGAAAGGTTAAACTCTCAGAGTTGAACACACACATCACAAAGGAGTTTCTGAGAATCATTCTGTCTAGTTTTTATACGAAGATATTTCCTTTTCTACCATTGACCTCAAAGCGGCTGAAATCTCCACTTGCAAATTCCACAAAAAGAGTGTTTCAAGTCTGCTCTGTGTAAAGGGTCGTTCAACTCTGAGAGTTGAATACACACAACACAAGGAAGTTTCTGAGAATTCTTCTGTGTAGCAGAATATGAAGAAATCCTGTTTCCAACGAAGGCCACAAGATGTCAGAATATCCACTTACAGAATTTACCAACAGAGTGTTTCCTAACTGCTCTATGAAAAGAAAGGTTAAACTCTGTGAGTTGAACGAACACATCACAACGCAGTTTGTGGGAATGATTCTGTCTAGTTTTGAAACGAAGATATTTCCTTTTCTGCCATTGACCTTAAAGCGCTTGAAATCTCCACTTGCCAATTGCACAAAAAGAGTGTTTCAAATCTGCTCTGTCTAAGGGAACGTTGAACTCTGTGAGTTGAATGTACACAACACAAGGAAGTTACTGGGAATTCTTCTGTCTAGCCTTACATGAAAAAAACCCGTTTCCAACGAAGGCCTCTAGGTGGTCAAAATATCCACGTGCAGACTTTACAAACAAAGTGTTTCCAAACCGCTGAATGAAAAGAAAAGTTAAACTCTGAGAGTTGAACGCACACATCACGCAGTAGTTTCTGAGAATGATTCTGTCTGGTTTTTATACGAAGATATTTCCTTTTCTGCCTTTGGCCTCAAAGCGCTTGAAATCTCCATTTGCAAATTCCACAAAAAGAGTGTTTCAAATCTGCTCTGTGTAAATGAAAGTTCAACTCTGCGAGTTGAACACACACAACACAAGGAAGTTACTGGGAATTCTTCTGTGTAGCATAGTATGAAGAAATCCCGTTTCCAACGAAGGCCTCAAAGAGGTCTGAATATCCACTTGCAGAGTTTACAAACAGAGTGTTTCCTAACTGCTCTATGAAAAGAAAGGTTAAACTCTGTGAGTTGAACGCACACATCACAAAGAAGTTTCTGAGAATCATTCTGTCTAGTTTCTATAGGAAGATATTTCCTATTCTACCATTGACCTCAAAGCGGCTGAAATCTCCACTTGCAAATTCCACAAGAAGAGTGTTTCAAGTATGCTCTGTGTAAAGCATCGTTCAACTCTGTGAGTTGAATACACACAACACAAGGAAGTTACTGAGAATTCTTCTGTCTAGCAGAATATGAAGAAATCCCGTTTCCAACGAAGGCCACAAGATGTCAGAATATCCACTTACAGACTTTACAAACAGAGCGTTTCCTAACTGCTCTATGAACAGAAAGGTTAAACTCTGTGAGTTGAACGAACACATCACAACGCAGTTTGTGGGAATGATTCTGTCTAGTTTTGAAACGAAGATATTTCCTTTTCTGCCATTGACCATAAAGCGCTTGAAATCTACACTTGCAAATTGCACAAATAGAGTGTTTCAAATCTGCTCTGTCCAAGGGAACGTTCAACTCTGTGAGTTGAATGCACACAACACAAGGAAGTTACTGGGAATTCTTCTGTCTAGCCTTACATGAAAAAAACCCGTTTCCAACGAAGGCCTCTAAATGGTCAAGTTATCCACGCGCAGACTTTACAAACAGAGTGTTTCCAAACTGCTGAATGAAAAGTTAAACTCTGAGAGTTGAACGCACACATCGCAGAGCAGTTTCTGAGAATGATTCTGTCTAGTTTTTATACGAAGATATTTCCTTTTCTGCCTTTGGCCCCAAAGCGCTTGAAATCTCCACTTGCAAATTCCACAAAAACAGTGTTTCAAATCTGCTCTCTCTAAATGAAAGTTCAACTCTGTCACTTGAATACACACAACACAAGGAAGTTACTGAGAATTCTTCTGTCTAGCCTTATATGAAAAAAACCCGTTTCCAACGATGGCCTCAAAGAGGGCTGAATATCCACTTGCAGACTTTACAAGCAGAGTGTTTCCTAACTGCTCTATGAAAAGAAAGGTTAAACTCTGTGAGTTGAACGCACACATCACAAAGGAGTTTCTGAGAATCATTCTGTCTAGTTTTTATACGAAGATATTTCCTTTTCTACCATTGACCTCAACGCGGCTGAAATCTCCACTTGCAAATTCCACAAAAAGTTTGTTTCAAGTCCGCTCTGTGTAAAGGATCGTTCAACTCTGTGAGTTGAATACACACAACACAAGGAAGTTACTGAGAATCTTCTGTCTAGCAGAATATGATAAAATCCCGTTTCCAACGAAGGCCACAAGATGTCAGAATATCCACTTACAGAATTTACAAACAGACTGTTTCCTAACTGCTCTATGAAAAGAAAGGTTAAACTCTGTGAGTTGAACGAACACATCACAACGCAGTTTGTGGGAATGATTCTGTCTACTTTTGAAACGAAGGTATTTCCTTTTCTGCCGTTGACCTTAAAGCGCTTGAAATCTACACTTGCAAATTGCACAAATAGAGTGTTTCAAATCTGCTCTGTCTAAGGGAACGTTCAACTCTGTGAGTTGAATGCACACAACACAAGGAAGTTACTGGGAATTCTTCTGTCTAGCCTTACATGAAAAAAACCGTTTCCAACGAAGGCCTCTAAGTGGTCAAAATATCCACGTGCAGACTTTACAAACAGAGTGTTTCCAAACTGCTGAATGAAAAGAAAAGTTAAACTCTGAGAGTTGAACGCACACATCGCAGAGCAGTTTCTGAGAATGATTCTGTCTAGTTTTTATACGAAGATATTTCCTTTTCTGCCTTTGGCCCGAAAGCGCATGAAATCTCCACTTGCAAATTCCACAAAAACAGTGTTTCAAATCTGCTCTCTCTAAATGAAAGTTCAACTCTGTCAGTTGAATACACACAACACAAGGAAGTTACTGAGAATTCTTCTGTCTAGCAGAATATGAAGAAATCCCGTTTCCAACGAAGGCCTCAAAGAGGTCTGAATATCGACTTGCAGACTTTACAAACAGAGTGTTTCCTAACTGCTCTATGAAAAGAAAGGTTAAACTCTGTGAGTTGAACGCACACATCACAAAGGAGTTTATGAGAATCATTCTGTCTAGTTTTTATACGAAAATATTTCCTTTTCTACCATTGACCTCAAAGCGGCTGAAATCTCCACTTGCAAATTCCACAAAAAGAGTGTTTCAAGTCTGCTCTGTGTAAAGGATCGTTCAACTCTGTGAGTTGAATACACACAACACAAGGAAGATTCTGAGAATTCTTCTGTCTAGCAGAATATGAAGAAATCCCGTTTCCAACGAAGGCCACTAGAGGTCAGAATATCCACTTACAGAATTGACAGACTGTTTCCTAACTGCTCTATGAAAAGAAAGGTTAAACTCTGTGAGTTGAACGAACACATCACAACGCAGTTTGTGGGAATGATTCTGTCTAGTTTTGAAACGAAGATATTTCCTTTTCTGCCATTGAACTTAAAGCGCTTGAAATCTCCATTTGCCAATTGCACAAAAAGAGTGTTTCAAATCTGCTCTGTCTAAGGGAACGTTCAACTCTGTGAGTTGAATGTACACAACACAAGGAAGTTACTGGGAATTCTTCTGTGTAGCCTTACATGAAAAAAACCCGTTTCCAACGAAGGCCTCTAAGTAGTCAAATTATCCACGTGCAGACTTTACAAACAGAGTGTTTCCAAACTGCTGAATGAAAAGAAAAGTTGAACTCTGAGAGTTGAACGCACACATCGCAGAGCAGTTTCTGAGAATGATTCTGTCTAGTTTTTATACGAAGATATTTCCTTTTCTGCCTTTGGCCTCAAAGCGCTTGAAATCTAAACTTGCAAATTCCACAAAAAGAGTGTTTCAAATCTGCTCTGTGTAAATGAAAGTTCAACTCTGTGAGTTGAACACACACAACACAAGGAAGTTACTGGGAATTCTTCTGTTTAGCGTTATATGTAAAAAACCCGTTTCCAACGAAGGCCTCAAAGAGGTCTGAATATCCACTTGCAGACTTTACAAACAGAGTGTTTCCTAACTGCTCTATGAAAAGAAAGGTTAAACTCTGTGAGTTGAACGCACACATCACAAAGGAGTTTCTGAGAATCATTCTGTCTAGTTTTTATAGGAAGATATTTCCTTTTGTACCTTTGACTTCAAAGCCCCTGAAATCTCCACTTGCAAATTCCACAAAAAGAGTGTTACAAGTCTGCTCTGTGTAAAGGATCGTTCAACTCTGTGAGTTGAATACACACAACACAAGGAAGTTACTGAGAATTCTTCTGTCTAGCATAATATGAAGAAATCCCGTTTCCAACGAAGGCCACAAGATGTCAGAATATCCACTTACAGACTTTACAAACAGAGTGTTTCCTAACTGCTCTATGAACAGAAAGCTTAAACTCTGTGAGTTGAAGGAACACATCACAACGCAGTTTGTGGGAATGATTCTGTCTAGTTTTGAAACGAAGATATTTCCTTTTCTGCCATTGACCTTAAAGCGCTTGAAATCTCCACTTGCAAATTCCACAAAAACAGTGTTTCAAATCTCCTCTCTCTAAATGAAAGTTCAACTCTGTCAGTTGAATACACACAACACAAGGAAGTTACTGAGAATTCTTCTGTCTAGCCTTACAGGAAAAAAACCCGTTTCCAACGAAGGCCTCTGATTGGTCAAAATATCCACGTGCAGACTTTACAAACAGAGTGTTTCCAAACTGCTGAATGAAAAGAAAAGTTAAACTCTGAGAGTTGAACGCACACATCGCAGAGCAGTTTCTGAGAGTGATTCTGTCTAGTTTTTATACGAAGATATTTCCTTTTCTGCCTTTGGCCTCAAAGCGCTTGAAATCTCCACTTGCAAATTCCACAAAAAGTGTGTTTCAAATCTGCTCTGTGTAAACCATCGTTCAACTCTGTGAGTTGAATACACACAACACAAGGAAGATTCTGAGAATTCTTCTGTCTAGCATAATATGAAGAAATCCCGTTTCCAACGAAGGCCTCAAAGGGGTCTGAATATCCACTTGCAGACTTTATAAACAGAGTGTTTACTAACTGCTCTATGAAAAGAAAGGTTAAACTCTGCGAGTTGAACACACACATCACAAAGGAGTTTCTGAGAATCATTCTGTCTAGTTTTTATAGGAAGATATTTCCTTTTCTACCATTGACCTCAAAGCGGCTGAAATCTCCACTTGCAAATTCCACAAAAAGAGTGTTTCAAGTCTGCTCTGTGTAAAGGATCGTTCAACTCTGTGAGATGCATACACACAACACAAGGAAGTTACTGAGAATTCTTCTGTCTAGCAGAATATGAAGAAATCCCGTTTCCAACGAAGGCCACAAGATGTCAGAATATCCACTTACAGAATTTACAAACAGACTGTTTCCTAAGTGCTCTATGAAAAGAAAGGTTAAACTCTGTGAGTTGAACGAACACATCGCAACGCAGTTTCTGGGAATGATTCTGTCTAGTTTTTATAGGAAGATATTCCCTTTTCTACCTTTGACTTCAAAGCGGCTGAAATCTCCACTTGCAAATTCCACAAAAAGAGTGTTACAAGTCCGCTCTCTGTAAAGGATCGTTCAACTGTGTGAGTTGAATACACACAACACAAGGAAGTTACTGAGAACTCTTCTGTCTAGCCTTACATGAAAAAAACCCGTTTCCAACGAAGGCCTCTAAGTGGTCAAAATATCCACTTGCAGACTTTACAAACAGAGTGTCTCCAAACCGCTGAATGAAAAGAAAAGTTAAACTCTGAGAGTTGAACGCACACATCACGCAGCAGTTTCTGAGAATGATTCTGTCTAGTTTTTATACGAAGATATTTCCTTTTCTGCCTTTGGCCCCAAAGCGCTTGAAATCTCCAATTGCAAATTCCACAAAAACAGTGTTTCAAATCTGCTCTCTCTAAATGAAAGTTCAACTCTGTCAGCTGAATACACACAACACAAGGAAGTTACTGAGAATTCTTCTGTCTAGCATAATATGAAGAAATCCCGTTTCCAACGAAGGCCTCAAACAGGTCTGAATATCCACTTGCAGACTTTACAAACAGAGTGTTTCCTAACTGCTCTATGAGAAGAAAAGTTAAACTCTGTGAGTTGAAAGCACACATCACAAAAGATTTTCTGAGAATCATTCTGTCTAGTTTCTATAGGAAGATATTTCCTATTCTACCATTGACCTCAAAGCGGCTGAAATCTCCACTTGAAATTCCACAAAAAGAGTGTTTCAAGTCTGCTCTGTGTAAAGGATCGTTCAACTCTGTGAGTTGAATACACACAACACAAAGAAGTTACTGAGAATTCTTCTGTCTAGCAGAAAATGAAGAAATCCCGTTTCCAAAGAAGGCCTCAAAGAGGTCTGAATATCCACTTGCAGACTTTACAAACAGAGTGTTTCCTAACTGCTCTATGAATTGGAAGGTTAAACTCTGTGAGTTGAACGCACACATCACAAAGGAGTTTCTGAGAATCATTCTGTCTAGTTTCTATAGGAAGATATTTCCTATTCTACCATTGACCTCAAAGCGGCTGAAATCTCCACCTGCAAATTCCACAAAAAGAGTGTTTCAAGTCTGCTCTGTGTAAAGGATCGTTCAACTCTGTGAGTTGAATACACACAACACAAGGAAGTTACTGAGAATTCTTCTGTCTAGCCTTACATGAAAAAAACCCGTTTCCAACGAAGGCCTCTAAGTGGTCAAATTATGCACGTGCAGACTTTACAAACAGAGTGTTTCCAAACTGCTGAATGAAAAGAAAAGTTAAACTCTGAGAGTTGAACGCACACATCGCAGAGCAGTTTCTGAGAATGATTCTGTCTAGTTTTTATACGAAGATATTTCCTTTTCTGCCTTTGGCCCCAAAGCGCTTGAAATCTCCACTTGCAAATACCACAAAAACAGTGTTTCAAATCTGCTCTCTCTAAATGAAAGTTCAACTCTGTCAGTTGAATACACACAACACAAGGAAATTACTGAGAATTCTTCTGTCTAGACTTATATGAAAAAAACCCGTTTCCAACGAAGGCCTCAAGGAGGACTGAATATCCACTTGCAGACTTTACAAACAGAGTGTTTCCTAACTGCTCTATGAAAAGAAAGGTTAAACTCTGTGAGTTGAACGCACACATCACAAAGGAGTTTCTGAGAATCATTCTGTCTAGTTTTTCTACGAAGATATTTCCTTTTCTACTATTGACCTCAAAGTGGCTGAAATCTCCACTTGCAAATTCCACAAAAAGAGTGTTTCAAGTCTGCTCTGTGTAAAGAATCGTTCAACTCTGTGAGTTGAATACACACAACACAAGGAAGTTACTGAGAATTCTTCTGTCTAGCATAATATGAAGAAATCCCGTTTCCAACGAAGGCCACAAGATGTCAGAATATCCACTTACAGACTTTACAAACAGAGTGTTTCCTAACTGCTCTATGAACGGAAAGGTTAAACTCTGTGAGTTGAACGAACACATCACAACGCAGTTTGTGGGAATGATTCTGTCTAGTTTTTATACGAAGATATTTCCTTTTCTGCCTTTGGCCTCAAAGCGCTTGAAATCTCCACTTGCCAATTGCACAAAAAGAGTGTTTCAAATCTGCTCTGTCTAAGGGAACGTTCAACTCTGTGAGTTGAATGTACACAACACAAGGAAGTTACTGGGAATTCTTCTGTCTAGCCTTACAGGAAAGAAACCCGTTTCCAACGAAGGCCTCTAAGTGGTCAAAATATCCACGTGCAGACTTTACAAACAGAGTGTTTCCAAACTGCTGAATGAAAAGAAAAGTTAAACTCTGAGAGTTGAACGCACACATCGCAGAGCAGTTTCTGAGAATGATTCTGTCTAGTTTTTATACGAAGATATTTCCTTTTCTGCCTTTGGCCCCAAAGCGCTTGAAATCTCCACTTGCAAATTCCACAAAAACAGTGTTTCAAATCTGCTCTCTCCAAATGAAAGCTCAACTCTGTCAGTTGAATACACACAACACAAGGAAGTTACTGAGAATTCTTCTTTCTAGCAGAATATGAAGAAATCCCGTTTCCAACGAAAGCCTCAAGGATGTCTGAATATCCACTTGCAGACTTTACAAACAGAGTGTTTCCTAACTGCTCTATGAAAAGAAAGGTTAAACTCTGTGAGTTGAACGCTCACATCACAAAGGAGTTTCTGAGAATCATTCTGTCTAGTTTCTATAGGAAGATATTTCCTAATCTACCACTGACCTCAAAGCGGCTGAAATCTCCACTTGCAAATTCCACAAAAGGAGTGTTTCAAGTCTGCTCTGTGTAAAGGATCGTTCAACTCTGTGAGTTGAAAACACACAACACAAGGAAGTTTCTGAGAATTCTTCTGTCTAGCAGAATATGAAGAAATCCCTTTTCCAACGAAGGCCTCAAGGAGGTCTGAATATCCACTTGCAGACTTTACAAACAGAGTGTTTCCTAACTGCTCTATGAACAGAAAGGTTAAACTCTGTGAGTTGAACGAACACATCACAACGCAGTTTGTGGGAATGATTCTGTCTAGTTTTGAAACGAAGATATTTCCTTTTCTGTCATTGACCTTAAAGCGCTTGAAATCTACACTTGCAAATTGAACAAATAGAGTGTTTCAAATCTGCTCTGTCTAAGGGAACGTTCAACTCTGTGAGTTGAATGCACACAACACAAGGAAGTTACTGGGAATTCTTCTGTCTATCCTTACAGGAAAAAAACCCGTTTCCAACGAAGGCCTCTAAGTGGTCAAAATATCCACGTGCAGACTTTACAAACAGAGTGTTTCCAAACTGCTGAATGAAAAGAAAAGTTAAACTCTGAGAGTTGAACGCACACATCGCAGAGCAGTTTCTGAGAATGATTCTGTCTAGTTTTGAAACGAAGATATTTCCTTTTCTGCCTTTGGCCTCAAAGCGCTTGAAATCTCCACTTGCAAATTCCACAAAAAGAGTGTTTCAAATCTGCTCTGTGTAAATGAAAGTTCAACACTGTGAGTTGAACACACACAACACAAGGAAGTTACTGGGAATTCTTCTGTCTAGCAGAATATGAAGAAATCCCGTTTCCAACGAAGGCCTCAAGGAGGTCTGAATATCCACTTGCAGACTTTACAAACAGAGTGTTTCCTAACTGCTCTATGAAAAGAAAGGTTAAACTCTGTGAGTTGAACGCACACATCACAATGGAGTTTCTGAGAATCGTTCTGTCTAGTTTTTATACGAAGATATTTCCTTTTCTACCATTGACCTCAAAGCGGCTGAAATCTCCACCCTGCCAATTCCACAAAAAGAGTGTTTCAAGTCTACTCTGTGTAAAGGATCGTTGAACTCTGTGAGTTGAAAACACACAACACAACGAAGTTTCTGAGAATTCTTCTGTCTAGCAGAATATGAAGAAATCCCGTTTCCAACGAAGGCCACAAGATGTCAGAATATCCACTTACAGAATTGACAAACAGACTGTTTCCTAACTGCTCTATGAACAGAAAGGTTAAACTCTGTGAGTTGAACGAACACATCACAACGCAGTTTGTGGGAATGATTCTGTCTAGTTTTGAAACGAAGATATTTCCTTTTCTGCCATTGACCTTAAAGCGCTTGAAATCTCCATTTGCCAATTGCACAAAAAGAGTGTTTCAAATCTGCTCTGTCTGAGGGAACGTTCAACTCTGTGAGTTGAATGTACACAACACAAGGAAGTTACTGGGAATTCTTCTGTCTAGCCTTACATGAAAAAAACCCGTTTCCAACGAAGGCCTCTAAGTGGTCAAATTATCCACGTGCAGAGTTTACAAACAGAGTGTTTCCAAACTGCTGAATGAAAAGCAAAGTTAAACTCTGAGAGTTGAACGCACACATCGCAGAGCAGTTTCTGAGAATGATTCTGTCTATTTTTTATACGAAGATATTTGCTTTTCTACCATTGACCTCAACGCGGCTGAAATCTCCACTTGCAAATTCCACAAAAAGTGTGTTTCAAGTCCGCTCTGTGTAAAGGATCGTTCAACTCTGTGAGTTGAATACACACAACACAAGGAAGTTACTGAGAATTCTTCTGTCTAGCACAGTATGAAGAAATCCCGTTTCCAACGAAGGCCTCAAAGAGGTCTGAATATCCACTTGCAGACTTTACAAACAGAGTGTTTCCTAACTGCTCTATGAAAAGAAAGGTTAAACTCTGTGAGTTGAACGCACACATCCCAAAGGAGTTTCTGAGAATCATTCTGTCTAGTTTTTCTACGAAGATATTTCCTTTTCTACGATTGACCTCAAAGCGGCTGAAATCTCCACTTGCAAATTCCACAAAAAGAGTGTTTCAAGTCTGCTCTGTGTAAAGGATCGTTCAACTCTGTGAGTTGAATACACACAACAAAAGGAAGTTACTGAGAATTCTTCTGTCTAGCAGCATATGAAGAAATCCCGTTTCCAACGAAGGCCACAAGATGTCAGAATATCCACTTACAGAATTTACAAACAGACTGTTTCCTAACTGCTCTATGAAAAGAAAGGTTAAACTCTGTGAGTTGAACGAACACATCACAGCGCAGTTTGTGGGAATGATTCTGTCTAGTTTTTATACGAAGATATTTCCTTTTCTACCATTGACCTCAAACCGGCTGAAATCACCACTTGCCAATTGCACAAAAAGAGTGTTTCAAATCTGCTCTGTCTAAGGGAACGTTCAACTCTCTGAGTTGAATGTACACAACATAAGGAAGTTCCTGGGAATTCTTCTGTCTAGCCTTACAGGAAAAAAAACCCGTTTCCAACGAAGGCCTCTAAGTGGTCAAGTTATCCACGTGCAGACTTTACAAACAGAGTGTTTCCAAACTGCTGAATGAAAAGAAAAGTTAAACTCTGAGAGTTGAACGCACACATCGCAGAGCAGTTTCTGAGAATGATTCTGTCTAGTTTTTATACGAAGATATTTCCTTTTCTGCCTTTGGCCCCAAAGCGCATGAAATCTCCACTTGCAAATTCCACAAAAACAGTGTTTCAAATCTGCTCTCTCTAAATGAAAGTTCAACTCTGTCAGTTGAATACACACAACACAAGGGAAGTTACTGAGAATTCTTCTGTCTAGCAGAATATGAAGAAATCCCGTTTCCAACGAAGGCCTCAAAGAGGTCTGAATATCCACTTGCAGACTTTACAAACAGAGTGTTTCCTAACTGCTCTAAGAAAAGAAAGGTTAAACTCTGTGAGTTGAACGCTCACATCACAAAGGAGTTTCTGAGAATCGTTCTGTCTAGTTTCTATAGGAAGATATTTCCTATTCTACGATTGACCTCAAAGCGGCTGAAATCTCCACTTGCAAATTCCACAAAAAGAATGTTTCTAGTCTGCTCTGTGTAAAGGATCGTTCAACTCTGTGAGTTGAATACACAAAACACAAGGAAGTTACTGAGAATTCTTCTGTCTAGCATAATATGAAGAAATCCCGTTTCCAACGAAGGCCACAAGATATCAGAATATCCACTTACAGACTTTACAAAGAGAGTGTTTCCTAACTGCTCTATGAACAGAAAGGTTAAACTCTGTGAGTTGAACGAACACATCACAACGCAGTTTGTGGGAATGATTCTGTCTAGTTTTGAAACGAAGATATTTCCTTTCCTGCCATTGACCTTAAAGCGCTTGAAATCTCCATTTGCCAATTGCACAAAAAGAGTGTTTCAAATCTGCTCTGTCTAAGGGAACGTTCAACTCTGTGAGTTGAATGTACACAACACAAGGGAAGTTACTGGGAATTCTTCTGTCTAGCCTTACATGAAAAAAACCCGTTTCCAACGAAGGCCTCTAAGTGGTCAAAATTTCCACGTGCAGACTTTACAAACAGAGTGTTTCCAAACCGCTGAATGAAATGAAAAGTTAAACTCTGAGAGTTGAACGCACACATCACGCAGCAGTTTCTGAGAATGATTCTGTCTAGTTTTGAAACGAAGATATTTACTTTTCTGCCTTTGGCCTCAAAGCGCTTGAAATCTCCACTTGCAAATTCCACAAAAAGAGTGTTTCAAATCTGCTCTGTGTAAATGAAAGTTCAACTCTGTGAGTTGAACACACACAACACAAGGAAGTTACTGGGAATTCTTCTTTCTAGCAGAATATGAAGAAATCCCGTTTCCAACGAAAGCCTCAAGGATGTCTGAATATCCACTTGCAGACTTTACAAACAGAGAGTTTCCTAACTGCTCTATGAAAAGAAAGGTTAAACTCTGTGAGTTGAACGCACACATCACAAAGGAGTTTCTGAGAATCATTCTGTCTAGTTTCTATAGGAAGATATTTCCTATTCTACCATTGACCACAAAGCGGCTGAAATCTCCACTTGCAAATTCCACAAAAAGAGTGTGTCAAGTCTGCTCTCTGTAAAGGATCGTTCAACTCTGTGAGTTGAATACACACAACACAAGGAAGTTACTGAGAATTCTTCTTTCTAGCAGAATATGAAGAAATCCCGTTTCCAACGAAAGCCTCAAGGATGTCTGAATATCCACATGCAGACTTTACAAACAGAGTGTTTCCCAACTGCTCTAGGAAAAGAAAGGTTGAACTCTGTGAGTTGAACGCACACATCACAAAGGAGTTTCTGAGAATCATTCTGTCTAGTTTTGAAACGAAGATATTTCCTTTTCTGCCATTGACCTTAAAGCGCTTGAAATCTACACTTGCAAATTGCACAAATAGAGTGTTTCAAATCTGCTCTGTCTAAGGGAACGTTCAACTCTGTGAGTTGAATGCACACAACACAAGGAAGTTACTGGGAATTCTTCTGTCTAGCCTTACATGAAAAAAACCCGTTTCCAACGAAGGCCTCTATGTGGTCAAATTATCCACGTGCAGGCTTTACAAACAGAGTGTTTCCAAACTGCTGAATGAAAAGAAAAGTTAAACTCTGATAGTTGAACGCACACATCGCAGAGCAGTTTCTGAGAATGATTCTGTCTAGTTTTGAAACGAAGATATTTCCTTTTCTGCCTTTGGCCTCAAAGCGCTTGAAATCTCCACTTGCAAATTCCATAAAAAGCGTGTTTCAAATCTGCTCTGTGTGAATGAAAGTTCAACTCTGTGAGTTGAATACACACAACACAAGGAAGTTACTGAGAATTCTTCTGTCAGGCATAATATGAACAAATCCCGTTTGCAACGAAGGCCTCAAAGAGGTCTGAATATCCACTTGCAGAGTTTACAAACAGAGTGTTTCCTAACTGCTCTATGAAAAGAAAAGTTAAACTCTGTGAGTTGAACGCACACATCATAAAAGAGTTTCTGAGAATCATTCTGTCTATTTTCTATAGGAAGATATTTCCTATTCTACCATTGACCTCAAAGCGGCTGAAATCTCCACTTGCAAATTCCACAAAAAGAGTGTTTCAAGTCTGCTCTGTGTAAAGGATCGTTCAACTCTGTGAGTTGAATACACACAACACAAGGAAGTTACTGAGAATTCTTCTGTCTAGCAGAATATGAAGAAATCCCGTTTCCAACGAAGGCCACAAGATGTCAGAATATCCACTTACAGACTTTACAAACAGAGTGTTTCCTAACTGCTCTATGAACAGAAAGGTTAAACTCTGTGATTTGAACGAACACATCACAACGCAGTTTGTGGGAATGATTCTGTCTAGTTTTGAAACGAAGATATTTCCTTTTCTGCCATTGAACTTAAAGCGCTTGAAATCTCCATTTGCCAATTGCACAAAAAGAGTGTTTCAAATCTGCTCTGTCTAAGGGAACGTTCAACTCTGTGAGTTGAATGTACACAACACAAGGAAGTTACTGGGAATTCCTCTGTGTAGCCTTACAGGAAAAAAACCCGTTTCCAACGAAGGCCTCTAAGTGGTCAAAATATCCACGTGCAGACTTTACAAACAGAGTGTTTCCAAACTGCTGAATGAAAAGAAAAGTTAAACTCTGAGAGTTGAACGCACACATCGCAGAGCAGTTTCTGAGAATGATTCTGTCTAGTTTTTCTACGAAGATATTTCCTTTTCTACTATTGACCTCAATGCGGCTGAAATCTCCACTTGCAAATTCCACAAAAAGAGTGTTTCAAGTCTGCTCTGTGTAAAGGATCGTTCAACTCTGCGAGTTCAATACACACAACACAAGGAAGTTACTGAGAATTCTTCTGTCTAGCATAATATGAAGAAATCCCGTTTCCAACGAAGGCCACAAAGGGGTCTGAATATCCACTTGCAGACTTTATAAACAGAGTGTTTCCTAACTGCTCTATGAAAAGAAAGTTTAAACTCTGTGAGTTGAACACACACATCAGAAAGGAGTTTCTGAGAATCATTCTGTCTAGTTTCTATAGGAAGATATTTCCTATTCTACCATTGACCTCAAAGCGGCTGAAATCTCCAATTGCAAATTCCACAAAAAGAGTGTTTCAAGTCTGCTCTGTGTAAAGGATCGTTCAACTCTGTGAGTTGAATACACACAACACAAGGAAGTTACTGAGAATTATTCTTTCTAGCAGAATATGAAGAAATCCCGTTTCCAAAGAAAGACTCAAGGATGTCTGAATATCCACTTGCAGACTTTACAAATAGAGTGTTTCCTAACTGCTCTATGAAAAGAAAGGTTAAACTCTGTGAGTTGAACGCACACATCACAAAGGAGTTTCTGAGAATCATTCTGTCTGGTTTTGAAACGAAGATATTTCCTTTTCTACCATTGACCTCAAAGCGGCTGAAATCACCACTTGCCAATTGCACAAAAAGAGTGTTTCAAATCTGCTCTGTCTAAGGGAACGTTCAACTCTGTGAGTTGAATGTACACAACACAAGGAAGTTCCTGGGAATTCTTCTGTCTAGCCTTACAGGAAAAAAACCCGTTTCCAACGAAGGCCTCTAAGTGGTCAAGTTATCCACGTGCAGACTTTACAAACAGAGTGTTTCCAAACTGCTGAATGAAAAGAAAAGTTAAACTCTGAGAGTTGAACGCACACATCGCAGAGCAGTTTCTGAGAATGATTCTGTCTAGTTTTGAAACGAAGATATTTCCTTTTCTGCCTTTGGCCTCAAAGCGCTTGAAATCTCCACTTGCAAATTCCACAAAAAGAGTGTTTCAAATCTGCTCTGTGTAAATGAAAGTTCAACTCTGTGAGTTGAATACACACAACACAAGGAAGTTACTGAGAATTCTTCTGTCTAGCATAATATGAAGAAATCCCGTTTCCAACGAAGGCCTCAAAGAGGTCTGAATATCCACTTGCAGACTTTACAAACAGAGTGTTTCCTAACTGCTCTATGAAAAGAAAGGTTAAACTCTGTGAGTTGAACGCACACATCACAAAGGAGGTTCTGAGAATCATTCTGTCTAGTTTTTATATGAAGATATTTCCCTTTCTACCATTGACCTCAAAGCGGCTGAAATCTCCACTTACAAATTCCACAAAAAGAGTGTCTCAAGTCTGCTCTGTGTAAACGATCGTTCAACTCTGTGAGTTGAATACACACAACACAAGGAAGTTTCTGAGAATTCTTCTGTATAGCAGAATATGAAGAAATCCCGTTTCCAACGAAGGCCTCAAGGAGGTCTGAATATCCACTTGCAGACTTTACAAACAGAGTGTTTCCTAACTGCTCTATGAAAAGAAAGGTTAAACTCTGTGAGTTGAATGCACACATCACAAAGGAGTTTCTGAGAATCATTCTGTCTAGTTTTGAAACGAAGATATTTCCTTTTCTGCCATTGACCTTAAAGCGCTTGAAATCTCCACTTGCCAATTGCACAAAAAGAGTGTTTCAAATCTGCTCTGTCTAAGGGAACGTTCACCTCTGTGAGTTGAATGTACACAACACAAGGAAGTTACTGGGAATTCTTCTGTCTAGCCTAACATGAAAAAAACCCGTTTCCAACGAAGGCCTCTAAGTGGTCAAAATATCCACGTGCAGACTTTACGAACAGAGTGTTTCCAAACCGCTGAATGAAAAGAAAAGTTAAACTCTGAGAGTTGAACGCACACATCACGCAGCAGTTTCTGAGAATGATTCTGTCTAGTTTTTATACGAAGATATTTCCTTTTCTGCCTTTGGCCCCAAAGCGCTTGAAATCTCCACTTGCAAATTCCACAAAAACAGTGTTTCAAATCTGCTCTCTCTAAATGAAAGTTCAACACTGTCAGTTGAATACACACAACACAAGGAAGTTACTGAGAATTCTTCTGTCTAGCATAATATGAAGAAATCCCGTTTCTAACGAAGGCCTCAAAGAGGTCTGAATATCCACTTGCAGACTTTACAAACAGAGTGTTTCCTAACTGCTCTATGAAAAGAAAGGTTAAACTCTGTGAGTTGAACGCACACATCACAAAGGAGTTTCTGAGAATCATTCTGTCTAGTTTTTATACGAAGATATTTCCTTTTCTACCATTGACCTCAAAGCGGCTGAAATCTCCACTTGCAAATTCCAGAAAAAGAGTGTTTCAAGTCTGCTCTGTGTAAAGGATCGTTCAACTCTGTGAGTTGAATACACACAACACAAGGAAGTTACTGAGAATTCTTCTGTCTAGCAGAATATGAACAAATCCCGTTTCCAACGAAAGCCTCAAGGAGGTCTGAATATCCACTTGCAGACTTTACAAACAGAGTGTTTCCTAACTGCTCTATGAACAGAAAGGTTAAACTCTGTGAGTTGAACGAACACATCACAACGCAGTTTGTGGGAATGATTCTGTCTAGTTTTTATACGAAGATATTTCCTTTTCTACCATTGACCTCAAAGCGGTTGAAATCACCACTTGCCAATTGCACAAAAAAAGTGTTTCAAATCTGCTCTGTCTAAGGGAACGTTCAACTCTGTGAGTTGAATGTACACAACACAAGGAAGTTACTGGGAATTCTTCTGTCTAGCATAATATGAAGAAATCCCGTTTCCAACGAAGGCCTCAAAGAGGTCTGAATATCCACTTGCAGACTTTACAAACAGAGTGTTTCCAAACCGCTGAATGAAAAGAAAAGTTAAACTCTGAGAGTTGAACGCACACATCACGCAGCAGTTTCTGAGAATGATTCTGTCTAGTTTTGAAACGAAGATATTTCCTTTTCTGCCTTTGGCCTTAAAGCGCTTGAAATCTCCACTTGCAAATTCCACAAAAAGAGTGTTTCAAATCTGCTCTGTGTAAATGAAAGTTCAACTCTGTGAGTTGAACACACACAACACAAGGAAGTTACTGGGAATTCTTCTGTCTAGCATAATATGAAGAAACCCCGTTTCCAACGAAGGCCACAAAGGGCTCTGAATATCCACTTGCAGACTTTATAAACAGAGTGTTTACTAACTGCTCTATGAAAAGAAAGGTTAAACTCTGTGAGTTGAACACACACATCACAAAGGAGTTTCTGAGAATCATTCTGTCTAGTTTCTATAGGAAGATATTTCCTAGTTCTACCATTGACCTCAAAGCGGCTGAAATCTCCACTTGCAAATTCCACAAAAAGAGTGTTTCAAGTCTGCTCTCTGTAAAGGATCGTACAACTCTGAGTTGAATACACACAACACAAGGAAGTTACTGAGAATTATTCTGTCTAGCATAATATGAAGAAATCCCTTTTCCAACGAAGGCCTCAAAGAGGTCTGAATATCCACCTGCAGACTTTACAAACAGAGTGTTTCCTAACTGCTCTATGAAAAGAAAACTTAAACTCTGTGAGTTGAACGCACACATCACAAAGGAGTTTCTGAGAATCATTCTGTCTAGTTTTGAAACGAAGATATTTCCTTTTCTGCCATTGACCTCAAAGCGCTTGAAATCTCCACTTGCCAATTGCACAAAAAGAGTGTTTCAAATCTGCTCTGTCTAAGGGAACGTTCAACTCTGTGAGTTGAATGTACACAACACAAGGAAGTTACTGGGAATTCTTCTGTCTAGCCTTACAGGAAAAAAACCCGTTTCCAACGAAGGCCTCTAAGTGGTCAAAATATCCACGTGCAGACTTTACAAACAGTGTGTTTCCAAACTGCTGAATGAAAAGAAAAGTTAAACTCTGAGAGTTGAACGCACACATCGCAGAGCAGTTTCTGAGAATGATTCTGCCTAGTTTTTATACGAAGATATTTCCTTTTCTGCCTTTGGCCTGAAAGCGCTTGAAATCTCCACTTGCAAATTCCACAAAAAGAGTGTTTCAAATCTGCTCTGTGTAAATGAAAGTTCAACTCTGTGAGTTGAACACACACAACACAAGGGAAGTTACTGGGAATTCTTCTGTCTAGCAGAATATGAAGAAATCCCGTTTCCAACGAAGGCCTCAAAGAGGTCTGAATATCCACTTGCAGACTTTACAAACAGAGTGTTTCTTAACTGCTCTATGAAAAGAAAGGTTAAACTCTGTGAGTTGAACGCACACATCACAAAGGAGTTTCTGAGAATCATTCTGTCTAGTTTTTATACGAAGATATTTCCTTTTCTACCATTGACCTCAAAGCGGCTGAAATCTCCACTTGCAAATTCCACAAAACGAGTGTTTCAAGTCTGCTCTGTGTAAAGGATCGCTCAACTCTGTGAGTTGAATACACACAACACAAAGAAGTTACTGAGAATTCTTCTGTCTAGCAGAATATGAAGAAATCCCGTTTCCAACGAAGGCCACAAGATATCAGAATATCCACTTACAGAATTTACAAACAGACTGTTTCCTAACTGCTCTATGAAAAGAAAGGTTAAACTCTGTGAGTTGAACGAACACATCACAACGCAGTTTGTGGGAATGATTCTGTCTAGTTTTGAAACGAAGATATTTCCTTTTCTGCCATTGACCTTAAAGCGCTTGAAATCTACACTTGCAAATTGCACAAATAGAGTGTTTCAAATCTGCTCTGTCTAAGGGAACGTTCAACTCTGTGAGTTGAATGCACATAACACAAGGAAGTTACTGGGAATTCTTCTGTCTAGCCTTACATGAAAAAAACCCGTTTCCAACGAAGGCCTCTAAGTGGTCAAAATTTCCACGTGCAGACTTTACAAACAGAGTGTTTCCAAACTGCTGAATGAAAAGAAAAGTTAAACTCTGAGAGTTGAACGCACACATCACGCAGCAGTTTCTGAGAATGATTCTGTCTACTTTTTATACGAAGATATTTCCTTTTCTGCCTTTGGCCCCAAAGCGCTTGAAATCTCCACTTGCAAATTCCACAAAAACAGTGTTTCAAATCTGCTCTCTCTAAATGAAAGTTCAACTCTGTCAGTTGAATACACACAACACAAGGAAGTTACTGAGAATTCTTCTGTCTAGCATAATATGAAGAAATCCCGTTTCCAACGAAGGCCACAAAGAGGTCTGAATATCCACTTGCAGACTTTACAAACAGAGTGTTTCCTAACTGCTCTATGAAAAGAAAAGTTAATCTCTGTGAGTTGAACGCACACATCACAAACGAGTTTCTGAGAATCATTCTGTCTAGTTTTTATAGGAAGATATTTCCTTTTCTACCATTGACCTCAAAGCGGCTGAAATCTCCACTTGCAAATTCCACAAAAAGAGTGTTTCAAATCTGCTCTGTGTAAAGGATCGTTCAACTCTGTGAGTTGAATACACACAACACAAGGAAGATTCTGAGAATTCTTCTGTCTAGCAGAATATGAAGAAATCCCGTTTCCAACGAAGGCCACAAGATGTCAGAATATCCACTTACAGAATTTTCAAACAGACTGTTTCCTAACTGCTCTATGAAAAGAAAGGTTAAACTCTGTGAGTTGAACGAACACATCACAACGCAGTTTGTGGGAGTGATTCTGTCTAGTTTTAAAACGAAGATATTTCCTTTTCTACCATTGACCTTAAAGCGCTTGAAATCTACACTTGCAAATTGCACAAATAGAGTGTTTCAAATCTGCTCTGTCTAAGGGAACGTTCAACTCTGTGAGTTGAATGCACACAACACAAGGGAAGTTACTGGGAATTCTTCTGTCTATCCTTACATGAAAAAAACCCGTTTCCAACGAAGGCCTCTAAGTGGTCAAATTATCCACGTGCAGACTTTACAAACAGAGTGTTTCCAAACTGCTGAATGAAAAGAAAAGTTAAACTCTGAGAGTTGAACGCACACATCGCAGAGCAGTTTCTGAGAATGATTCTGTCTAGTTTTTATACGAAGTATATTTCCTTTTCTGCCTTTGGCCTCAAAGCGCTTGAAATCTCCACCTGCAAATTCCACAAAAAGAGTGTTTCAAATCTGCTCTGTGTAAATGAAAGTTCAACTCTGTGAGTTGAACACACACAACACAAGGAAGTTACTGGGAATTCTTCTGTCTAGCCTTATATGAAAAATCCCGTTTCCAAAGAAGGCCTCAAAGAGGTCTGAATATCCACTTGCAGACTTTACAAACAGAGTGTTTCCTAACTGCTCTATGAAAAGAAAGGTTAAACTCTGTGAGTTGAACACACACATCACAAAGGAGTTTCTGAGAATCATTCTGTCTAGTTTCTATAGGAAGATATTTCCTATTCTACCATTGACCTCAAAGCGGCTGAAATCTCCACTTGCAATTTCGACAAAAAGAGTGTTTCAAGCCTGCTCTCTCTAAAGGATCCTTCAACTCTGTGAGTTGAATACACACAAAACAAGGAACTTACTGAGAATTATTCTGTCTAGCAGAATATGAAGAAATCCCGTTTCCAACGAAGGCCACAAGATGTCAGAATATCCACTTACAGAATTTACAAACAGACTGTTTCCTAAGTGCTCTATGAAAAGAAAGGTTAAACTCTGTGAGTTGAACGAACACATCACAACGCAGTTTGTGGGAATGATTCTGTCTAGTTTTTATACGAAGATATTTCCTTTTCTACCATTGACGTCAAAGCGGCTGAAATCACCACTTGCCAATTGCACAAAAAGAGTGTTTCAAATCTGCTCTGTCTAAGGGAACGTTCAACTCTGTGAGTTGAATGTACACAACACAAGGAAGTTCCTGGGAATTCTTCTGTCTAGCCTTACATGAAAAAAAACCCGTTTCCAACGAAGGCCTCTAAGTGGTCAAAATATCCACGTGCAGTCTTTACAAACAGAGTGTTTCCAAACCGCTGAATGAAAAGAAAAGTTAAACTCTGAGACTTGAACGCACACATCACGCAGCAGTTTCTGAGAATGATTCTGTCTAGTTTTTATACGAAGATATTTCCTTTTCTGCCTTTGGCCTCAAAGCGCTTGAAATCTCCACTTGCAAATTCCACAAAAAGAGTGTTTCAAATCTGCTCTGTCTAAGGGAACGTTCAACTCTGTGAGTTGAACACACACAACACATGGAAGTTACTGGGAATTCTTCTGTCTAGCAGAATATGAAGAAAGCCCGCTTCCAACGAAGGCCTCAAAGAAGTCTGAATATCCACTTGCAGACTTTACAAACAGAGTGTTTCCCAACTGCTCTATTAAAAGAAAGGTTGAACTCTGTGAGTTGAACGCACACATCACAAAGGAGTTTCTGAGAATCATTCTGTCTAGTTTTTATAGGAAGATATTTCCTTTCTAACTTTGACCTCAAAGCGGCTGAAATCTCCACTTGCAAATTCCACAAAAAGAGTGTTTCAAGTCTGCTCTGTGTAAAGGATCGTTCAACTCTGTGAGTTGAATACACGCAACACACGGAAGTTACTGAGAATTCTTCTGTCTAGCAGAATATGAAGAAATCCCGTTTCCAACGAAGGCCTCAAAGAGGTCTGAATATCCACTTGCAGACTTTAGAAACAGAGTGTTTCCTAACTGCTCTATGAAAAGAAAAGTTAAACTCTGTGAGTTGAAGGCACACATCACAAAGGAGTTTCTGAGAATCATTCTGTCTAGTTTTGAAACGAAGATATTTCCTTTTCTGCCATTGACCTTAAAGCGCTTGAAATCTACACTTGCCAATTGCACAAATAGAGTGTTTCAAATCTGCTCTGTCTAAGGGAACGTTCAACTCTGTGAGTTGAATGCACACAACACAAGGAAAGTTACTGGGAATTCTTCTGTCTAGCCTTCCAGGAAAAAAACCCGTTTCCAACAAAGGCCTCTAAGTGGTCAAAATATCCACGTGCAGACTTTACAAACAGAGTGTTTCCAAACTGCTGAATGAAAAGAAAAGTTAAACTCTGAGAGTTCAACGCACACATCGCAGAGCAGTTTCTGAGAATGATTCTGTCTAGTTTTGAAACGAAGATATATCCTTTTCTACCGTTGACCTCAACGCGGCTGAAATCTCCATTTGCAAATTCCACAAAAAGAGTGTTTCAAATCTGCTCTGTGTAAATGAAAGTTCAACTCTGTGAGTTGAACACACACAACACAAGGAAGTTACTGGGAATTCTTCTCTCTAGCCTTATATGAAAAAAACCCGTTTCCAACGAAGGCCTCAAAGAGGTCTGAATATGAACTTGCAGACTTTACAAACAGAGTGTTTCCTAACTGCTCTATGAAAAGAAAGGTTAAACTCTGTGAGTTGAACGCACACATCACAAAGGAGTTTCTGAGAATCTTTCTGTCCAGTTTCTATAGGAAGATATTTCCTTTTCTACCATTGACCTCAAAGCGGCTGAAATCTCCACTTGCAAATTCCACAAAAAGAGTGTTTCAAGTCTGCTCTGTGTAAAGGATCGTTCAACTCTGTGAGTTGAATACACACAACACAAGGAAGTTACTGAGAATTTTTCTGTCTAGCAGAATATGAAGAAATCCCGTTTCCAACGAAGGCCACAAGATGTCAGAATATCCACTTACAGAATTTACAAACAGAGTGTTTCCTAACTGCTCTATGAAAAGAAAGGTTAAACTCTGTGAGATGAACGAACACATCACAACGCAGTTTTTGGGAATGATTCTGTCTAGTTTTGAAACGAAGATATTTCCTTTTCTGCCATTGACCTTAAAGCGCTTGAAATCTCCACTTGCCAATTGCACAAAAAGAGTATTTCAAATCTGCTCTGTCTAAGGGAACGTTCAACTCTGTGAGTTGAATGTACACAACACAAGGAAGTTACTGGGAATTCTTCTGTCTAGCCTTACATGAAAAAAACCCGTTTCCAACGAAGGCCTCTAAGTGGTCAAAATATCCACGTGCAGACTTTACAAACAGAGTGTTTCCAAACCGCTGAATGAAAAGAAAAGTTAAACTCTGAGAGTTCAACGCACACATCACGCAGCAGTTTCTGAGTATGATTCTGTCTAGTTTTTATACGAAGATATTTCCTTTTCTGCCTTTGGCCCCAAAGCGCTTGAAATCTCCACTTGCAAATTCCACAAAAACTGTGTTTCAAATCTGCTCTCTCTAAATGAAAGTTCAACTCTGTGAGTTGAATACACACAACACAAGGAAGTTACTGAGAATTCTTCTGTCTAGCATAATAAGAAGAAATCCCGTTTCCAAAGAAGGCCTCAAGGAGGTCCGAATATCCACTTGCAGACTTTACAAACAGAGTGTTTCCTAACTGCTCTATGAAAAGAAAGGTTAAACTCTGTGAGTTGAACGCACACATCACAAAGGAGTTTCTGAGAATCATTCTGTCAAGTTTTTATACGAAGATATTTCCTTTTCTACCATGGACCTCAAAGCGGCTGAAATCTCCACTTGCAAATTCCACAAAACGAGTGTATCAAGTCTGCTCTGTGTAAAGTATCGTTCAACTCTGTGAGTTGAATAAACACAACACAAAGAAGTTACTGAGAATTCTTCTTTCTAGCAGAATATGAAGAAATCCCGTTTCCAACGAAAGCCTCAAGGATGTCTGAATATCCACTTGCAGACTTTACAAACAGAGTGTTTCCTAACTGCTCTATGAAAAGAAAGGTTCAACTCTGTGAGTTGAACGCACACATCACAAAGGAGGTTCTGAGAATCATTCTGTCTAGTTTTGAAACGAAGATATTTCCTTTTCTGCCATTGACCTTAAAGCGCTTGAAATCTCCACTTGCCAATTGCACAAAAAGAGTGTTTCAAATCTGCTTTGTCTAAGGGAACGTTCAACTCTGTGAGTTGAATGTACACAACACAAGGAAGTTACTGGGAATTCTTCTGTCTAGCCTTACATGAAAAAAAACCCGTTTCCAAGGAAGGCCTCAAAGAGGTCTGAATATCCACTTGCAGACTTTACAAACAGAGTGTTTCCAAACTGCTGAATGAAAAGAAAAGTTAAACTCTGTGAGTTGAACGCACACATCACAAAGAAATTTCTGAGAATCATTCTGTCTAGTTTTTATACGAAGATATTTCCTTTTCGGCCTTTGGCCTCAAAGCGCTTGAAATCTCCACTTGCAAATTCCACAAAAAGAGTATTTCAAATCTGCTCTGTGTAAATGAAAGTTCAACTCTGTGAGTTGAACACACACAACACAAGGAAGTTACTGGGAATTCTTCTCTCTAGCCTTATATGAAAAAAACCCGTTTCCAACGAAGGCCTCAAAGAGGTCTGAATATCCACTTGCAGACTTTAGAAACGGAGTGTTTCCTAACTGCTCTATGAAAAGAAAGGTTAAACTCTGTGAGTTGAACGCACACATCACAAAGGAGTTTCTGAGAATCATTCTGTCTAGTTTTTATACGAAGATATTTCCTTTTCTACCATTGACCTCAACGCGGCTGAAATCTCCACTTGCAAATTCCACAAAAAGAGTGTTACAAGTCTGCTCTGTGTAAAGGATCGTTCAACTCTGTGAGTTGAATACACACAACACAAGGAAGTTACTGAGAATTCTTCTGTCTAGCATAGTATGAAGAAATCCCGTTTCCAACGATGGCCTCAAAGAGGTCTGAATATCCACTTGCAGACTTTACAAACAGAGTGTTTCCTAACTCCTCTATGAAAAGAAAGGTTAAACTCTGTGAGTTGAACGCACACATCACAAAGAAGTTTCTGAGAATCATTCTGTCTAGTTTTGAAACGAAGATATTTCCTTTTCTGCCATTGACCTTAAAGCGCTTGAAATCTCCACTTGCCAATTGCACAAAAAGAGTGTTTCAAATCTGCTCTGTGTAAATGAAAGTTCAACTCTGTGAGTTGAACACACACAACACAAGGAAGTTACTGGGAATTCTTCTGTCTAGCCTTACAGGAAAAAAACCCGTTTCCAACGAAGGCCTCTAAGTGGTCAAAATATCCACGTGCAGACTTTCCAAACAGAGTGTTTCCAAACTGCTGAATGAAAAGAAAAGTTAAACTCTGAGAGTTGAACGCACACATCGCAGAGCAGTTTCTGAGAATGATTCTTTCTAGTTTTTATACGAAGATATTTCCTTTTCTGCCTTTGGCCCCAAAGCGCTTGAAATCTCCACTTGCAAATTCCACAAAAACAGTGTTTCAAATCTGCTCTCTCCAAATGAAAGTTCAACTCTGTCAGTTGAATACACACAACACAAGGAAGTTACTGAGAATTCTTCTGCCTAGCAGAATATGAAAAAATCCCGTTTCCAACGAAAGCCTCAAAGATGTCTGAATATCCACTTGCAGACTTTACAAACAGAGTGTTTCCTAACTGCTCTATGAAAAGAAAGGTTAAACTCTGTGAGTTGCACGCACACATCACAAAGGAGTTTCTGAGAATCATTCTGTCTAGTTTTTATACGAAGATATTTCCTTTTCTACCATTGACCTCAAAGAGGCTGAAATCTCCACTTGCAAATTCCAGAAAAAGAGTGTTTCAAGTCTGCTCTGTGTAAAGGATCGTTCAACTCTGTGAGTTGAATACACACAACACAAGGAAGTTACTGAGAATTCTTCTGTCTAGCATAATATGAAGAAATCCCATTTCCTACGAAGGCCTCAAAGAGGTCTGAATATCCACTTGCAGACTTTACAAACAGAGTGTTTCCTAACTGCTCTATGAAAAGAAAGGCTAAACTCTGTGAGTTGAGTGCACACATCACAAAGGAGTTTCTGAGAATCATTCTGTCTAGTTTTGAAACGAAGATATTTCCTTTTCTGCCATTGACCTTAAAGCGCTTGAAATCTCCACTTGCCAATTGCACAAAAAGAGTGTTTCAAATCTGCTCTGTCTAAGGGAACGTTCAACTCTGTGAGTTGAATGTACACAACACAAGGAAGTTATTGGGAATTCTTCTGTCTAGCCTTACAGGAAAAAAACCCGTTTCCAACGAAGGCCTCTAAGTGGTCAAAATATCCACGTGCAGACTTTAAAAAACAGAGTGTTTCCAAACTGCTGAATGAAAAGAAAAGTTAAACTCTGAGAGTTGAACGCACACATCGCAGAGCAGTTTCTGAGAATGATTCTGTCTAGTTTCTATAGGAAGATATTTCCTATTCTACCATTGAACTCAAAGCGGCTGAAATCTCCACTTGCAAATTCCACAAAAAGAGTGTTTCAAGTCTGCTCTGTGTAAAGGATCGTTCAACTCTGTGAGTTGAATACACACAACACAAGGAAGTTACTGAAAATTCTTCTGTCTAGCATAATATGAAGAAATCCCGTTTCCAACGAAGGCCTCAAGGAGGTCTGAATATCCACTTGCAGACTTTACAAACAGAGTGTTTCCTAACTGCTCTATGAAAAGAAAGGTTAAACTCTGTGAGTTGAATGCACACATCACAAAGGAGTTTCTCAGAATCATTCTGTCTAGTTTCTATAGGAAGATATTTCCTATTCTACCATTGACCTCAAAGCGGCTGAAATCTCCACTTGCAAATTCCACAAAAAGAGTGTTTGAAGTCTGCTCTGTGTAAAGGATCGTTCAACTCTGTGAGTTGAATACACACAACACAAGGAAGTTACTGAGAATTCTTCTGTCTAGCAGAATATGAAGAAATCCCGTTTCCAACGAAGGCCACAAGATGTCAGAATATCCACTTACAGACTTTACAAACAGAGTGTTTCCTAACTGCTCTATGAACAGAAAGGTTAAACTCTGTGAGTTGAACGAACACATCACAACGCAGTTTGTGGTAATGATTCTGTCTAGTTTTTATAGGAAGTTATTTCCTTTTTTACCATTGACCTCAAAGCGGCTGAAATCACCACTTGCCAATTGCACAAAAAGAGTGTTTCAAATCTGCTCTGTCTAAGGGAACGTTCAACTCTGTGAGTTGAATGTACACAACACAAGGAAGTTCCTGGGAATTCTTCTGTCTAGCCTTACAGGAAAAAAACCCGTTTCCAACGAAGGACTCTAAGTGGTCAAAATATCCACGTGCAGACTTTACAAACAGAGTGTTTCCAAACTGCTGAATGAAAAGAAAAGTTAAACTCTGAGAGTTCAACGCACACATCGCAGCGCAGTTTCTGAGAATGATTCTGTCTAGTTTTTATACGAAGATATTTCCTTTTCTGCCTTTTGCCCCAAAGCGCTTGAAATCTCCACTTGCAAATTCCACAAAAACAGTGTTTCAAACCTGCTCTCTCTAAATGAAAGTTCAACTCTGTCAGTTGAATACACACAACACAAGGAAGTTACAGAGAATTCTTCTGTCTAGCAGAATATGAAGAAATCCCGTTTCCAACGAAGGCCTCAAGGTGGTCTGAATATCCACTTGCAGACTTTTCAAACAGAGTGTTTCCTAACTGCTCTATGAAAAGAAAGGTTAAACTCTGTGAGTTGAACGCACACATCACAAAGGAGTTTATGAGAATCATTCTGTCTAGTTGTTATACGAAGATATTTCCTTTTCTACCATTGACCTCAATGCGGCTGAAATCTCCACTTGCAAATTCCACCAAATGAGTGTTTCAAATCTGCTCTGTGTAAACCATCGTTCAACTCTGTGAGTTGAATACACACAACACAAGGAAGATTCTGAGAATTCTTCTGTCTAGCAGAATATGAAGAAATCCCGTTTCCAACGAAGGCCTCAAGGAGGTCTGAATATCCACTTGCAGACTTTACAAACAGAGTGTTTCCTAACTTCTCTATGAAAAGAAAGGTTAAACTCTGTGAGTTGAACGAACACATCACAACGCAGTTTGTGGGAATGATTCTGTCTAGTTTTAAAACGAAGAAATTTCCTTTTCTGCCATTGACCTTAAAGCGCTTGAAATCTACACTTGCAAATTGCACAAATAGAGTGTTTCAAATCTGCTCTGTCTAAGGGAACGTTCAACTCTGTGAGTTGAATGCACACAACACAAGGAAGTTACTGGGAATTCTTCTGTCTAGCCTTACATGCAAAAAACCCGTTTGCAACGAAGGCCTCTAAGTGGTCAAAATATCCACGTACAGACTTTACAAACAGAGTGTTTCCAAACCGCTGAATGAAAAGAAAAGTTAAACTCTGAGAGTTGAACGCACACATCACGCAGCAGTTTCTGAGAATGATTCTGTCTAGTTTTTATACGAAGATATTTCCTTTTCTGCCTTTGGCCCCAAAGCGCTTGAAATCTCCACTTGCAAATTCCACAAAAACAGTGTTTCAAATCTGGTCTCTCTAAATGAAAGTTCAACTCTGTCAGTTGAATACACACAACACAAGAAAGTTACTGAGGAATTCTTCTGTCTAGCAGAATATGAAGAAATCCCGTTTCCAACGAAGGCCTCAAAGAGGTCTGAATATCCACTTGCAGACTTTACAAACAGAGTGTTTCCTAACTGCTCTATGAAAAGAAAGGTTAAAGTCTGTGAGTTGAACGCACACATCACAAAGGAGTTTCTGAGAATCGTTCTGTCTAGTTTTTATACGAAGATATTTCCTTTTCTACCATTGACCTCAACGCGGCTGAAATCTCCACTTGAAAATTCCACAAAAAGAGTGTTCCAAGTCTGCTCTGTGTAAAGGATCGTTCAACTCTGTGAGTTGAATACACACAACACAAGGAAGTTACTGAGAATTCTTCTGTCTAGCAGAATATGAAGAAATCCCGTTTCCAACGAAGGCCTCAAGGAGGTCTGAATATCCACTTGCAGACTTTACAAACAGAGTGTTTCCTAACTGCTCTATGAAAAGAAAGGTTAAACTCTGTGAGTTGAACACACACATCACAAAGGAGTTTCTGAGAATCATTTCTGTCTAGTTTTGAAACGGAAATATTTCCTTTTCTGCCATTGACCTTAAGCGCTTGAAATCTCCACTTGCCAATTGCACAAAAAGAGTGTTTCAAATCTGCTCTGTCTAAGGGAACGTTCAACTCTGTGAGTTGAATGTACACAACACAAGGGAGTTACTGGGAATTCTTCTGTCTAGCCTTACATGACAAAAACCCGTTTCCAACGAAGGCCTCTAAGTGGTCAAAATATCCACGTGCAGACTTTAGAAACAGAGTGTTTCCAAACTGCTGAATGAAAAGAAAAGTTAAACTCTGAGCGCTGAAGGCACACATCGCAGAGCAGTTTCAGAGAATGATTCTGTCTAGTTTTTATACGAAGATATTTCCTTTTCTGCCTTTGGCCTCAAAGCGCTTGAAATCTCCATTTGCAATTTCCACAAAAAGAGTGTTTCAAATCTGCTCTGTGTAAATGAAAGTTCAACTCTGTGAGTTGAACACACACAACACAAGGAAGTTACTGGGAATTCTTGTGTCTAGCATAGTATGAAGAAATCCCGTTTCCAACGAAGGCCTCAAAGAGGTCTGAATATCCACTTGCAGACTTTACAAACAGAGTGTTTCCTAACTGCTCTATGAAAAGAAAGGTTAAACTCTGTGAGTTGAACGCACACATCACAAAGAAGTTTCTGAGAATCATTCTGTCTAATTTTTCTACGAAGATAGTTTCCTTTTCTACCTTTGACCTCAAAGCGGCTGAAATCTCCAGTTGCAAATTCCACAAAAAGAGTGTTTCAAGTCTGCTCTGTGTAAAGGATCGTTCAACTCTGTGAGTTGAATACACACAACACAAGGAAGTTACTGAGAATTCTTCTGTCTAGCCTTACATGAAAAAAACCCGTTTCCAACGAAGGCCTCTAAGTGGTCAAAATATCCACGTGCAGACTTTACAAAAAGAGTGTTTCCAAACTGCTGAATGACAAGAAAAGTTAAACTCTGAGAGTTGAACGCACACATCGCAGAGCAGTTTCTGAGAATGATTCTGTCTAGTTTTGAAACGAAGATATTTCCTTTTCTGCCTTTGGCCTCAAAGCGCTTGAAATCTCCATTTGCAAATTCCACAAAAAGAGTGTTTCAAATCTGCTCTGTGTAAATGAAAGTTCAACTGCTGTGAGTTGAACACACACAACACAAGGAAGTTACTGGGAATTCTTCTGTCTAGCCTTATATGAAAAAAACCCGTTTCCAACGAAGGCCTCAAAGAGGTCTGAATATCCTCTTGCAGACCTTACAAACAGAGTGTTTCCTAACTGCTCTATGAAAAGAAAGGTTAAACTCTGTGAGTTGAACACACACATCACAAAGGAGTTTCTGAGAATCATTCTGTCAAGTTTTTATACGAAGTTATTTCCTTTTCTGCCTTTGGCCCCAAAGCGCTTGAAATCTCCACTTGCAAATTCCACAAAAACAGTGTTTCAAATCTGCTCTCTCTAAATGAAAGTTCAACTCTGTCAGTTGAATACACACAACACAAGGAAGTTACAGAGAATTCTTCTGTCTAGCAGAATATGAAGAATTCCCGTTTCCAACGAAGGCCTCAAAGAGGTCTGAATATCCACTTGCAGACTTTACAAACAGAGTGTTTCCTAACTGCTCTATGAACAGAAAGGTTAAACTCTGTGAGTTGAACGCACACATCACAAAGGAGTTTCTGAGAATCATTCTGTCTAGTTTTTCTACGAAGATATTTACTTTTCTACTATTGACCTCAAAGCGGCTGAAATCTCCACTTGCAAATTCCACAAAAAGAGTGTTTCAAGTCTGCTCTGTGTAAAGGATCGTTCAACTCTGTGAGTTGAATACACACAACACAAGGAAGTTACTGAGAATTCTTCTGTCTAGCAGAATATGAAGAAATCCCGTTTCCAACGAAGGTCACAAGATGTCAGAATATCCACTTACAGAATTGACAAACAGACTGTTTCCTAACTGCTCTATGAAAAGAAAGGTTAAACTCTGTGAGTTGAACGAACACATCACAACGCAGTTTGTGGGAATGATTCTGTCTAGTTTTGAAACGAAGATATTTCCTTTTATGCCATTGACCTTAAAGCGCTTGAAATCTCCACTTGCCAATTGCACAAAAAGTGTGTTTCAAATCTGCTCTGTCTAAGGGAACGTTCAACTCTGTGAGTTGAATGTACACAACACAAGGAAGTTACTGGGAATTCTTCTGTCTAGCCTTACAGGAAAAAAACCCGTTTCCAACGAAGGCCTCTAAGTGGTCAAAATATCCACGTGCAGACTTTACAAACAGAGTGTTTCCAAACTGCTGAATGAAAAGAAACGTTAAACTCTGAGAGTTGAACGCACACATCGCAGAGCAGTTTCTGAGAATGATTCTGTCTAGTTTTTATACGAAGATATTTCCTTTTCTGCCTTTGGCCCCAAAGCGCTTGAAATCTCCACTTGCAAATTCCACAAAAAGAGTGTTTCAAGTCTGCTCTGTGTAAAGGATCGTTCAACTCTGTGAGTTGAATACACACAACACAAGGAAAGTTACTGAGAATTCTTCTGTCTAGCAGAATATGAAGAAATCCCGCTTCCAACGAAGGCCTCAAAGAAGTCTGAATATCCACTTGCAGAGTTTACAAACAGAGTGTTTCCCAACTGCTCTATGAAAAGAAAGGTTGAACTCTGTGAGTTGAACGCACACATCACAAAGGAGTTTCTGAGAATCATTCTGTCTAGTTTTTATAGGAAGATATTTCCTTTTCTACCTTTGACTTCAAAGCGGCTGAAATCTCCACTTGCAAATTCCACAAAAAGAGTGTTACAGGTCTGCTCTGTGTAAAGGATCGTTCAACTCTGTGAGTTGAATACACACAACACAAGGAAGTTACTGAGAATTCTTCTGTCTAGCAGAATATGAAGAAATCCCGTTTCCAATGAAGGCCTCTAGGAGGTCTGAATATCCACTTGCAGACTTTACAAACAGAGTGTTTCTTAACTGCTCTATGAACAGAAAGGTTAAAGTCCGTGAGTTGAACGAACACATCACAACGCAGTTTGTGGGAATGATTCTGTCTAGTTTTGAAACGAAGATATTTCCTTTTCTGCCGTTGACCTTAAAAGCGCTTGAAATCTACACTTGCAAATTGCACAAATAGAGTGTTTCAAATCTGCTCTGTCTAAGGGAACGTTCAACTCTGTGAGTTGAATGCACACAACACAAGGAAGTTACTGGGAATTCTTCTGTCTAGCCTTACATGAAAAAAACCCGTTTCCAACGAAGGCCTCTAAGTGGTCAAGTTATCCACGTGCAGACTTTACAAACAGAGTGTTTCCAAACTTCTGAATGAGAAGAAAAGTTAAACTCTGAGAGTTGAACGCACACATCGCAGAGCAGTTTCTGAGAATGATTCTGTCTAGTTTTTATACGAAGATATTTCCTTTTCTGCCTTTGGCCTCAAAGCGCTTGAAACCTCCATTTGCAAATTCCACAAAAAGAGTGTTTCAAATCTGCTCTGTGTAAATGAAAGTTCAACTCTGTGAGTTGAACACACACAACACAAGGGAGTTACTGGGAATTCTTCTGTCTAGCATAATATGAAGAAATCCCGTTTCCAACGAAAGCCTCAAGGATGTCTGAATATCCACTTGCAGACTTTACAAACAGGGTGTTTCCTAACTGCTCTATGAAAAGAAAGGTTAAACTCTGTGAGTTGAACGCACACATCACAAAGGAGTTTCTGAGAATCATTCTGTCTAGTTTCTATAGGAAGATATTTCCTATTCTACCATTGACCTCAAAGCGGCTGAAATCTCCACTTGCAAATTCCACAAAAAGAGTGTTTCAAGCCTGCTCTCTGTAAAGGATCGTTCAACTCTGTGAGTTGAATGCACACAACACAAGGAAGTTACTAGGTATTCTTCTGTCTAGCAGAATATGAAGAAATCCCGTTTCCAACGAAGGCCTTCAAGAGGTCTGAATATCCACTTGCAGACTTTACAAACAGAGTGTTTCCTAACTGCTCTATGAACAGAAAGGTTAAACTCTGTGAGTTGAACGAACACATCACAACGCAGTTTGTGGGAATGATTCTGTCTAGTTTTGAAACGAAGATATTCCCTTTTCTGCCATTGACCTTTAAAGCGCTTGAAATCTACACTTGCAAATTGCACAAATAGAGTGTTTCAAATCTGCTCTGTCTAAGGGAACGTTCAACTCTGTGAGTTGAATGCACACAACACAAGGAATTTACTGGGAATTCTTCTGTCTAGCCTTACAGGAAAGAAACCCGTTTCCAACGAAGGCCTCTAAGTGGTCAAAATATCCACGTGCAGACTTTACAAACAGAGTGTTTCCAAACTGCTGAATGAAAAGAAAAGTTAAACTCTGAGAGTTGAACGCACACATCGCAGAGCAGTTTCTGAGAATGATTCTGTCTAGTTTTTATACGAAGATATTTCCTTTTCTGCCTTTGGCCCCAAAGCGCTTGAAATCTCCACTTGCAAATTCCACAAAAACAGTGTTTCAAATCTGCTCTCTCTAAATGAAAGTTCAACTCTGTCAGTTGAATACACACAACACAAGGAAGTTACTTGAGAATTCTTCTGTCTAGCCTTATATGAAAAAAACCCGTTTCCAACGAAGGCCTCAAAGAGGTCTGAATATCCACTTGCAGACTTTACAAACAGAGTGTTTCCTAACTGCTCTATGAAAAGAAAGGTTAAACTCTGTGAGTTGAGAGCACACATCTCAAAGGAGTTTCTGAGAATCATTCTGTCTAGTTTCTATAGGAAGATATTTCCTATTCTACCATTGACCTCAAAGCGGCTGAAATCTCCACTTGCCAATTCCACAAAAAGAATGTTTCAAGTCTGCTCTGTGTAAAGGATCGTTCAACTCTGTGAGTTGAATACACACAACACAAGGAAGTTACTTGAGAATTCTTCTGTCTAGCAGAATATGAAGAAATCCCGTTTCCAACGAAGGCCACAAGATGTCAGAATATCCACTTACAGAATTTACAAACATAGTGTTTCCTAACTGCTCTATGAAAAGAAAGGTTAAACTCTGTGAGATGAACGAACACATCACAACACAGTTTGTGGGAATGATTCTGTCTAGTTTTGAAACGAAGATATTTCCTTTTCTGCCATTGACCTTAAAGCGCTTGAAATCTACACTTGCAAATTGCACAAATAGAGTGTTTCAAATCTGCTCTGTCTAAGGGAACGTTCAACTCTGTGAGTTGAATGCACACAACACAAGGAAGTTACTGGGAATTCTTCTGTCTAGCCTTACATGCAAAAAACCCGTTTCCAACGAAGGCCTCTAAGTGGTCAGAATATCCACGTGTAGACTTTACAAACAGAGTGTTTCCAAACCGCTGAATGAAAAGAAAAGTTAAACTCTGAGAGTTGAACGCACACATCACGCAGCAGTTTCTGAGAATGATTCTGTCTAGTTTTTATACGAAGATATTTCCTTTTCTGCCTTTGGCCCCAAAGCGCTTGAAATCTCCACTTGCAAATTCCACAAAAACAGTGTTTCAAATCTGCTGTCTCTAAATGAAAGTTCAACTCTGTCAGTTGAATACACACAACACAAGGAAGTTACTGAGAATTCTTCTGTCTAGCAGAATATGAAGAAATCCCGTTTCCAACGAAGGCCTCAAAGAGGTCTGAATATCCACTTGCAGACTTTACAAACAGAGTGTTTCCTAACTGCTCTAAGAAAAGAAAGGTTAAACTCTGTGAGTTGAACGCACACATCACAAAGGAGTTTATGAGAATCATTTTGTCTAGTTTCTATAGGAAGATATTTCCTATTCTACCATTGACCTCAAAGCGGCTGAAATCTCCACTTGCAAATTCCACAAAAAGAGTGTTTCAAGTCTGCTCTGTGTAAAGGATCGTTCAACTCTGTGAGTTGAATACACACAACACAAGGAATGTTACTGAGAATTCTTCTGTCTAGCAGAATATGAAGAAATCCCGTTTCCAACGAAGGCCACAAGATGTCAGAATATCCACTTACAGAATTTTCAAACAGACTGTTTCCTAACTGCTCTATGAAAAGAAAGGTTAAACTCTGTGAGTTGAACGAAAACATCACAACGCAGTTTGTGGGAGTGATTCTGTCTAGTTTTGAAACGAAGATATTTCCTTTTCTGCCGTTGACCTTAAAGCGCTTGAAATCTACACTTTCAAATTGCACAAATAGAGTGTTTCAAATCTGCTCTGTCTAAGGGAACGTTCAACTCTGTGAGTTGAATGCACACAACACAAGGGAAGTTACTGGGAATTCTTCTGTCTAGCCTTACATGAAAAAAAACCCGTTTCCAACGAAGGCCTCTAAGTGGTCAAAATATCCACGTGCAGACTTTACAAACAGAGTGTTTCCAAACCGCTGAATGAAAAGAAAAGTTAAACTCTGAGAGTTGAACGCACACATCACGCAGCAGTTTCTGAGAATGATTCTGTCTATTTTCTATAGGAAGATATTTCCTATTCTACCATTGACCTCAAAGCGGCTGAAATCTCCACTTGCAAATTCCACAAAAAGAGTGTTTCAAGACTGCTCTGTGTAAAGGATCATTCAACTCTGTGAGTTGAATAAACACAACACAAGGAAGTTACTGAGAATTCTTCTGTCTAGCATAATATGAAGAATTCCCGTTTCCAACGAAGGCCTCAAAGAGGTCTGAATATCCACTTGCAGACATTACAAACAGAGTGTTTCCTAACTGCTCTATGAAAAGAAAAGTTAAACTCTGTGAGTTGAACGCACACATCACAAAGGAGTTTCTGAGAATCATTCTGTCTAGTCTTTATACGAAGATATTTCCTTTTCTACCATTGACCTCAAAGCGGCTGAAATCTCCACTTGCAAATTCCACAAAAAGAGTGTTTCAAGTCTGCTCTGTGTAAAGGATCGTTCAGCTCTGTGAGTTGAATACACACAACACAAGGAAGTTACTGAGAATTCTTCTGTCTAGCAGAATATGAAGAAATCCCGTTTCCAACGAAGGCCACAAGATGTCAGAATATCCACTTACAGACTTTACAGAGTATTTCCTAACTGCTCTATGAACAGAAAGGTTAAACTCTGTGAGTTGAACGAACACATCACAACGCAGTTTGTGGGAATGATTCTGTCTAGTTTTGAAACGAAGATATTTCCTTTTCTGCCATTGACCTTAAAGCGCTTGAAATCTCCACTTGCCAATTGCACAAAAAGAGTGTTTCAAATCTGCTCTGTCTAAGGGAACGTTCAACTCTGTGAGTTGAACCGTACACAACACAAGGAAGTTACTGGGAATTCTTCTGTCTAGCCTTACATGAAAAAAACCCGTTTCCAACGAAGGCCTCTAAGTGGTCAAATTATCCACGTGCAGACTTTACAAACAGAGTGTGTCCAAACTGCTGAATGAAAAGAAAAGTTAAACTCTGAGAGTTGAACGCACACATCGCAGAGCAGTTTCTGAGAATGATTCTGTCTAGTTTTTATACGAAGATATTTCCTTTTCTGCCTTTGGCCTCAAAGCGCTTGAAATCTCCACTTGCAAATTCCACAAAAAGAGTGTTTCAAATCTGCTCTGTGTAAAGGAAAGTTCAACTCTGTGAGTTGAACACACACAACACAAGGAAGTTACTGGGAATTCTTCTGTCTAGCAGAATATGAAGAAATCCCGTTTCCAACGAAGGCCTCAAGGAGGTCTGAATATCCACTTGCAGACTTTACAAACAGAGTGTTTCCTAACTGCTCTATGAAAAGAAAGGTTAAACTCTGTGAGTTGAACGCACACATCACAAAGGAGTTCATGAGAATCATTCTGTCTAGTTTCTATAGGAAGATATTTCCTATTCTACCATGGACCTCAAAGCGGCTGAAATCTCCACTTGCACATTCCACAAGAAGAGTGTTTCAAGTATGCTCTGTGTAAAGGATCGTTCAACTCTGTGAGTTGAATACACACAACACAAGGAAGTTACTGAGAATTCTTCTGTCTAGCAGAATATGAAGAAATCCCGTTTCCAGCGAAGGCAACAAGATGTCAGAATATCCACTTACAGACTTTACAAACAGAGTGTTTCCTAACTGCTCTATGAACAGAAAGGTTAAACTCTGTGTGTTGAACGCACACATCACAAAGGAGTTTATGAGAATCATTCTGTCTAGTTTTGAAACGAAGATATTTCTTTTACTGCCATTGACCTTAAAGCGCTTGAAATCTCCACTTGCCAATTGCACAAAAAGAGTGTTTCAAATCTGCTCTAAGGGAACGTTCAACTCTGTGAGTTGAATGTACACAACACAAGGAAGTTACTGGGAATTCTTCTGTCTAGCCTTACAGGAAAAAAACCCGTTTCCAACGAAGGCCTCTAAGTGGTCAAGTTATCCACGTGCAGACTTTACAAACAGAGTGTTTCCAAACTGCTGAATGAAAAGAAAAGTTAAACTCTGAGAGTTGAACGCACACATCGCAGAGCAGTTTCTGAGAATGATTCTGTCTAGTTTTTATACGAAGATATTTCCTTTTCTGCCTTTGGCCCCAAAGCGCTTGAAATCTCCACTTGCAAATTCCGCAAAAACCGTGTTTCAAATCTGCTCTCTCTAAATGAAAGTTCAACTCTGTCAGTTGAATACACACAACACAAGGAAGTTACTGAGAATTCTTCTGTCTAGCAGAATATGAAGAAATCCCGTTTCCAACGAAGGCCTCAAAGAGGTCTGAATATCCACTTGCAGACTTTACAAAGAGAGTGTTTCCTAACTGCTCTATGAAAAGAAATGTTAAACTCTGTGAGTTGAACGCACACATCACAAAGGATTTTCTGAGAATCATTCTGTCTAGTTTCTATAGGAAGATATTTCCTATTCTACTATTGACCACAAAGCGGCTGAAATCTCCACTTGCAAGTTCCACAAAACGAGTGTTTCAAGTCTGCTCTGTGTAAAGGATCGTTCAACTCTGTGAGTTGAATTCACACAACACAAGGAAGTTACTGAGAATTCTTCTGTCTAGCAGAATATGAAGAAATCCCGTTTCCAACGAAGGCCTCAAAGTGGTCTGAATATCCACTTGCAGACTTTACAAACAGAGTGTTTCTTAACTGCTCTATGAAAAGAAAGGTTAAACTCTGTGAGTTGAACGCACACATCACAAAGGAGTTTCTGAGAATCGTTCTGTCTAGTTTTGAAACGAAGATATTTCCTTTTCTGCCATTGACCTTAAAGCGCTTGAAATCTACACTTGCAAATTGCACAAATAGAGTGTTTCAAATCTGCTCTGTCTAACGGAACGTTCAACTCTGTGAGTTGAATGCACACAACACAAGGAAGTTACTGGGAAATCTTCTGTCTAGCCTTACAGGAAAAAAACCCGTTTCCAACGAAGGCCTCTAAGTGGTCAAAATATCCACGTGCAGACTTTACAAACAGAGTGTTTCCAAACTGCTGAATGAAAAGAAAAGTTAAACTCTGAGAGTGGAACGCACACATCGCAGAGCAGTTTCTGAGAATGATTCTGTCTAGTTTTGAAACGAAGATATTTCCTTTTCTGCCTTTGGCCTCAAAGCGCGTGAAATCTCCACTTGCAAATTCCACAAAAAGAGTGTTTCAAATCTGCTCTGTGTAAATGAAAGTTCAACTCTGTGAATTGAACACACACAACACAAGGAAGTTACTGAGAATTCTTCTGTCTAGCCTTATATGAAAACAACCCGTTTCCAACGAAGGCCTCAAAGAGGTCTGAATATCCACTTGCAGACTTTACAAACAGAGTGTTTCCTAACTGCTCTATGAAAAGAAAGGTTAAACTCTGTGAGTTGAACACACACATCACAAAGGAGTTTCTGAGAATCATTTCTGTCTAGTTTCTATAAGAAGATATTTCCTATTCTACCATTGACCTCAAAGCGGCTGAAATCTCCACTTGCAAATTCGACAAAAAGAGTGTTTCAAGCCTGCTCTCTGTAAAGGATCCTTCAACTCTGTGAGTTGAATACACACAACACAAGGAAGTTACTGAGAATTCTTCTGTCTAGCAGAATAGGAAGAAATCCCGTTTCCAACGAAGGCCACAAGATGTCTGAATATCCACTTACAGACTTTACAAACAGAGTGTTTCCTAACTGCTCTATGAACAGAAATGTTAAACTCTGTGAGTTGAACGAACACATCACAACGCAGTTTGTGGGAATGATTCTGTCTAGTTTTGAAACGAAGATATTTCCTTTTCTGCCATTGACCTTAAAGCGCTTGAAATCTCCACTTGCCAATTGCACAAATAGAGTGTTTCAAATCTGCTCTGTCTAAGGGAACGTTCAACTCTGTGAGTTGAATGCACACAACACAAGGAAGTTACTGGGAATTCTTCTGTCTAGCCTTACATGAAAAATACCCGTTTCCAACGAAGGCCTCTAAGTGGTCAAAATATCCACGTGCAGACTTAACAAACAGAGTGTTTCCAAACCGCTGAATGAAAAGAAAAGTTAAACTCTGAGAGTTGAACGCACACATCACAAAGGAGATTCTGAGAATCATTCTGTCTAGTTTTGAAACGAAGATATTTCCTTTTCTGCCTTTGGCCTCAAAGCGCTTGAAATCTCCACTTGCAAATTCCACAAAAAGAGTGTTTCAAATCTGCTCTGTGTAACTGAAAGTTCAACTCTGTGAGTTGAACACACACAACACAAGGAAGTTACTGGGAATTCTTCTGTCTAGCCTTATATGAAAAAACCCCGTTTCCAACGAAGGCCTCAAAGAGGTCTGAATATCCACTTGCAGACTTTACAAACAGAGTGTTTCCTAACTGCTCTATGAAAAGAAAGGTTAAACTCTGTGAGTTGAACGCACACATCACAAACGAGTTTCTGAGAATCATTCTGTCTAGTTTTTATACGAAGATATTTCCTTTTCTACCTATGACTTCAAAGCGGCTGAAATCTCCACTTGCAAATTCCACAAAAAGAGTGTTACAAGTCTGGTCTGTGTAAAGGATCGTTCAACTCTGTGAGTTGAATACACACAACACAAGGAAGTTACTGAGAATTCTTCTGTCTAGCAGAATATAAAGAAATCCCGTTTCCAACGAAGGCCACAAGCTGTCAGAATATCTACTTACAGAATTTTCAAACAGACTGTTTCCTAACTGCTCTATGAAAAGAAAGGTTAAACTCTGTGAGTTGAACGAACACATCACAACGCAGTTTGTGGGAATGATTCTGTCTAGTTTTGAAACGAAGATATTTCCTTTTCTGCCATTGACCTTAAAGCGCTTGAAATCTCCACTTGCCAATTGCACAAAAAGAGTGTTTCAAATCTGCTCTGTCTAAGGGAACGTTCAACCCTGTGAGTTGAATGTACACAACACAAGGAAGTTACTGGGAATTCTTCTGTCTAGCCTTACAAGAAAAAAACCCGTTTCCAACGAAGGCCTCTAAATGGTCAAAATATCCACGTGCAGACTTTACAAACAGAGTGTTTCCAAACTGCTGAATGAAAAGAAAAGTTAAACTCTGAGAGTTGAACGCACACATCGCAGAGCAGTTTCTGAGAATGATTCTGTCTAGTTTTTATACGAAGATATTTCCTTTTCTGCCTTTGGCCCCAAAGCGCTTGAAATCTCCACTTGCAAATTCCACAAAAACACTGTTTCAAATCTGCTCTCTCTAAATGAAAGTTCAACTCTGTCACTTGAATACACACAACACAAGGAAGTTACTGAGAATTCTTCTGTCTAGCATAATATGAAGAAATGCCGTTTCCAACGAAGGCCTCAAAGGGGTCTGAATATCCACTTGCAGACTTTATAAACAGAGTGTTTACTAACTGCTCTATGAAAAGAAAGGTTAAACTCTGTGAGTTGAACACACACATCACAAAGGAGTTTCTGAGAATCATTCTGTCTAATTTCTATAGGAAGATATTTCCTATTCTACCATTGACCTCAAAGCGGCTGAAATCTCCACTTGCAAATTCCACAAAAAGAATGTTTCAAGTCTGCTCAGTGTAAAGGATCGTTCAACTCTGTGAGTTGAATACACACAACACAAGGAAGTTACTGAGAATTCTTCTGTCTAGCAGAATATGAAGAAATCCCGTTTCCAACGAAGACCACAAGATGTCAGAATATCCACTTACAGAATTGACAAACAGACTGTTTCCTAACTGCTCTATGAAAAGAAAGGTTAAACTCTGTGAGTTGAACGAACACATCACAACGCAGTTTGTGGGAATGATTCTGTCTAGTTTTGAAACGAAGGTATTTTCTTTTCTGCCATTGACATTAAAGCGCTTGAAATCTCCAATTCCAAATTGCACAAAAGGAGTTTTTCAAATCTGCTCTGTCTAAGGGAACGTTCAACTCTGTGAGTTGAATGCACACAACACACGGGAAGTTACTGGGAATTTTTCTGTCTAGCCTTGCAGGAAAAAAACCCGTTTCCAACGAAGGCCTCTAAGTGGTCAAAATATCCACGTGCAGACTTTACAAACAGAGTGTTTCCAAACTGCTGAATGAAAAGAAAAGTTAAACTCTGAGAGTTGAACGCACACATCGCAGAGCAGTTTCTGAGAATGATTCTGTCTAGTTTTTATACGAAGATATTTCCTTTTCTGCCTTTGGCGTCAAAGCGCTTGAAATCTCCATTTGCAAATTCCACAAAAAGAGTGTTTCAAATCTGCTCTGTGTAAATGAAAGTTCAACTCTGTGAGTTGAACACACACAACACAAGGAAGTTACTGGGAATTCTTCTGTCTAGCAGAATATGAAGAAATCCCGTTTCCAACGAAGGCCTCAAAGAGGTCTGAATATCCACTTGCAGACTTTACAAACAGAGTGTTTCCTAACTGCTCTATGAGAAGAAAAGTTAAACTCTGTGAGTTGAACGCACACATCACAAAAGATTTTGTGAGAATCATTCTGTCTAGTTTCTATAGGAAGATATTTCCTATTCTACCATTGAACTCAAAGCGGCTGAAATCTCCACTTGCAAATTCCACAAAAAGAGTGTTTCAAGTCTGCTCTGTGTAAAGGATCGTTCAACTCTGTGAGTTGAACACACACAACACAAGGAAGTTACTGAGAATTCTTCTGTGTAGCAGAATATGAAGAAATCCCGTTTCCAACGAAGGCCACAAGATGTCAGAATATCCACTTACAGAATTTACCAACAGAGTGTTTCCTAACTGCTCTATGAAAAGAAAGGTTAAACTCTGTGAGTTGAACGAACACATCACAATGCAGTTTGTGGGAATGATTCTGTCTAGTTTTTATAGGAAGACATTTCCTTTTCTACCTTTGACTTCAAAGCGGCTGAAATCTCCACTTGCAAATTCCACAAAAAGAGTGTTACAAGTCTGCTCTGTGTAAAGGATCGTTCAACTCTGTGAGTTGAATACACACAACACAAGGAAGTTACTGAGAATTCTTCTGTCTAGCCTTACATGAAAAAAACCCGTTTCCAACGAAGGCCTCTAAGTGGTCAAATTATCCACGTGCAGACTTTACAAACAGAGTGTTTCCAAACTGCTGAATGAAAAGAAAAGTTAAACTCTGAGAGTTGAACGCACACATTGCAGAGCAGTTTCTGAGAATGATTCTGTCTAGTTTTTATACGAAGATATTTCCTTTTCTGCCTTTGGCCTCAAAGCGCTTGAAATCTCCATTTGCAAATTCCACAAAAAGAGTGTTTCAAATCTGCTCTGTGTAAATGAAAGTTCAACTCTGTGAGTTGAACACACACAACACAAAGAAGTTACTGGGAATTCTTCTGTCTAGCCTTATATGAAAAAACCCGTTTCCAACGAAGGCCTCAAAGAGGTCTGAATATCCACTTGCAGACTTTACAAACAGAGTGTTTCCTAACTGCTCTATGAAAAGAAAGGTTAAACTCTGTGAGTTGAACGCACACATCACAAAGGAGTTTCTGAGAATCATTCTGTCTAGTTTCTATAGGAAGATATTTCCTATTCTACCGTTGACCTCAAAGCTGCTGAAATCTCCACTTGCAAATTCCACAAAAAGAGTGTTTCAAGTCTGCTCTCTGTAAAGGATCGTACAACTCTGTGAGTTGAATACACACAACACAAGGAAGTTACTGAGAATTATTCTGTCTAGCAGAATATGAAGAAATCCCGTTTCCACCGAAGGCCTCAAGGAGGTCTGAATATCCACTTGCAGACTTTACAAACAGAGTGTTTCCTAACTGCTCTATGAACAGAAAGGTTAAACTCTGTGTGTTGAACGCACACATCACAAAGGAGTTTATGAGAATCATTCTGTCTAGTTTTGAAACGAAGATATTTCCTTTTCTGCCATTGACCTTAAAGCGCTTGAGATCTACACTTGCAAATTGCACAAATAGAGTGTTTCAAATCTGCTCTGTCTAAGGGAACGTTCAACTCTGTGAGTTGAATGCACACAACACAAGGAAGTTACTGGGAATTCTTCTGTCTAGCCTTACATGCAAAAAACCCGTTTCCAACGAAGGCCTCTAAGTGGTCAAAATATCCACGTGCAGACTTTACAAACAGAGTGTTTCCAAACCGCTGAATGAAAAGAAAAGTTAAACTCTAAGAGTTGAACGCACACATCACGCAGCAGTTTCTGAGAATGATTCTGTCTAGTTTTTATACGAAGATATTTCCTTTTCTGCCTTTGGCCCCAAAGCGCTTGAAATCTCCACTTGCAAATTCCACAAAAACAGTGTTTCAAATCAGCTCTCTCTAAATGAAAGTTCAACTCTGTCAGTTGAATACACACAACACAAGGAAGTTACTGAGAATTCTTCTGTCTAGCCTTCTATGAAAAAAACCCGTTTCCAACGAAGGCCTCAAAGAGGTCTGAATATCCACTTGCAGACTTTACAAACAGAGTGTTTCCTAACTGCTCTATGAAAAGAAAGGTTAAACTCTGTGAGTTGAACGCACGCATCACAAAGGAGTTTCTGAGAATCATTCTGTCTAGTTTTTATAGGAAGATATTTCCTTTTCTACCTTTGATTTCAAAGCGGCTGAAATCTCCACTTGCAAATTCCACAAAAAGAGTGTTACAAGTCTGCTCTGTGTAAAGGATCGTTCAACTCTGTGAGTTGAATACACACAACACAAGGAAGTTAATGAGAATTCTTCTGTCTAGCAGAATATGAAGAAAATCCTCGTTTCCAACGAAGGCCACAAGATGTCAGAATATCCACTTACAGACTTTACAAACAGAGTGTTTCCTAACTGCTCTATGAAAAGAAAAGTTAAACTCTGTGAGTTGAACGAACACATCACAACGCAGTTTGTGGGAATGATTCTGTCTAGTTTTGAAATGAAGATATTTCCTTTTCTGGCGTTGACCTTAAAGCGCTTGAAATCTACACTTGCAAATTGCACAAATAGAGTGTTTCAAATCTGCTCTGTCTAAGGGAACGTTCAACTCTGTGAGTTGAATGCGCACAACACAAGGAAGTTACTGGGAATTCTTCTGTCTAGCCTTACATGAAAAAAACCCGTTTCCAACGAAGACCTCTAAGTGGTCAAATTATCCACGTGCAGACTTTACAAACAGAGTGTTTCCAAACTGCTGAATGAAAAGAAAAGTTAAACTGCTGAGAGTTGAACGCACACATCGCAGAGCAGTTTCTGAGAATGATTTCTGTCCAGTTTTTATAGGAAGTTATTTCCTTTTCTACCTTTGACTTCAAAGCGGCTGAAATCTCCACTTGCAAATTCCACAAAAAGAGTTTTACAAGTCTGCTCTGTGTAAAGGATCGTTCAACTCTGTGAGTTGAATACACACAACACAAGGAAAGTTACTGAGAATTCTTCTGTCTAGCCTTATATGAAAAAAAACCGTTTCCAACGAAGGCCTCTAAGAGGTCTGAATATCCACTTGCAGACTTTACAAACAGAGTGTTTCCTAACTGCTCTATGAAAAGAAAGGTTAAACTCTGTGAGTTGAACGCACACATCACAAAGGAGTTTCTGAGAATCATTCTGTCTAGTTTTTATAGGAACATATTTCCTTTTCTACCTTTGACTTCAAAGCGGCTGAAATCTCCACTTGCAAATTCCACAAAAAGAGTGTTACAAGTCTGCTCTGTGTAAAGGATCGTTCAACTCTGTGAGTTGAATACACACAACACGCGGAAGTTACTGAGAATTCTTCTGTCTAGCAGAATATGAAGAAATCCCGTTTCCAACGAAGGCCACTAGATGTCAGAATATCCACTTACAGACTTTACAAACAGAGTGTTTCCTAACTGCTCTATGAACAGAAAGGTTAAACTCTGTGAGTTGAACGAACACATCACAACGCAGTTTGTGGGAATGATTCTGTCTAGTTTTGAAACGAAGATATTTCCTTTTCTGCCATTGACCTTAAAGCGCTTGAAATCTACACTTGCAAATTGCACAAATACAGTGTTTCAAATCTGCTCTGTCTAAGGGAACGTTCAACTCTGTGAGTTGAATGCAAACAACACAAGGAAGTTACTGGGAATTCTTCTGTCTAGCCTTACATGAAAAAAACCCGTTTCCAACGAAGGCCTCTAAGTGTTCAAAATATGCACGTGCAGACTTTACAAACAGAGAGTTTCCAAACTGCTGAATGAAAAGAAAAGTTAAACTCTGAGAGTTGAACGCACACATCACAGAGCAGTTTCTGAGAATGATTCTGTCTAGTTTTGAAACGAAGATATTTCCTTTTCTGCCTTTGGCCTCAAAGCGCTTGAAATCTCCACTTGCAACTTCCACAAAAAGAGTGTTTCAAATCTGCTCTGTGTAAATGAAAGTTCAACTCTGTGAGTTGAACACACACAACACAAGGAAGCTACTGGGAATTCTTCTGTCTAGCCTTATATGAAAAAAACCCGTTTCCAACGAAGGCCTCAAAGAGGTCTCAATATCCACTTGCAGACTTTACAAACAGAGTGTTTCCTAACTACTCTATGAAAAGAAAGGTTAAACTCTGTGAGTTGAACGTACACATCACAAAGGAGTTTCTGAGAATCATTCTGTCTAGTTTTTATAGGAAGATATTTCCTTTTCTACCTTTGACTTCAAAGCGGCTGAAATCTCCACTTGGAAATTCCACAAAAAGAGTGTTACAAGTCTGCTCTGTGTAAAGGATCGTTCAACTCTGTGAGTTGAATACACACAACACAAGGAAAGTTACTGAGAATTCTTCTGTCTAGCAGAATATGAAGAAATCCCGTTTCAAACGAAGGCCACAAGATGTCAGAATATCCACTTACAGAATTTACAAACAGAGTGTTTCCTAACTGCTCTATGAAAAGAAAGGTTAAACTCTGTGAGTTGAACGAACACATCACAACGCAGTTTGTGGGAATGATTCTGTCTAGTTTTGAAACGCAGATATTTCCTTTTCTGCCATTGACCTTAAAGCGCTTGAAATCTCCACTTGCCAATTGCACAAAAAGAGTATTTCAAATCTGCTCTGTCTAAGGGAACGTTCAACTCTGTGAGTTGAATGTACACAACACAAGGAAGTTACTGGGAATTCTTCTGTCTAGCCTTACAGGAAAAAAACCCGTTTCCAACGAAGGCCTCTAAGTGGTCAAATTATCCACGTGCAGACTTTACAAACAGATTGTTTCCAAACTGCTGAATGAAAAGAAAAGTTAAACTCTGAGAGTTGAACGCACACATCGCAGAGCAGTTTCTGAGAATGATTCTGTCTAGTTTTTATACGAAGATATTTCCTTTTCTGCCTTTGGCCTCAAAGCGCTTGAAATCTCCACTTGCAAATTCCACAAAAAGAGTGTTTCAAATCTGCTCTGTGTAAATGAAAGTTCAACTCTGTGAGTTGAATACACACAACACAAGGAAGTTACTGGGAATTCTTCTGTCTAGCATAATATGAAGAAATTCCGTTTCCAACGAAGGCCTCAAAGAGGTCTGAATATCCACTTGCAGACTTTACAAACAGAGTGTTTCCTAACTGCTCTATGAAAAGAAAAGTTAAACTCTGTGTGTTGAACGCACACATCACAAAGGAGTTTCTGAGAATCATTCTGTCTAGTTTTTATAGGAAGATATTTCCTTTTCTACCTTTGACTTCAAAGCGGCTGAAATCTCCACTTGCAAATTCCACAAAAAGAGTGTTACAAGTCCGCTCTGTGTAAAGGATCGTTCAACTCTGTGAGTTGAATACACACAACACAAGGAAGTTACTGAGAATTCTTCTGTCTTGGAGTATATGAAGAAATGCCATTTCCAACCAAGGCCACAAAATGTCAGAATATCCACTTACAGACTTTACAAACAGAGTGTTTCCTAACTGCTCTATGAACAGAAAGGTTAAACTCTGTGAGTTGAACGAACACATCACAACGCAGTTTGTGGGATTGATTCTGTCTAGTTTTGAAACGAAGATATTTCCTTTTCTGCCATTGAACTTAAAGCGCTTGAAATCTCCATTTGCCAATTGCACAAAAAGAGTGTTTCAAATCTGCTCTGTCTAAGGGAACGTTCAACTCTGTGAGTTGAATGTACACAACACAAGGAAGTTCCTGGGAATTCTTCTGTCTAGCCTTACAGGAAAAAAACCCGTTTCCAACGAAGGCCTCTAAGTGGTCAAAATATCCACGTGCAGACTTTACAAACAGAGTGTTTCCAAACTGCTGAATGAAAAGAAAAGTTAAACTCTGAGAGTTGAGCGCACACATCGCAGAGCAGTTTCTGAGAATGATTTTGTCTAGTTTTTATACGAAGATATTTCCTTTTCTGCCTTTGGCCCCAAAGCGCTTGAAATCTCCACTTGCAAATTCCACAAAAACAGTGTTACAAATCTGCTCTCTCTAAATGAAAGTTCAACTCTGTCAGTTGAAAACACACAACACAAGGAAGTTACTGAGAATTCTTCTTTCTAGCAGAACATGAAGAAATCCCGCTTCCAACGAAGGCCTCAAAGAAGTCTGAATATCCACTTGCACACTTTACAAACAGAGTGTTTCCCAACTGCTCTATGAAAAGAAAGGTTGAACTCTGTGAGTTGAACGCACACATCACAAAGGAGTTTCTGAGAATCATTCTGTCTAGTTTCTACAGGAAGATATTTCCTATTCTACCATTGAACTCAAAGCGGCTGAAATCTCCACTTGCAAATTCCACAAAAAGAGTGTTTCAAGTCTGCTCTGTGTAAAGGATCGTTCAACTCTGTGAGTTGAATACACACAACACAAGGAAGTTACTGAGAATTCTTCTGTCTAGCAGAATATGAAGAAATTCCGTTTCCAACGAAGGCCACAAGATGTCAGAATATCCACTTACAGACTTTACAAACAGAGTGTTTCCTAACTGCTCTATGAACAGAAAGGTTAAACTCTGTGAGTTGAACGAGCACTTCACAACGCAGTTTGTGGGAATGATTCTGTCTAGTTTTGAAACGAAGATATTTCCTTTTCTGCCATTGACCTTAAAGCGCTTGAAATCTACACTTGCAAATTGCACAAATAGAGTGTTTGAAATCTGCTCTGTCTAAGGGAACGTTCATCTCTGTGAGTTGAATGCACACAACACAAGGAAGTTACTGGGAATTCTTCTGTCTAGCCTTACATGAAAAAAACCCGTTTCCAAAGAAGACCTCTAAGTGGTCAAAATGTCCACGTGCAGACTTTACAAACAGAGTGTTTCCAAACCGGTGAATGAAAAGAAAAGTTAAACTCTGAGAGTTGAACGCACACATCACGCAGCAGTTTCTGAGAATGATTCTGTCTAGTTTTTATACGAAGATATTTCGTTTTCTGCCTTTGGCCCCAAAGCGCTTGAAATCTCCACTTGCAAATTCCACAAAAACAGTGTTTCAAATCTGCTCTCTCTAAATGAATGTTCAACTCTGTCAGTTGAATAAGCACAACACAAGGAAGTTACTGAGAATTCTTCTGTCTAGCATAGTATGAAGAAATCCCGTTTCCAACGAAGGCCTCAAAGAGGTCTGAATATCCACTTGCAGAGTTTACAAACAGAGTGTTTCCTAACTGCCCTATGAAAAGAAAGGTTAAACTCTGTGAGTTGAACGCACACATCACAAAGAAGTTTCTGAGAATCATTCTGTCTAGTGTTTCTACGAAGATATTTCCTTTTCTACTATTGACCTCAAAGCGGCTGAAATCTCCACTTGCAAATTCCACAAAAAGAGTGTTTCAAGTCTGCTCTGTGTAAAGGATCGTTCAACTCTGAGAGTTGAATACACACAACACAAGGAAGTTACTGAGAATTCTTCTGTCTAGCAGAATATGAAGTAATCCCGTTTCCAGCGAGGCCACAAGATGTCAGAATATCCACTTACAGAATTTACAAACAGACTGTTTCCTAACTGCTCTATGAAAAGAAAGGTTAAACTCTGTGAGTTGAACAAACGCATCACAACGCAGTTTGTGGGAATGATTCTGTCTAGTTTTGAAACGAAGATATTTCCTTTTCTGCCGTTGACCTTAAAGCGGTTGAAATCTACACTTGCAAATTGCACAAATAGAGTGTTTCAATTCTGCTCTGTCTAAGGAAACGTTCAACTCTGTGACTTGAATGCACACAACACAAGGAAGTTACTGGGAATTCTTCTGTCTAGCCTTACATGAAAAAAACCCGTTTCAAATGAAGGCCTCTAAGAGGTCAAATTATCCACGTGCAGACTTTACAAACAGAGTGTTTCCAAACTGCTGAATGAAAAGAAAAGTTAAACTCTGAGAGTTGAACGCACACATCGCAGAGCAGTTTCTGAGAATGATTCTGTCTAGTTTTTATACGAAGATATTTCCTTTTCTGCCTTTGGCACCAAAGCGCTTGAAATCTCCATTTGCAAATTCCACAAAAACAGTGTTTCAAATCTGCTCTCTCTAAATGAAAGTTCAACTCTGTCAGTTGAATACACACAACACAAGGAAGTTACTGAGAATTCTTCTGTCTAGCATAATATGAAGAAATCCCGTTTCCAACGAAGGCCTCAAAGGGGTCTGAATATCCACTTGCAGACTTTATAAACAGAGTGTTTACTAACTGCTCTATGAAAAGATAGGTTAAACTCTGTGAGTTGAACACACACATCACAAAGGAGTTTCTGAGAATCATTCTGTCTAGTTTTTATACGAAGATATTTCCTTTTCTACCATTGACCTCAAAGCGGCTGAAATCTCCACTTGCAAATTACACAAAAAGAGTGTTTCAAGTCTACTCTGTGTAAAGCATCGTTCAACTCCGTGAGTTGAAAACACACAACACAAGGAAGTTTCTGAGAATTCTTCTGTCTAGCAGAATATGAAGAAATCCCGTTTCCAACGAAGGCCTCAAAGACGTCTGAATATCCACTTGCAGACTTTACAAACAGAGTGTTTCCTAACGGCTCTATGAAAAGAAAGGTTAAACTCTGTGAGCTGAACGCACACAGCACAAAGGAGTTTCTGAGAATCATTCTGTCTAGTTTCTATAGGAAGATATTTCCTATTCTACCATTGACCTCAAAGCGGCTGAAATCTCCAATTGCAAGTTCCACAAAAGGAGTGTTTCAAGCCTGCTCTGAGTAAAGGATCGTTCAACTCTGTGAGTTGAATACACACAACACAAGGAAGTTACTGAGAATTCTTCTGTCTAGCCTTACATGAAAAAAACCCGTTTCCAACGAAGGCCTCTAAGTGGTCAAAATATCCACGTGCAGACTTTACAAACAGAGTGTTTCCAAACGGCTGAATGAAAAGAAAAGTTAAAGTCTGAGAGTTGAACGCACACATCACGCAGCAGTTTTTGAGAATGATTCTGTCTAGTTTTTCTACGAAGATATTTCCTTTTCTACTATTGACCTCAAAGAGGCTGAAATCTCCACTTGCAAATTCCACAAAAAGAGTGTTTCAAGTCTGCTCTGTGTAAAGGATCGTTCAACTCTGTGAGTTGAATACACACAACACAAGGAAGTTACTGAGAATTCTTCTGTCTAGCAGAATATGAAGAAATCCCGTTTCCAACGAAGGCCTCAAAGAGGTCTGAATATCCACTTGCAGACTTTACAAACAGAGTGTTTCCTAACTCCTCTATGAAAAGAAAAGTTAAACTCTGTGAGTTGAACGCACACATCACAAAGGAGTTTATGAGAATCATTCTGTCTAGTTTTTAGACGAAGATATTTCCTTTTCTACCATGGACCTCAAAGCGGCTGAAATCTCCACTTGCAAATTCCACAAAAAGAGTGTTTCAAGTCTGCTCTGTGTAAAGGATCGTTCAACTCTGTGAGTTGAATACACACAACACAAGGAAGATTCTGAGAATTCTTCTGTCTAGCAGAATATGAAGAAATCCCGTTTCCAACGAAGGCCACAAGATGTCAGAATATCCACTTACAGACTTTACAAACAGAGTGTTTCCTAACTGCTCTATGAACAGAAAGGTTAAACTCTGTGAGTTGAACGCACACATCACAAAGGAGTTTATGAGAATCATTCTGTCTAGTTTTTATACGAAGATATTTCCTTTTCTACCATTGACCTCAAAGCGGCTGAAATCACCACTTGCCAATTGCACAAAAAGAGTGTTTCAAATCTGCTCTGTCTAAGGGAACGTTCAACTCTGTGAGTTGAATGTACACAACACAAGGAAGTTACTGGGAATTCTTCTGTCTAGCCTTACATGAAAAAAAACCCGTTTCCAACGAAGGCCTCTAAGTGGTCAAATTATCCACGTGCAGACTTTACAAACAGAGTGTTTCCAAACTGCTGAATGAAAAGAAAAGTTAAACTCGGAGAGTTGAACGCACACATCGCAGAGCAGTTTCTGAGAATGATTCTGTCTAGTTTTTATACGAAGATATTTCCTTTTCTGCCTTTGGCCTCAAAGCGCTTGAAATCTCCATTTGCAAATTCCACAAAAAGAGTGTTTCAAATCTGCTCTGTGTAAATGAAAGTTCAACTCTGTGAGTTGAATACACACAACACAAGGAAGTTACTGGGAATTCTTCTGTCTAGCATAATATGAAGAAATCCCGTTTCCAACGACGGCCTCAAAGAGGTCTGAATATCCACTTGCAGACTTTACAAACAGAGTGTTCCCTAACTGCTCTATGAAAAGAAAGGTTAAACTCTGTGTGTTGAACGCACACATCACAAAGGAGTTTCTGAGAATCATTCTGTCTAGTTTCTATAGGAAGATATTTCCTATTCTACCTTTGACCTCAAAGCGGCTGAAATCTCCACTTGCAAATTCCAGAAAAAGAGTGTTTCAACTCTGCTCTGTGTAAGAGATCGTTCAACTCTGTGAGTTGAATACACACAACACAAGGAAGTTACTGAGAATTCTTGTGTATAGCATAATATGAAGAAATCCCGTTTCCAAAGAAGGCCTCAAAGAGGTCTGAATATCCACTTGCAGACTTTGCAAACAGAGTGTTTCCTAACTGCTCTATGAAAAGAAAGGTTAAACTCTGTGAGTTGAACGCACACATCACAAAGGAGTTTCTGAGAATCATTCTGTCTAGTTTTGAAACGAAGATATTTCCTTTTCTGCCATTGACCTTAAGCGCTTGAAATCTCCACTTGCCAATTGCACAAAAAGAGTGTTTCAAATCTGCTCTGTCCAAGGGAACGTTCAACTCTGTAAGTTGAATGTACACAACACAAGGAAGTTACTGGGAATTATTCTGTCTAACCTTACATGACAAAAACCCGCTTCCAACGAAGGCCTCTAAGTGGTCAAAATATACACGTGCAGACTTTACAAACAGAGTGTTTCCAAACTGCTGAATGAAAAGAAAAGTTAAACTCTGAGCGCTGAAGGCACACATCGCAGAGCAGTTTCTGAGAATGATTCTGTCTAGTTTTTATACGAAGATATTTCCTTTTCTGCCTTTGGCCCCAAAGCGCTTGAAATCTCCACTTGCAAATTCCACAAAAAGAGTGTTTCAAATCTGCTCTCTCTAAATGAAAGTTCAACTCTGTCAGTTGAATACACACAACACAAGGAAGTTACTGAGAATTCTTCTGTCTAGCATAGTATGATGAAATCCCGTTTCCAACGAAGGCCTCAAAGAGGACTGAATATCCACTTGCAGAGATTACAAGCAGAGTGTTTCCTAACTGCTCTATGAAAAGAAAAGTTAAACTCTGTGAGTTGAACGCACACATCACAAAGAAGTTTCTGAGAATCATTCTGTCTAGTTTCTATAGGAAAATATTTCCTATTCTACCATTGACCTCAAAGCGGCTGAAATCTCCACTTGCAAATTCCACAGAAAGAATGTTTCAAGTCTGCTCTGTGTAAAGGATCGTTCAACTCTGTGAGTTGAATACACACAACACAAGGAAGTTACTGAGAATTCTTCTGTCTAGCATAATATGAAGAAATCCCGTTTCCAACGAAGGCCTCAAAGAGGTCTGAATATCCACTTGCAGACTTTACAAACAGAGTGTTTCCTAACGGCTCTATGAAAAGAAAAGTTAAACTCTGTGAGTTGAACGCACACATCACAAAGGAGTTTCTGAGAATGATTCTGTCTAGTTTTGAAACGAAGATATTTCCTTTTCTGCCGTTGACCTTAAACCGCTTGAAATCTACACTTGGAGATTGCACAAATAGAGTGTTTCAAATCTGCTCTGTCTAAGGGAACGTTCAACTCTGTGACTTGAATGCACACAACACAAGGAAGTTACTGGGAATTCTTCTGTCTAGCCTTAAATGAAAAAAACCCGTTTCCAACGAAGGCCTCTAAGTGGTCAAAATATCCACGTGCAGACTTTACAAACAGAGTGTTTCCAAACTGCTGAATGAAAAGAAAAGTTAAACTCTGAGAGTTGAACGCACACATCGCAGAGCAGTTTCTGAGAATGATTCTGTCTAGTTTTTATACGAAGATATTTCCTTTTCTGCCTTTGGCCTCAAAGCGCTTGAAATCTCCACTTGCAAATTCCACAAAAAGAGTGTTACAAGTCTGCTCTGTGTAAAGGATCGTTCAACTCTGTGAGTTGAATACACACAACACAAGGAAGTTACTGAGAATTCTTCTGTCTAGCCTTATATGAAAAAAACCCGTTTCCAACGAAGGCCTCAAAGAGGTCTGAATATCCACTTGCAGACTTTCCAAACAGAGTGTTTCCTAACTGCTCTATGAAAAGAAAGGTTAAACTCTGTGAGTTGAACGCACACATCACAAAGGAGTTTCTGAGAATCATTCTGTGTAGTTTCTATAGGAAGATATTTCCTATTCTACCATTGAACTCAAAGCGGCTGAAATCTCCACTTGCAAATTCCACAAAAAGAGTGATTCAAGTCTGCTCTGTGTAAAGGATCGTTCAACTCTGTGAGTTGAATACACACAACACAAGGAAGTTACTGAGAATTCTTCTGTCTAGCAGAATATGAAGAAATCCCGTTTCCAACGAAGGCCACAAGATGTCAGAATATCCACTCACAGACTTTACAAACAGAGTGTTTCCTAACTGCTCTATGAACAGAAAGGTTAAACTCTGTGAGTTGAACGAACACATCACAACGCAGTTTGTGGGAATGATTCTGTCTAGTTTTGAAACGAAGATATTTCCTTTTCTGCCGTTGACCTTAAAGCGCTTGAAATCTACACTTGCAAATTGCACAAATAGAGTGTTTCAAATCTGCTCTGTCTAAGGGAACGGTTCAACTCTGTGAGTTGAATGCACACAACACAAGGAAGTTACTGGGAATTCTTCTGTCTAGCCTTACATGAAAAAAACCCGTTTCCAACGAAGGCCTCTAAGTGTTCAAAATATCCACGTGCAGACTTTACAAACAGAGTGTTTCCAAACTGCTAAATGAAAAGAAAAGTTAAACTCTGAGAGTTGAACGCACACATCACAGAGCGGTTTCTGAGAATGATTCTGTCTAGTTTTTATACGAAGATATTTCCTTTTCTGCCTTTGGCCTCAAAGCGCTTGAAATCTCCACTTGCAAATTCCACAAAAAGAGTGTTTCAAATCTGCTCTGTGTAAATGAAAGTTCAACTCTGTGAGTTGAACACACACAACAGAAGGAAGTTACTGGGAATTCTTCTGTCTAGCAGAATTTGAAGAAATCCCGCTTCCAACGAAGGCCTCAAAGAAGTCTGAATATCCACTTGCAGACTTTACGAACAGAGTGTTTCCCAACTGCTCTATGAAAAGAAAGGTTGAACTCTGTGAGTTGAACGCACACATCACAAAGGAGTTTCTGAGAATCATTCTGTCTAGTTTCTATAGGAAGATATTTCCTATTCTACCATTGAACTCAAAGCGGCTGAAATCTCCACTTGCAAATTTCACAAAAAGAGTGTTTCAAGTCTGCTCTGTGTAAAGAATCGTTCAACTCTGTGAGTTGAATACACACAACACAAGGAAGTTACTGAGAATTCTTCTGTCTAGCAGAATATGAAGAAATCCCGTTTCCAACGAAGGCCACAAGATGTCAGAATATCCACTTACAGACTTTACAAACAGAGTGTTTCCTAACTGCTCTATGAACAGAAAGGTTAAACTCTGTGAGTTGAACGAACACATCACAACGCAGTTTTTGGGAATGATTCTGTCTAGTTTTGAAACGAAGATATTTCCTTTTCTGCCACTGACCTTAAAGCGCTTGAAATCTCCACTTGCCAATTGCACAAAAAGAGTGTTTCAAATCTGCTCTGTCTAAGGGAACGTTCAACTCTGTGAGCTGAATGTAAGCAACAGAAGGAAGTTACTGGGAATTCTTCTGTCTAGCCTTACATGAAAAAAACCCGTTTCCAACGAAGGCCTCTAAGTGGTCAAAATATCCACGTGCAGACTTTACAAACAGAGTGTCTCCAAACCGCTGAATGAAAAGAAAAGTTAAACTCTGAGAGTTGAACGCACACATCACGCAGCAGTTTCTGAGAATGATTCTGTCTAGTTTATATACGAAGATATTTCGTTTTCTGCCTTTGGCCCCAAAGCGCTTGAAATCTCCACTTGCAAATTCCACAAAAACAGTGTTTCAAATCTGCTCTCTCTAAATGAAAGTTCAACTCTGTCAGTTGAATACACACAACACAAGGAAGTTACTGAGAATTCTTCTGTCTAGCAGAATATGAAGAAATCCCGTTTCCAACGAAGGCCTCAAAGAGGTCTGAATATCCACTTGCAGACTTTATAAACAGAGTGTTTCCTAACTGCTCTATGAAAAGAAAGGTTAAACTCTGTGAGTTGAACGCACACATCACAAAGGAGTTTCTGAGAATCATTCTGTCTAATCTTTATACGTAGATATTTCCTTTTCTACCATTGACCTCAAAGCGGCTGAAATCTCCACTTGCAAATTCCACAAAAAGAGTGTTTCAAGTCTGCTCTGTGTAAAGGATCATTCCACTCTGTGATTTGAATACACACAACACAAGGAAGTTACTGAGAATTCTTCTGTCTAGCAGAATATGAAGAAATCCCGTTTCCAACGAAGGCCACAAGATGTCAGAATATCCACTTACAGACTTTACAAACAGAGTGTTTCCTAACTGCTCTATGAACAGAAAGGTTAAACTCTGTGAGTTGAACGAAAACATCACAACGCAGTTTGTGGGAATGATTCTGTCTAGTTTTGAAACGAAGAAATTTCCTTTTCTGCCATTGACCTTAAAGCGCTTGAAATCTACACTACAAATTGCACAAATAGAGTGTTTCAAATCTGCTCTGTCTAAGGGAACGTTCAACTCTGTGAGTTGAATGCACACAACACAAGGAAGTTACTGGGAATTCTTCTGTCTAGCCTTACAGGAAAAAAACCCGTTTCCAACGAAGGCCTCTAAGTGGTCAAAATATCCACGTGCAGACTTTACAAACAGAGTGTTTCCAAACGGCTGAATGAAAAGAAAAGTTAAAGTCTGAGAGTTGAACGCACACATCACGCAGCAGTTTCTGAGAATGATTCTGTCTAGTTTTTATACGAAGATATTTCCTTTTCTGCCTTTGGCCGCAAAGCGCTTGAAATCTCCACTTGCAAATTCCACAAAAACAGTGTTTCAAATCTGCTCTCTCTAAATGAAAGTTCAACTCTGTCAGTTGAATACACACAACACAAGGAAGTTACTGAGAATTCTTCTGTCTAGCAGAATAGGAAGAAATCCCGTTTCCAACGAAGGCCTCAAGGAGGTCTGAATATCCACTTGCAGACTTTACAAACAGAGTGTTTCCTAACTGCTCTATGAACAGAAAGGTTAAACTCTGTGAGTTTAACGCACACATCACAAAGGAGTTTCTGAGAATCATTCTGTCTAGTTTCTATAGGAAGATATTTCCTATTCTATCATTGACCTCAAAGCGGCTGAAATCTCCACTTGCGAATTCCACAAAAAGAGTGTTTCAAGTCTGCTCTCTGTAAAGGATCGTTCAACTCTGTGAGTTGAATACACACAACACAAGGAAGTTACTGAGAATTCTTCTCTCTAGCAGAATATGAAGAAATCCCGTTTCCATCGAAGGCCACAAGATGTCAGAATATCCACTTACAGAATTGACAAACAGACTGTTTCCTAACTGCTCTATGAAAAGAAATGTTAAACTCTGTGAGTTGAACGAACACATCACAACGCAGTTTGTGGGAATGATTCTGTCTAGTTTTGAAACGAAGATATTTCCTTTTCTGCCATTGACTTTAAAGCGCTTGAAATCTCCACTTGCCAATTGCACAAAAAGAGTGTTTCAAATCTGCTCTGTCTAAGGGAACGTTCAACTCTGTGAGTTGAATGTACACAACACAAGGAAGTTACTGGGAATTCCTCTGTCTAGCCTTACATGAAAAAAACCCGTTTCCAACGAAGGCCTCTAAGTGGTCAAGTTATCCACGTGCAGACTTTACAAACAGAGTGTTTCCAAACTGCTGAATGAAAAGAAAAGTTAAACTTCTGAGAGTTGAACGCACACATCGCAGAGCAGTTTCTCAGCATGATTCTGTCTAGTTTTTATACGAAGATATTTCCTTTTCTGCCTTTGGCCTCAAAGCGCTTGAAATCTCCACTTGCAAATTCCACAAAAAGAGTGTTTCAAATCTGCTCTGTGTAAATGAATGTAGAACTCTGTGAGTTGAACACACACAACACAAGGAAGTTACTGGGAATTCTTCTGTCTAGCCTTATATGAAAAAACCCGTTTCCAACGAAGGCCTCAAAGAGGTCTGAATATTCACTTGCAGACTTTAGAAACAGAGTGTTTCCTAACTGCTCTATGAAAAGAAAGGTAAAACTCTGTGAGTTGAACGCACACATCACAAAGGAGTTTCTGAGAATCATTCTGTCTAGTTTTGAAACGAAGATATTTCCTTTTCTGCCTTTGGCCTCAAAGCGCTTGAAATCTCCACTTGCAAATTCCACAAAAAGAGTGTTACAAGTCTGCTCTGTGTAAAGGATCGTTCAACTCTGTGAGTTGAATACACACAACACAAGGAAGTTACTGAGAATTCTTCTGTCTAGCATAATATGAAGAAATCCCGTTTCCAACGAAGGCCTCAAAGAGGTCTGAATATCCACTTGCAGAGTTTACAAACAGAGTGATTCCTAACTGCTCTATGAACAGAAAGGTTAAACTCTGTGAGTTGAACGAACACATCACAACGCAGTTTGTGGGAATGATTCTGTCTAGTTTTGATACGAAGATATTTCCTTTTCTGCCATTGACCTTAAAGCGCTTGTAATCTCCACTTGCCAATTGCCCAAAAAGAGTGTTTCAAATCTGCTCTGTCTAAGGGAACGTTCAACTCTGTGAGTTGAATGTACACAACACAAGGAAGTTACTGGGAATTCTCCTGTCTAGCCTTACATGAAAAAAACCCGTTTCCAACGAAGGCCTCTAAGTGGTCAAAATATCCACGTGCAGACTTTACAAACAGAGTGTTTCCAAACTGCTGAATGAAAAGAAAAGTTAAACTCTGAGAGTTGAACGCACACATCACAGAGCAGTTTCTGAGAATGATTCTGTCTAGTTTTGAAACGAAGATATTTCCTTTTCTGCCTTTGGCCTCAAAGCGCTTGAAATCTCCACTTGCAAATTCCACAAAAAGAGTGCTTCAAATCTGCTCTGTGTAAATGAAAGTTCAACTCTGTGAGTTGAACACACACAACACAAGGAAAGTTACTGGGAATTCTTCTGTCTAGCCTTATATGAAAAAAACCCGTTTCCAACGAAGGCCTCAAAGAGGTCTGAATATCCACTTGCAGACTTTACAAACAGAGTGTTTCCTAACTGCTCTATGAAAAGAAAAGTTAAACTCTGTGAGTTGAACGTACACATCACAAAGGAGTTTCTGAGAATCATTCTGTCTACTTTCTATAGGAAGATATTTCCTATTCTACCATTGACCTCAAAGCGGATGAAATCTCCACTTGCAAATTCCACAAAAGGAGTGTTGCAAGTCTGCTCTGTGTAAAGGATCGTTCAACTCTGTGAGTTGAAAACACACAACACAAGGAAGTTTCTGAGAATTCTTCTGTCTAGCAGAATATGAAGAAATCCCGTTTCCAACGAAGGCCACAAGATGTCAGAATATCCACTTACAGACTTTACAAACAGAGTGTTTCCTAACTGCTCTATGAACAGAAAGGTTAAACTCTGTGAGTTGAATGAACACATCACAACGCAGTTTGTGGGAATGATTCTGTCTAGTTTTGAAACGAAGATATTTCCTTTTCTGCCATTGACCTTAAAGCGCTTGAAATCTCCATTTGCCAATTGCACAAAAAGAGTGTTTCAAATCTGCTCTGTCTAAGGGAACGTTCAACTATGTGAGTTGAATGTACACAACACAAGGAAGTTACTGGGAATTCTTCTGTCTAGCCTTACAGGAAAAAAACCCGTTTCCAACGAAGGCCTCTAAGTGGTCAAAATATCCACGTGCAGACTTTACAAACAAAGTGTTTCCAAACTGCTGAATGAAAAGAAAAGTTAAACTCTGAGAGTTGAACGCACACATCGCAGAGCAGTTTCTGAGAATGATTCTGTCTAGTTTTGAAACGAAGATATTTCCTTTTCTACCTTTGGCCTCAAACTGCTTGAAATCTCCACTTGCAAATTCCACAAAAAGAGTGTTTCAAATCTGCTCTGTGTAAATGAAAGTTCAACTCTGTGAGTTGAACACACACAACACAAGGAAGTTACTGGGAATTCTTCTGTCAAGCAGAATATGAAGAAATCCCGCTTCCAACGAAGGCCTCAAAGAAGTCTGAATATCCACTTGCAGACTTTACAAACAGAGTGTTTCCCAACTGCTCTATGAAAAGAAAGGTTGAACTCTGTGAGTTGAACGCACACATCACAAAAGAGTTTCTGAGAATCATTCTGTCTAGTTTCTATACGAAGATATTTCCTTTTCTACCATTGACCTCAACGCGGCTGAAATCTCCACTTGCAAATTCCACAAAAAGAGTGTTTCAAGTCCGCTCTGTGTAAAGGATCGTTCAACTCTGTGAGTTGAATACACACAACACAAGGAAGTTACTGAGAATTCTTCTGTCTAGCAGAATATGAAGAAATCCCGTTTCCAACGAAGGCCACAAGATGTCAGAATATCCACTTACAGAATTTACAAACAGACTGTTTCCTAACTGCTCTATGAAAAGAAAGGTTAAACTCTGTGTGTTGAACGAACACATCACAACGCAGTTTGTGGGAATGATTCTGTCTAGTTTTGAAACGAAGATATTTCCTTTTCTGCCGTTGACCTTAAAGCGCTTGAAATCTACACTTGCAAATTGGACAAATAGAGTGTTTCAAATCTGCTCTGTCTAAGGGAACGTTCAACTCTGTGAGTTGAATGCACACAACACAAGGAAGTTACTGGGAATTCTTCTGTCTAGCCTTACATGAAAAAAACCCGTTTCCAACGAAGGCCTCTAAGTGTTCAAAATATCCACGTGCAGACTTTACAAACAGAGTGTTTCCAAACTGCTGAATGAAAAGAAAAGTTAAACTCTGAGAGTTGAACGCACACATCACAGAGCAGTTTCAGAGAATGATTCTGTCTAGTTTTTATACGAAGATATTTCCTTTTCTGCCTTTGGCCCCAAAGCGCTTGAAATCTCCACTTGCAAATTCCACAAAAACAGTGTTTCAAATCTGCTCTCTCTAAATGAAAGTTCAACTCTGTCAGTTTGAATACACACAACACAAGGAAGTTACTGAGAATTCTTCTGTCTAGCAGAATATGAAGAAATCCCGTTTCCAACGAAGGCCTCAACGAGGTCTGAATATCCACTTGCAGACTTTACAAACAGAGTGTTTCCTAACTGCTCTATGAAAAGAAAGGTTAAACTCCTGTGAGTTGAACACACACATCACAAAGGAGTTTCTGAGAATCATTCTGTCTAGTTTCTATACGAAGATATTCCCTTTTCTACCATTGACCTCAAAGCGGCTGAAATCTCCACTTGCAAATTCCACAAAAAGAGTGTTTCAAGTCTGCTCTGTGTAAAGGATCGTTCAACTCTGTGAGTTGAATACACACAACACAAGGAAGTTACTGAGAATTCTTCTGTCTAGCAGAATATGAAGAAATCCCGTTTCCAACGAAGGCCACAAAGAGGTCTGAATATCCACTTGCAGACTTTACAAACAGAGTGTTTCCTAACTGCTGTATGAAAAGAAAGGTTAAACTCTGTGACTTGAACGCACACATCACAAAGGAGTTTCTGAGAATCAATCTGTCTAGTTTCTATAGGAAGATATTTCATTTTCTACCATTAACCTCAAAGAGGCTGAAATCTCCACTTGCAAATTCCACAAAAAGAGTGTTTCAAGTCTGCCCTGTGTAAAGGATCGTTCAACTCTGTGAGTTGAATACACACAACACAAGGAAGTTACTGAGAATTCTTCTGTCTAGCCTTACATGAAAAAAACCCGTTTCCAATGAAGGCCTCTAAGTGGTCAAGTTATCCACGTGCAGACTTTACAAACAGAGTGTTTCCAAACTGCTGAATGAAAAGAAAAGTTAAACTCTGAGAGTAGAACGCACACATCGCAGAGCAGTTTCTGAGAATGATTCTGTGTAGTTTTTATACGAAGATATTTCCTTTTCTGCCTTTGGCCTCAAAGCGCTTGAAATCTCCACTTGCAAATTCCAGAAAAAGAGTGTTTCAAATCTGCTCTGTCTAAATGAAAGTTCAACTCTGTCAGTTGAATACACACAACACAAGGAAGTTACTGAGAATTCTTTTTGTCTAGCCTTATATGAAAAAACCCGTTTCCAACGAAGGCCTCAAAGAGGTCTGAATATCCACTTGCAGACTTTACAAACAGAGTGTTTCCTAACTGCTCTATGAAAAGAAAGGTTAAACTCTGTGAGTTGAACACACACATCACAAAGGAGTTTCTGAGAATCATTCTGTCTAGTTTTTATACGAAGATACTTCATTTTCTACCTTTGACCTCAAAGCGGCTGAAATCTCCACTTGCAAATTCCACAAAAAGAGTGTTTCAAGTCTGCTCTGTGTAAAGGATCGTTCAACTCTGTGAGTTGAATACACACAACACAAGGAAGATTCTGAGAATTCTTCTGTGTAGCAGAATATGAAGAAATCCTGTTTCCAACGAAGGCCACAAGATGTCAGAATATCCACTTACAGAATTTACCAACAGAGTGTTTCCTAACTGCTCTATGAAAAGAAAGGTTAAACTCTGTGAGTTGAACGAACACATCACAACGCAGTTTGTGGGAATGATTCTGTCTACTTTTGAAACGAAGATATTTCCTTTTCTGCCATTGACCTTAAAGCGCTTGAAATCTACACTTGCAAATTGCACAAATAGAGTGTTTCAAATCTGCTCTGTCTAAGGGAACGTTCATCTCTGTGAGTTGAATGCACACAACACAAGGAAGTTACTGGGAATTCTTCTGTCTAGCCTTACATGAAAAAAACCCGTTTCCAACGAAGGCCACTAAGTGGTCAAAATATCCACGTGCAGACTTTACAAACAGAGTGTTTCCAAACCGCTGAATGAAAAGCAAAGTTAAACTCTGAGAAGTTGAACGCACACATCACGCAGCAGTTTCTGAGAATGATTCTGTCTAGTTTTTATACGAAGATATTTCCTTTTCTACCTTTGACTTCAAAGCGGCTGAAATCTCCAATTGCAAATTCCACAAAATGATTGTTACAAGTCTGCTCTGTGTAAAGGATCGTTCAACTCTGTGAGTTGAATACTCACAACACATGGAAGTTACTGAGAATTCTTCTCTCTAGCCTTATATGAAAAAAACCCGTTTCCAACGAACGCCTCAAAGAGGTCTGAATATCCACTTGCAGACTTTACAAACAGAGTGTTTCCTAACTGCTCTATGAAAAGAAAGGTTAAACTCTGTGAGTTCAACGCACACATCACGAAGGAGTTTCTGAGAATCATTCTGTCTAGTTTTTACAGGAAGATATTTCCTTTTCTACCATTGACCTCAAAGCGGCTGAAATCTCCACTGGCAAATTCCACAAAAAGAGTGTTTCAAGTCTGCTCTGTGTAAAGGATCGTTCAACTCTGTGAGTTGAATACACACAACACGCGGAAGTTACTGAGAATTCTTCTGTCTAGCATAATATGAAGAAATCCCGTTTCCAACGAAGGCCACAAGATGTCAGAATATCCACTTACAGACTTTACAAACAGAGTGTTTCCTAACTGCTCTATGAACAGAAAGGTTAAACTCTGTGAGTTGAACGAACACATCACAACGCAGTTTGTGGGAATCATTCTGTCTAGTTTTGAAACGAAGATATTTCCTTTTCTGCCATTGACCTTAAAGCGCTTGAAATCTACACTTGCAAATTGCACAAATAGATTGTTTCAAATCTGCTCTGTCTAAGGGAACGTTCAACTCTGTGAGTTGAATGCACACAACACAAGGAAGTTACTGGGAATTCTTCTGTCTAGCCTTACATGAAAAAAACCCGTTTCCAATGAAGGCCTCTAAGTGGTCAAAATTTCCACGTGCAGACTTTACAAACAGAGTGTTTCCAAACCGCTGAATGAAAAGAAAAGTTAAACTCTGAGAGTTGAACGCACACATCACGCAGCAGTTTCTGAGAATGATTCTGTCTAGTTTTGAAACGAAGATATTTCCTTTTCTGCCTTTGGCCTCAAAGCGCTTGAAATCTCCACTTGCAAATTTCACAAAAAGAGTGTTTCAAATCTGCTCTGTGTAAATGAAAGTTCAACTCTGTGAGTTGAACACACACAACAAAAGGAAGTTACTGGGAATTCTTCTGTCTAGCATAGTATGAAGAAATCCCGTTTCCAACGAAGGCCTCAAAGAGGTCTGAATATCGACTTGCAGAGTTTACAAACAGAGTGTTTCCTAACTGCTCTATGAAAAGAAAGGTTAAACTCTGTGAGTTGAACGCACACATCACAAAGAAGTTTCTGAGAATCATTCTGTCTAGTTTTTATATGAAGATATTTCCTTTTCTACCATTGACCTCAAAGCGGCTGAAATCTCCACTTACAAATTCCACAAAAAGAGTGTCTCAAGTCTGCTCTGTGTAAACGATCGTTCAACTCTGTGAGTTGAATACACACAACACAAGGGAAGTTTCTGAGAATTCTTCTGTATAGCAGAATATGAAGAAATCCCATTTCCAACGAAGGCCTAAAGGAGGTCTCTATATCCACTTGCAGACTTTACAAACAGAGTGTTTCCTAACTGCTCTATGAAAAGAAAGGTTAAACTCTGTGAGTTGAACGCAGACATCACAAAGGAGTTTCTGAGAATCACTATGTCTAGTTTTTATAGGAAGATATTTCCTTTTCTACATTTGACTTCAAAGCGGCTGAAATCTCCACTTGCAAATTCCACAAAAAGAGTGTTACAAGTCTGCTCTGTGTAAAGGATCGTTCAACTGTGTGAGTTGAATACACACAACACAAGGAAGTTACTGAGAATTCTTCTGTCTAGCCTTACAGGAAAAAAACCCGTTTCCAACGAAGGCCTCTAAATGGTCAAAATATCCACGTGCAGACTTTACAAACAGAGTGTTTCCAAACTGCTGAATGAAAAGAAAAGTAAAACTCTGAGAGTTGAACGCACACATCGCAGAGCAGTTTCTGAGAATGATTCTCTCTAGTTTCTATAGGAAGATATTTCCTATTCTACCATTGACCTCAAAGCGGCTGAAATCTCCACTTGCAAATTCCACAAAAAGAGTGTTTCAAGTCTGCTCTGTGTAAAGGATCGTTCAACTCTGTGAGTTGAATACACACAACACAAGGCAGTTACTGAGAATTCTTCTGTCTAGCCTTACATGAAAAAAACTTGTTTCCAACGAAGGCCTCAAAGCGGTCAAAATATCCACTTGCAGAATTTACAAACAGAGTGTTTCCTAACTGCTGTATGAAAAGAAAGGTTAAACTCTGTGAGTTGAACACACACATCACAAAGGAGTTTCTGAGAATCATTCTGTCTAGTCTTTATACGAAGATATTTCCTTTTCTACCATTGACCTCAAAGCGGCTGAAATCTCCACTTGCAAATTCCACAAAAAGAGTGTTTCAAGTCTGCTCTCTGAAAAGGATCGTTCAACTGTGTGAGTTGAATACACACAACACAAGGAAGTTACTGAGATTTCTTCTGTCTAGCAGAATATGAAGAAATCCCGTTTCCAACGAAGGCCACAAGATGTCAGAATATCCACTTACAGAATTGACAAACAGACTGTTTCCTAACTGCTCTATGAAAAGAAAGGTTAAACTCTGTGAGTTGAACGAACACATCACAACGCTGTTTGTGGGAATGATTCTGTCTAGTTTTGAAACGAAGATATTTCCTTTTCTGCCATTGACCTTAATGCGCTTGAAATCTACACTTGCAAATTGCACAAATAGAGTGTTTCAAACCTGCTCTGTCTAAGGGAACGTTCAACTCTGTGAGTTGAATGCACACAACACAAGGAAGTTACTGGGAATTCTTCTGTCTAGCCTTACAGGGAAAAGCCCTTTTCCAACGAAGGCCTCTAAGTGGTCAAAATATCCACGTGCAGACTTTACAAACAGAGTGTTTCCAAACTGCTGAATGAAAAGAAAAGTTAAACTCTGAGAGTTGAACGCACACATCGCAGAGCAGTTTCTGAGAATGATTCTGTCTAGTTTTGAAACGAAGATATTTCCTTTTCTGCCTTTGGCCTCAAAGCGCTTGAAATCTCCACTTGCAAATACCACAAAAAGAGTGTTTCAAATCTGCTCTGTGTAAATGAAAGTTCAACTCGGTGAGTTGAACACACACAACACAAGGAAGTTACTGGGAATTCTTCTGTATAGCAGAATATGAAGAAATCCCGTTTCCAACGAAAGCCTCAAAGATGTCTGAATATCCACTTGCAGACATTACAAACAGAGTGTTTCCTAACTGCTCTATGAAAAGAAAGGTTAAACTCTGTGAGTTGAACGCACACATCACAAAGGAGTTTCTGAGAATCATTCTGTCTAGTTTCTATACGAATATATTTCATTTTCTACCATTAACCTCAAAGCGGCTGAAATCTCCACTTACAAATTCCACAAAAAGAGTGTTTCAAGTCTGCTCTGTGTAAAGGATCGTTCAACTCCTTGAGTTGAATACACACAACACAAGGAAGTTGCTGAGAATTCTTCTGTCTAGCATAATATGAAGAAATCCCGTTTCCAACGAAGGCCTCAAAGCAGGTCTGAATATCCACTTACAGACTTTACAAACAGAGTGTTTCCTAACTGCTCTATGAAAAGAAAGGTTAAACTCTGTGAGTTGAACGCACACATCACAAAGGAGTTTCTGAGAATCGTTCTGTCTAGTTTTGAAACGAAGATATTTCCTTTTCTGCCATTGACCTTAAAGCGCTTCAAATCTACACTTCCAAATTGCAGAAAAAGAGTGTTTCAAATCTGCTCTGTCAAAGGGAACGTTCAACTCTGTGAGTTGAATACACACAACACAAGGAAGTTACTGGGAATTTTTCTCTCTAGCCTTAAAGGAAAAAAACCCGTTTCCAACGAAGGCCTCTAAGTGGTCAAAATATCCACGTGCAGACTTTACAAACAGAGTGTTTCCAAACTGCTGAATGAAAAGAAAAGTTAAACTCTGAGAGTTGAACGCACACATCGCAGAGCAGTTTCTGAGAATGATTCTGTCTAGCAGAATATGAAGAAATCCCGTTTCCAACGAAGGTCTCAAAGAGGTCTGAATATCCACTTGCAGACTTTACAAACAGAGTGTTTCCTAACTGCTCTATGAAAAGAAAGGTTAAACTCTGTGAGTTGAAGGCACACATCACAAAGGAGTTTCTGAGAATCATTCTGTCTAGTTTCTATAGGAAGATATTTCCTATTCTACCATTGAACTCAAAGCGGCTGAAATCTCCACTTGCAAATTCCACAAAAAGAGTGTTTCAAGTCTGCTCTGTGTAAAGGATCGTTCAACTCTGTGAGTTGAATACACACAACACAAGGAAGTTACTGAGAATTGTTCTGTCTAGCAGAATATGAAGAAATCCCGTTTCCAACGAAGGCCACAAGATGTCAGAATATCCACTTACAGACTTTACAAACAGAGTGTTTCCTAACTGCTCTATGAACAGAAAGGTTAAACTCTGTGAGTTGAACGAACCCATCACAACGCAGTTTGTGGGAATGATTCTGTCTAGTTTTGAAACGAAGATATTTCCTTTTCTGCCGTTGACCTTAAAGCGCTTGAAATCTACACTTGCAAATTGCACAAATAGAGTGTTTCAAATCTGCTCTGTCTAAGGGAACGTTCAACTCTGTGAGTTGAATGCACACAACACAAGAAGTTACTGGGAATTCTTCTGTGTAGCCTTACAGGAAAGAAACCCGTTTCCAACGAAGGCCTCTAAGTGGTCAAAATATCCACGTGCAGACTTTACAAACAGAGTTTTTCCAAACTGCTGAATGAAAAGAAAAGTTAAACTCTGAGAGTTGAACGCACACATCGCAGAGCAGTTTCTGAGAATGATTCTGTCTAGTTTTTATACGAAGATATTTCTTTTTCTGCCTTTGGCCTCAAAGCGCTTGAAATCTCCACTTGCAAATTCCACAAAAAGAGTGTTTCAAATCTGCTCTGTGTAAATCAAAGTTCAACTCTGTGAGTAGAACACACACAACACAAGGAAGTTACTGGGAATTCTTCTGTCTAGCCTTACATGAAAAAAACCCGTTTCCAACGAAGGCCTCAAAGAAGTCCAAATATCCACGTGCAGACTTACAAACAGAGTGTTTCCTAACTGCTCTATGAAAAGAAAGGTTAAACTCTGTGAGTTGAACGCCCACATCACAAAGGAGTTTCTGAGAATCATTTTGTCTAGTTTCTATAAGAAGACATTTCCTATTCTACCATTGACCTCAAAGCGGCTGAAATCTCCACTTGCAAATTCGACAAAAAGAGTGTTTCAAGCCTGCTCTCTGTAAAGGATCCTTCAACTCTGTGAGTTGAATACACACAACACAAGGAAGTTATTGAGAATTATTCTGTCTAGCAGAATATGAAGAAATCCCGTTTCCAACGAAGGCCACAAGATGTCAGAATATCCACTTACAGACTTTACAGAGTGTTTCCTAACTGCTCTATGAACAGAAAGGTTAAACTCTGTGAGTTGAACGAACACATCACAACGCAGTTTGTGGGAATGATTCTTTCTAGTTTTGAAACGAAGATATTTCCTTTTCTGCCATTGACCTTAAAGCGCTTGAAATCTACACTTGCAAATTGCACAAATAGAGTGTTTCAAATCTGCTCTGTCTAAGGGAACGTTCAACTCTGTGAGTTGAAAGCACACAACACAAGGAAGTTACTGGGAATTCTTCTGTCTAGCCTTACATGAAAAAAACCCGTTTCCAACGAAGGCCTCTAAGTGGTCAAAATATCCACGTGCAGACTTTACAAACAGAGTGTTTCCAAACCGCTGAATGAAAAGAAAAGTTAAACTCTGAGAGTTGAACGCACACATCACGCAGCAGTTTACTGAGAATGATTCTCTGTCTAGTTTTTATACGAAGATATTTACTTTTCTACCATTGACCTCAAAGCGGTTGAAATCTCCACTTGCAAATTCCACAAAAAGAGTGTTTCAAGTCTGCTCTGTGTAAAGGATCGTTCAACTCTGTGAGTTGAATACACACAACACAAGGAAGTTACTGAGAATTCTTCTTTCTAGCAGAACATGAAGAAATCCCGTTTCCAACGAAGGCCTCAAAGAATGTCTGAATATCTACTTGCAGACTTTACAAACAGAGTGTTTCCTAACTGCTCTATGAAAAGAAAGGTTAAACTCTGTGAGTTGAACGCACACATCACAAAGGATTTTCTGAGAATCATTCTGTCTAGTTTCTATAAGAAGATATTTCCTATTCTACCATTGACCTCAAAGCGGCTGAAATCTCCACTTGCAAATTCGACAAAAAGAGTGTTTCAAGCCTGCTCTCTGTAAAGGATCTTTCAACTCTGTGAGTTGAATACACACAACACAAGGAAGTTACTGAGAATTATTCCTGTCTAGCAGAATATGAAGAAATCCCGTTTCCAACGAAGGCCTCAAGGAGGTCTGAATATCCACTTGCAGACTTTACAAACAGAGTGTTTCCTAACTGCTCTATGAAAAGAAAGGTTAAACTCTTTGAGTTGAACGCACACATCACAACGCAGTTTGTGGGAATGATTCTGTCTAGTTTTGAAACGAAGATATTTCCTTTTCTGCCGTTGACCTTAAAGCGCTTGAAATCTACACTTGCAAATTGCACAAATAGAGTGTTTCAAATCTGCTCTGTCTAAGGGAACGTTCAACTGCTGTGAGTTGAATGCACACAACACAAGGAAGTTACTGGGAATTCTTCTGTCTAGCCTTACAGGAAAAAAAACCCATTTCCAACGAAGGCCTCTAAGTGGTCAAAATATCCACGTGCAGACTTTACAAACAGAGTGTTTCCAAACTGCTGAATGAAAAGAAAAGTTAAACTCTGAGAGTTGAACGTGCACACATCGCAGAGCAGTTTCTGAGAATGATTCTGTCTAGTTTTGAAACGAAGTATATTTCCTTTTCTGCCTTTGGCCTCAAATCGCTTGAAATCTCCACTTGCAAATTCCACAAAAAGAGTGTTTCAAATCTGCTCTGTGTAAATGGAAGTTCAACTCTGTGAGTTGAACACACACAACACAATGAAGTTACTGGGAATTCTTCTGTCTAGCAGAATATGAAGAAATCCCGTTTCCAACGAAGGCCTCAAAGAGGTCTGAATATCCAGTTGCAGACTTTACAAACAGAGTGTTTCCCAACTGCTCTATGAAAAGAAAAGTTAAACTCTGTGAGTTGAATGCACACATCACAAAGGAGTTTCTGAGAATCATTCTGTCTAGTTTTTATAGGAAGTTATTTCCTTTTCTACCTTTGACTTCAAAGTGGCTGAAATCTCCACATGCAAATTCCACAAAAAGAGTGTTACAAGTCTGCTCTGTGTAAAGGATCGTTCAACTCTGTGAGTTGAATACACACAACACAAGGAAGTTACTGAGAATTCTTCTGTCTAGCAGAATATAAAGAAATCCCGTTTCCAACGAAGGCCACAAGATGTCAGAATATCCACTTACAGACTTTACAAACAGAGTGTTTCCTAACTCCTCTATGAACAGAAAGGTTAAACTCTGTGAGTTGAACGAACACGTCACAACGCAGTTTGTGGGAATGATTCTGTCTAGTTTTGAAAAGAAGATATTTCCTTTTCTGCCGTTGACCTTAAAGCGCTTGAAATCTACACTTGCAAATTGCACAAATAGAGTGTTTCAAATCTGCTCTGTCTAAGGGAACGTTCCACTCTGTGAGTTGAATGCACACAACACAAGGAAGTTACTGGGAATTCTTCTGTCTAGCCTTACATGAAAAAACCCGTTTCCAACGAAGGCCTCTAAGTGGTCAAAATATCCACGTGCAGACTTTACAAACAGAGTGTTTCCAAACCGCTGAATGAAAAGAAAACTTAAACTCTGAGAGTTGAACGCACACATCACGCAGCAGTTTCTGAGAATGATTCTGTCTAGTTTTTATACGAAGGTATTTCCTTTTCTGCCTTTGGCCCCAAAGCGCTTGAAGTCTCCACTTGCAAATTCCACAAAAACAGTGCTTCAAATCTGCTCTCTCTAAATGAAAGTTCAACTCTGTGAGTTGAATACACACAACACAAGGAAGTTACTGAGAATTCTTCTGTCTAGCAGAATATGAAGAAATCCCGCTTCCAAAGAAGGCCTCAAAGAAGTCTGAATATCCACTTGCAGACTTTACAAACAGAGTGTTTCCCAACTGCTCTATGAAAAGAAAGGTTGAACTCTGTGAGTTGAACGCACACATCACAAAGGAGTTTCTGAGAATCATTCTGTCTAGTTTTTCTACGAAGATATTTCCTTTTCTACTATTGACCTAAAAGCGGCTGAAATCTCCACTTGCAAATTCCACAAAAAGAGTGTTTCAAGTCTGCTCTGTGTAAAGGATCGTTCAACTCTGTGAGTTGAATACACACAACAGAAGGAAGTTACTGAGAACTCTTCTGTCTAGCAGAATATGAAGAAATCCCGTTTCCAACGAAGGTCACAAGATGTCAGAATATCCACTTACAGAATTTACAAACAGACTGTTTCCTAACTGCTCTATGAAAAGAAAGGTTAAACTCTGTGAGTTGAACGAACACATCACAACGCAGTTTGTGGGAATGATTCTGTCTAGTTTTAAAACGAAGATATTTCCTTTTCTGCCATTGACCTTAAAGCGCTTGAAATCTACACTTGCAAATTGCACAAATAGAGTGTTTCAAATCTGCTCTGTCTAAGGGAACGTTCAACTCTGTGAGTTGAATGCACACAACACAAGGAAGTTACTGGGAATTCTTCTGTCTAGCCTTACATGAAAAAAACCCGTTTCCAACGAAGGCCTCTAAGTGGTCAAAATATCCACGTGCAGACTTTACAAACAGAGTGTTTCCAAACCGCTGAATGAAAAGAAAAGTTAAACTCTGAGAGTTGAACGCACACATCACACAGCAGTTTCTGAGAATGATTCTGTCTAGTTTTTATACGAAGATATTTCCTTTTCTGCCTTTGGCCCCAAAGCGCTTGAAATCTCCACTTGCAAATTCCACAAAAACAGTGTTTCAAATCTGCTCTCTCGAAATGAAAGTTCAACTCTGTCAGTTGAATACACACAACACAAGGAAGTTACTGACAATTCTTCTGTCTAGCATAATATGAAGAAATCCCGTTTCCAACGAAGGCCTCAAAGAGGTCTGAATATCCACTTGCAGACTTTACAAACAGAGTGTTTCCTAACTGCTATATGAAAAGAAAAGTTAAACTCTGTGATTTGAACGCACACATCACAAAGGAGTTTCTGAGAATCATTCTGTCTAGTTTTTATACGAAGATATTTCCTTTTCTACCATTGACCTCAAAGCGGCTGAAATCTCCACTTGCAATTTCCACAAAAAGAGTGTTTCCAGTCTGCTCTGTGTAAAGGATCGTTCAACTCTGTGAGTTGAATACACACAACACAAGGAAGTTACTGAGAATTCTTCTGTCTAGCATAATATGAAGAAACCCCGTTTCCAACGAAGGCCTCAAAGAGGTCTGAATATCCACATGCAGACTTTACAAACAGAGTGTTTCCTAACTGCTCTATGAAAAGAAAGGTTAAACTCTGTGAGTTGAACGCACACATCACAAAGGAGTTTCTGAGAATCATTCTGTCTAGTTTTGAAACGAAGATATTTCCTTTTCTGCCGTTGACCTTAAAGAGCTTGAAAACTACACTTGCAAATTGCACAAATAGAGTGTTTCAAATCTGCTCTGTCTAAGGGAACGTTCAACTCTGTGAGTTGAATGCACACAACACAAGGAAGTTACTGGGAATTCTTCTGTCTAGCCTTACATGAAAAAAAGCCGTTTCCAACGAAGGCCTCTAAGTGGTCAAAATATCCACGTGCAGACTTTACAAACAGAGTGTTTCCAAACCGCTGAATGAAAAGAAAAGTTAAACTCTGAGAGTTGAACGCACACATCACGCAGCAGTTTCTGAGAATGATTCTGTGTAGTTTTTATACGAAGATATTTCCTTTTCTGCCTTTGGCCCCAAAGCGCTTGAAATCTCCACTTGCAAATTCCACAAAAACAGTGTTTCAAATCTGCTCTCTCTAAATGATAGTTCAACTCTGTCAGTTGAATACACACAACACAAGGAAGTTACTGAGAATTCTTCTGTGTAGCCTTATATGAAAAAAACCCGTTTCCAACGAAGGCCTCAAAGAGGTCTGAATATCCACTTGCAGACTTTACAAACAGAGTGTTTCCTAACTGCTCTATGAAAAGAAAGGTTAAACTCTGTGAGTTGAACGCACACATCACAAAGGAGTTTCTGAGAATCATTCTGTCTAGTCTTTATACGAAGATATTTACTTTTCTACCATTGACCTCAAAGCGGCTGAAATCTCCACTTGCAATTTCCACAAAAAGAGTGTTTCAAGTCTGCTCTGTGTAAAGGATCATTCAACTCTGTGAGTTAAATACACACAACACAAGGAAGTTACTGAGAATTCTTCTGTCCAGCAGAATATGAAGAAATCCCGTTTCCAACGAAGGCCACATGATGTCATAATATCCACTTACAGTCTTTACAAACAGAGTGTTTCCTAACTGCTCTAGGAACAGAAAGGTTAAATTCTGTGAGTTGAACGAACACATCACATCGCAGTATGTGGAAATGATTCTGTCTAGTTTTGAAACGAAGATATTTCCTTTTCTGCCATTGAACTTAAAGCGCTTGAAATCTCCATTTGCCAATTGCACAAAAAGAGTGTTTCAAATCTGCTCTGTCTAAGGGAACGTTCAACTCTGTGAGTTGAATGTACACAACACAAGGAAGTTACTGGGAATTCTTCTGTCTAGCCTTACAGGAAAAAAACCCGTTTCCAACGAAGGTCTCTAAGTGGTCAAAGTATCCACGTGCAGACTTTACAAACAGAGTGTTTCCAAACTGCTGAATGAAAAGAAAAGTTAAACTCTGAGAGTTGAACGCACACATCGCAGAGCAGTTTCTGAGAATGATTCTGTCTAGTTTTTATACGAAGATATTTCCTTTTCTGCCTTTGGCCTCAAAGCGCTTGAAATCTCCATTTGCAAATTCCACAAAAAGAGTGTTTCAAATCTGCTCTGTGTAAAAGAAAGTTCAACTCTGTGAGTTGAACACACACAACACAAGGAAGTTACTGGGAATTCTTCTGTCTAGCATAATATGAAGAAAGCCTGTTTCCAAAGAAGGCCTCTAGGAGGTCTGAATATCCACTTGCAGACTTTACAAACAGAGTGTTTCCTAACTGCTCCATGAAAAGAAAGGTTAAACTCTGTGAGTTGAACGCACACATCACAAAGGAGTTTCTGAGAATCATTCTGTCTAGTTTCTATTAGAAGATATTTCCTATTCTACCATTGACCTCAAAGCGGCTGAAATCTCCACTTTCAAATTCGACAAAAAGAGTGTTTCAAGCCTGCTCTCTGTAAAGGATCCTTCAACTCTGTGAGTTGAATACACACAACACAAGGAAGTTACTGAGAATTCTTCTGTCTAGCAGAATATGAAGAAATCCCGTTTCCAACGAAGGCCACAAGATGTCAGATTATCCACTTTCAGACTTTACAAACAGAGTGTTTCCTAACTGCTCTATGAACAGAAAGGTTAAACTCTGTGAGTTGAACGAGCACATCACAACGCAGTTTGTGGGAATGATTCTGTCTAGTTTTTATACGAAGATATTTCCTTTTCTACCATTGACCTCAAAGCGGCTGAAATCACCACTTGCCAATTGCACAAAAAGTGTGTTTCAAATCTGCTCTGTCTAAGGGAACGTTCAACTCTGTGAGTTGAATGTACACAACACAAGGAAGTTACTGGGAATTCTTCTGTCTAGCCTTACATGAAGAAAACCAGTTTCCAACGAAGGCCTCTAAGTGGTCAAAATATCCACGTGTAGACTTTACAAACAGAGTGTTTCCAAACCGCTGAATGAAAAGAAAAGTTAAACTCTGAGATTTGAACGCACACACCACGCAGCAGTTTCTGAGAATGATTCTGTCTAGTTTTTATACGAAGATATTTCCTTTTCTGCCTTTGGCCCCAAAGTGCTTGAAATCTCCACTTGCAAATTCCACAAAAACAGTGTTTCAAATCTGCTCTCTCTAAATGAAAGTTCAACTCTGTCCGTTGAATACACACAACACAAGGAAGTTACTGAGAATTCTTCTGTCTAGCATAATATGAAGAAATCCCGTTTCCAACGAAGGCCTCAAAGGGGTCTGAATATCCACTTGCAGACTTTATAAACAGAGTGTTTACTAACTGCTCTATGAAAAGAAAGGTTAAACTCTGTGAGGTTGAACACACACATCACAAAGGAGTTTCTGAGAATCATTCTGTCTAGTTTTTCTACGAAGATATTTCCTTTTCTACTATTGACCTCAAAGCGGCTGAAATCTCCACTTGCAAATTCCACAAAAAGTGTGTTTTAAGTCTGCTCTGTGTAAAGGATCGTTCAAATCTGTGAGTTGAATGCACACAACACAAGGAAGTTACTGAGAATTCTTCTGTCTAGCAGAATATGAAGAAATCCCGTTTCCAACGAAGGCCTCAAGGAGGTCTGAATATCCACTTGCAGACTTTACAAACAGAGTGTTTCCTAACTGCTCTATGAAAAGAAAAGTTAAACTCTGTGAGTTGAACGAACACATCACAACGCAGTTTGTGGGAATGATTCTGTCTAGTTTTGAAACGAAGGTATTTCCTTTTCTGCCATTGACCTTAAAGCGCTTGAAATCTACACTTGCAAATTGCACAAATAGAGTGTTTCAAATCTGCTCTGTCTAAGGGAACGTTCAACTCCTGTGAGTTGAATGCACACAACACAAGGAAGTTACTGGGAATTCTTCTGTCTAGCCTTACATGAAAAAAACTCGTTTCCAACGAAGGCCTCTAAGTGGTCAAAATATCCACGTGCAGACTTTACAAACAGAGTGTTTCGAAACCGCTGAATGAAAAGAAAAGTTAAACTCTGAGAGTTGAACGCACACATCACGCAGCAGTTTCTGAGAATGATTCTGTCTAGTTTTTATACGAAGATATTTCCTTTTCTGCCTTTGGCCCCAAAGCGCTTGAAATCTCCACTTGCAAATTCCACAAAAACAGTGTTACAAATCTGCTCTCTCTAAATGAAAGTTCAACTCTGTCAGTTGAATACACACAACACAAGGAAGTTACTGAGAATTCTTCTGTCTAGCAGAATATGAAGAAATCCCGTTTCCAACGAAGGCCTCAAAGGGGTCTGAATATCCACTTGCAGACTTTACAAACAGAGTGTTTCCTAACTGCTCTATGAAAAGAAAGGTTAAACTCTGTGAGTTGAACACACACATCACAAAGGAGTTTCTGAGAATCATTCTATCTAGTTTCTATAGGAAGATATTTCCTATTCTACCATTGACCTCAAAGCGGCTGAAATCTCCAATTGCAAGTTCCACAAAAGGAGTGTTTCAAGCCTGCTCAGAGTAAAGGATCGTTCAACTCTGTGAGTTGAATACACACAACACAAGGAAGTTTCTGAGAATTCTTCTGTCTAGCAGAATATGAAGAAATCCCGTTTCCAACGAAGGCCACAAGATGTCAGAATATCCAGTTACAGAATTGACAAACAGACTGTTTCCTAACTGCTCTATGAAAAGAAAGGTTAAACTCTGTGAGTTGAACGAACACATCACAACGCAGTTTGTGGGAATGATTCTGTCTAGTTTTGAAACGAAGATATTTCCTTTTCTGCCGTTGACCTTAAAGCGCTTGAAATCTACACTTGCAAATTACACAAATATAGTGTTTCAAATCTGCTCTGTCTAAGGGAACGTTCAACTCTGTGAGTTGAATGCACACAACACAAGGAAGTTACTGGGAATTCTTCTGTATAGCCTTACATGAAAAAATCCCGTTTCCAACGAAGGCCTCTAAGTGGTCAAAATTTCCACGTGCAGACTTTACAAACAGAGTGTTTCCAAACCGCTGAATGAAAAGAAAAGTTAAACTCTGAGAGTTGAACGCACACATCACGCAGCAGTTTCTGAGAATGATTCTGTCTAGTTTCTATAGGAAGATATTTCCTATTCTACCATTGACCTCAAAGCGGCTGAAATCTCCACTTGCATATTCCACAAAAAGAGTGTTTCAAGTCTGCTCTGTGTAAAGGATCGTTCAACTCTGTGAGTTGAATACACACAACACAAGGCAGTTACTGAGAATTCTTCTGTCTAGCAGAATATGATGAACTCCCGTTTCCAACGAAAGCCTCAAAGATGTCTGAATATCCACTTGCAGACTTTACAAACAGAGTGTTTCCTAACTGCTCTATGAAAAGAAAGGTTAAACTCTGTGAGTTCAACGCACACATCACAAAGGAGTTTCTGAGAATCATTCTGTCTAGTCTTTATAGGAAGATATTTACTTTTCTACCATTGACCTCAAAGCGGCTGAAATCTCCACTTGCAAATTCCACAAAAAGAGTGTTTCAAGTCTGCTCTGTGTAAAGGATCATTCAACTCTGTGAGTTGAATAAACACAACACAAGGAAGTTACTGAGAATTCTTCTGTCTAGCAGAATATGAAGAAATCCCGTTTCCAACGAAGGCCACAAGATGTCAGAATATCCACTTACAGACTTTACAAACAGAGTGTTTCCTAACTGCTCTATGAACAGAAAGGTTAAACTCTGTGAGTTGAACGAACACATCACAACGCAGTTTGTGGGAATGATTTCTGTCTAGTTTTGAAACGAAGATATTTCCTTTTCTGCCATTGACCTTAAAGCGCTTGAAATCTACACTTGCAAATTGCACAAATAGAGTGTTTCAAATCTGCTCTGTCTAAGGGAACGTTCAACTCTGTGAGTTGAATGCACACAACACAAGGAAGTTACTGGGAATTCTTCTGTCTAGCCTTACATGAAAAAAACCCGTTTCCAACGAAGGCCTCTAAGTGGTCAAAATATCCACGTGCAGACTTTACAAACAGAGTGTTTCCAAACGGCTGAATGAAAAGAAAAGTTAAAGTCTGAGAGTTGAACGCACACATCACGCAGCAGTTTCTGAGAATGATTCTGTCTAGTTTTTATACGAAGATATTTCCTTTTCTACCTTTGGCCTGAAAGGGCTTGAAATCTCCATTTGCAAATTCCACAAAAAGAGTGTTTCAAATCTGCTCTGTGTAAATGAAAGTTCAACTCTGTGAGTTGAATACACACAACACAAGGAAGTTACTGGGAATTCTTCTGTCTAGCCTTACATGAAAAAAACCCGTTTCCAACGAAGGCCTCAAAGAGGTCTGAATATCCACTTGCAGACTTTACAAACAGAGTGTTTCCTAACTCCTCTATGAAAAGAAAGGTTAAACTCTGTGAGTTGAACACACACATCACAAAGGAGTTTCTGAGAATCATTCTGTCTAGTTTCTATAGGAAGATATTTCCTATTCTACCATTGACCTCAAATCGGATGAAATCTCCACTTGCAAATTCCACAAAAAGAGTGTTTCAAGTCTGCTCTGTGTAAAGGATCATTCAACTCTGTGAGTTGAATACACACAACACAAGGAACTTACTGAGAATTCTTCTGTCTAGCATAATATGAAGAAATCCCGTTTCCAACGAAGGCCTCAAGGAGGTCTGAATATCCACTTGCAGACTTAACAAACAGAGTGTTTCCTAACTGCTCTATGAAAAGAAAGGTTAAACTCTGTGAGTTGAACGCACACATCACAAAGGAGTTTCTGAGAATCATTCTGTCTAGTTTCTATAGGAAGATATTTCCTATTCTACCATTGACCTCAAAGCGGCTGAATTCTCCACTTGCAAATTCCACAAAAAGAGTGTTTCAAGTCTGCTCTGTGTAAAGGATCGTTGAACTCTGTGAGTTGAAAACACACAACACAAGGAAGTTTCTGAGAATTCTTCTGTATAGCAGAATATGAAGAAATCCGGTTTCCAAAGAAGGCCTCAAGGAGGTCTGAATATCCACTTGCAGACTTTACAGAGTGTTTCCTAACTGCTCTATGAAAAGAAAGGTTAAACTCTGTGAGTTGAACGCACACATCACAAAGGAGTTTCTGAGAATCATTCTGTCTAGTTTTTATACGAAGATATATCCTTTTCTGCCTTTGGCCCCAAAGCGCTTGAAATCTCCACTTGCAAATTCCACAAAAACAGTGTTTCAAATCTGCTCTCTCTAAATGAAAGTTCAACTCTGTCAGTTGAATACACACAACACAAGGAAGTGACTGAGAATTCTTCTGTCTAGCATAATATGAAGAAATCCCGTTTCCAACGAAGGCCTCAAAGAGGTCTGAATATCCACTTGCAGACTTTACAAACAGAGTGTTTCCTAACTGCTCTATGAAAAGAAAAGTTAAACTCTGTGAGTTGAACGCAAACATCACAAAGGAGTTTCTGAGAATCATTCTGTCTAGTCTTTATACGAAGATATTTCCTTTTCTACCATTGACCTCAAAGCGGCTGAAATCTCCACTTGCAAATTCCACAAAAAGAGTGTTTCAAGTCTGCTCTGTGTAAAGGATCGTTCAACTCTGTGAGTTGAATACACACAACACAAGGAAGTTACTGAGAATTCTCTGTCTAGCAGAATATGAAGAAATCCCGTTTCCAACGAAGGCCTCAAGGAGGTCTGAATATCCACTTGCAGAATTTACAAACAGAGTGTTTCCTAACTGCTCTATGAAAAGAAAGGTTAAACTCTTTGAGTTGAACGCACACATCACAACGCAGTTTGTGGGAATGATTCTGTCTAGTTTTTATAGGAAGATATTTCCTTTTCTACATTTGACTTCAAAGCGGCTGAAATCTCCACTTGCAAATTCCACAAAAAGAGTGTTCCAAGTCTGCTCTGTGTAAAGGATCGTTCAACTCTGTGAGTTGAATACACACAACACAAGGAAGTTACTGAGAATTCTTCTGTCTAGCCTTACATGAAAAAAACCCGTTTCCAACGAAGGCCTCTAAGTGGTCAAAATTTCCACGTGCAGACTTTACAAACAGAGTGTTTCCAAACCGCTGAATGAAAAGAAAAGTTAAACTCTGAGAGTTGAACGCACACATCACGCACCAGTTTCTGAGAATGATTCTGTCTAGTTTTTATACGAAGATATTTCCTTTTCTGCCTTTGACCCCAAAGCGCTTGAAATTTCCACTTGCAAATTCCACAAAAACAGTGTTTCAAATCTGCTCTCTCTAAATGAAAGTTCAACTCTGTCAGTTGAATACACACAACACAAGGAAGTTACTGAGAATTCTTCTCTCTAGCAGAATATGAAGAAATCCCGTTTCCAACGAAGGCCTCAAAGAGGTCTGAATATCCACTTGCAGACTTTACAAACAGAGTGTTTCCTAACTTCTCTATGAAAAGAAAGGTTAAACTCTGTGAGTTGAACGCACACATCACAAAGGAGTTTCTGAGAATCATTCTGTCTAGTTTTTCTACGAAGATATTTCCTTTTCTACCATTGACCTCAAAGCGGCTGAAATCTCCACTTGCAAATTCCACAAAAAGAGTGTTTCAAGTCTGCTCTGTGTAAAGGATCGTTCAACTCTGTGAGTTGAATAAACACAACACAAGGAAGTTACTGAGAATTCTTCTGTCTAGCAGAATATGAAGAAATCCCGTTTCCAACGAAGGCCACAAGATGTCAGAATATCCACTTACAGACTTTACAAACAGAGTGTTTCCTAACTGCTCTATGAACAGAAAGGTTAAACTCTGTGAGTGGAACGAACACATCACAACGCAGTTTGTGGGAATGATTCTGTCTAGTTTTGAAACGAAGATATTTCGTTTTCTGCCATTGACCTTAAAGCGCTTGAAATCTCCACTTGCCAATTGCACAAAAAGAGTGTTTCAAATCTGCTCTGTCTAAGGGAACGTTCAACTCTGTGAGTTCAATGTACACAACACAAGGAAGTTACTGGGAATTCTTCTGTCTAGCCTTACAGGAAAAAAACCCGTTTCCAACGAAGGCCTCTAAGTGGTCAAGTTATCCACGTGCAGACTTTACAAACAGAGTGTTTCCAAACTGCTGAATGAAAAGAAAAGTTAAACTCTGAGAGTTGAACGCACACATCGCAGAGCAGTTTCTGAGAATGATTCTGTCTAGTTTTTATACGAAGATATTTCCTTTTCTGCCTTTGGCCCCAAAGCGCTTGAAATCTCCACTTGCAAATTCCACAAAAACAGTGTTTCAAATCTGCTCTCTCTAAATGAAAGTTGAACTCTGTCAGTTGAATACACACAACACAAGGAAGTTACTGAGAATTCTTCTGTCTAGCCTTACATGAAAAAAACCCGTTTCCAACGAAGGCCTCAAAGAAGTCCAAATATCCACATGCAGACTTTACAAACAGAGTGTTTCCTAACTGCTCTATGAAAAGAAAGGTTAAACTCTGTGAGTTGAACCCACACATCACAAAGGAGTTTCTGAGAATCATTCTGTCTAGTTTTTATACGAAGATATTTCCTTTTCTACCATTGACCTCAACGCGGCTGGAATCTCCACTTGCAAATTCCACAAAACGAGTGTTTCAAGTCCGCTCTGTGTAAAGGATCGTTCAACTCTGTGAGTTGAATACACACAACACAAGGAAGTTACTGAGAATTCTTCTGTCTAGCAGAATATGAAGAGATCCCGTTTCCAACGGAGGCCACAAGATGTCAGAATATCCACTTACAGAATTTACCAACAGAGTGTTTCCTAACTGCTCTATGAAAAGAAAGGTTAAACTCTGTGAGTTGAACGAACACATCACAACGCAGTCTGTGGGAATGATTCTGTCTAGTTTTGAAACGAAGATATTTCCTTTTCAGCCATTGACCTTAAAGCGCTTGAAATCTACACTTGCAAATTGCACAAATAGAGTGTTTCAAATCTGCTCTGTCTAAGGGAACGTTCATCTCTGTGAGTTGAATGCACACAACACAAGGAAGTTACTGGGAATTCTTCTGTCTAGCCTTACATGAAAGAAACCCGTTTCCAACGAAGGCCTCTAAGTGGTCAAAATATCCACGTGCAGACTTTACAAACAGACTGTTTCCAAACTGCTGAATGAAAAGAAAAGTTAAACTCTGAGAGTTGAACGCACACATCGCAGAGCAGTTTCTGAGAATGATTCTGTCTAGTTTTTATACGAAGATATTTCCTTTTCTGCCTTTGGCCCCAAAGCGCTTGAAATCTCCACTTGCAAATTCCACAAAAACAGTGTTTCAAATCTGCTCTCTCTAAATGAAAGTTTAACTCTGTCAGTTGAATACACACAACACAAGGAAGTTACTGAGAATTCTTCTGTCTAGCATAATATGAAGAAATCCCGTTTCCAACGAAGGCCTCAAAGGGGTCTGAATATCCACTTGCAGACTTTATAAACAGAGTGTTTACTAACTGCTCTATGAAAAGAAACGTTAAACTCTGTGAGTTGAACACACACATCACAAAGCAGTTTCTGAGAATCATTCTGTCTAGTTTTTATAGGAAGATATTTCCTATTCTACCATTGACCTCAAAGCGGCTGAAATCTCCACTTGCAAATTCCACAACAAGAGTGTTTCAAGTCTGCTCTGTGTAAAGGATCGTTGAACTCTGTGAGTTGAATACACACAACACAAGGAAGTTATTGAGAATTCTTCTGTCTAGCATAATATGAAGAAATCCCGTTTCCAACGAAGGCCTCAAAGGGGTCTGAATATCCACTTGCAGACTTTATAAACAGAGTGTTTCCTAACTGCTCTATGAAAAGAAAGGTTAAACTCTGTGAGTTGAACGCACACATCACAAAGGAGTTTCTGAGAATCATTCTGTCTAGTTTTTATATGAAGATATTTCCTTTTATACCATTGACCTCAAAGCGGCTGAAATCACCACTTGCCAATTGCACAAAAACAGTGTTTCAAATCTGCTGTGTCTAAGGAAACGTTCAACTCTGTGAGTTGAATGTACACAACACAAGGAAGTTACTGGGAATTCTTCTGTCTTGCCTTACATGAAAAAAACCCGTTTCCAACGAAGGCCTCTAAGTGGTCAAAATATCCACATGCAGACTTTACAAACAGAGTGTTTCCAAACCGCTGAATGAAAAGAAAAGTTAAAGTCTGAGAGTTGAACGCACACATCACGCAGCAGTTTCTGAGAATGATTCTGTCTAGTTTTGAAACGAAGATATTTCCTTTTCTGCCTTTGGCCTCAAAGCGCTTGAAATCTCCACTTGCAAATTCCACAAAAAGAGTGTTTCAAATCTGCTCTGGGTAAATGAAAGTTCAACTCCTGTGAGTTGAACACACACAACACAAGGAAGTTACTGGGAATTCTTCTGTCTAGCCTTATATGAAAAAAACCCGTTTCCAACGAAGGCCTCAAAGAGGTCTCAATATCCACTTGCAGACTTTACAAACAGAGTGTTTCCTCACTGCTCTATGAAAAGAAAGGTTAAACTCTGTGAGTTGAACGTACACATCACAAAGGAGTTTCTGAGAATCATTCTGTCTAGTCTTTATACGAAGATATTTCCTTTTCTACCATTGACCTCAAAGTGGCTGAAATCTCCACTTGCAAATTCCACAAAAAGAGTGTTTCAAGTCTGCTCTGTGTAAAGGATCGTTCAACTCTGTGAGTTGAATACACACAACACAAGGAAGTTACTGAGAATTCTTCTGTCTAGCAGAATATGAAGAAATCCCGTTTCCAACGAAGGCCACAAGATGTCAGAATATCCACTAACAGACTTTACACAGTGTTTCCTAACTGCTCTATGAACAGAAAGGTTAAACTCTGTGAGTTGAACGAACACATCACAACGCAGTTTGTGGGAATGATTCTGTCTAGTTTTTATACGAAGATATTTCCTTTTCTACCATTGACCTCAAAGCGGCTGAAATCACCACTTGCCAATTGCACAAAAAGAGTGTTTCAAATCTGCTCTGTCTAAGGGAACGTTCAACTCTGTGAGTTGAATGTACACAACACAAGGAAGTTACTGGTAATTCTTCTGTCTAGCCTTACAGGAAAAAAACCCGTTTCCAACGAAGGCCTCTAAGTGATCAAAATATCCACGTGCAGACTTTACAAACAGAGTGTTTCCAAACTGCTGAATGAAAAGAAAAGTTAAACTCTGAGAGTTGAACGCACACATCGCAGAGCAGTTTCTGAGAATGATTCTGTCTAGTTTTTATACGAAGATATTTCCTTTTCTGCCTTTGGCCCCAAAGCGCTTGAAATCTCCACTTGCAAATTCCACAAAAACAGTGTTTCAAATCTGCTCTCTCTAAATGAAAGTTCAACTCTGTCAGTTGAATACACAGAACACAAGGAAGTTACTGAGAATTCTTCTGTCTAGCATAATATGAAGAAATCCCGTTTCCAACGAAGGCCTCAAGGAGGTCTGAATATCCACTTGCAGACTTTACAAACAGAGTGTTTCCTAACTGCTCTATGAAAAGAAAGTTTAAACTCTGTGAGTTGAACGCACACATCACAAAGGAGTTTCTGAGAATCATTCTGTCTAGTTTTTCTACGAAGATATTTCCTTTTCTACTATTGACCTCAAAGCGGCTGAAATCTCCACTTGCAAATTCCACAAAAAGAGTGTTTCAAGTCTGCTCTGTGTAAAGGATCGTTCAAGTCTGTGAGTTGAATACACACAACACAAGGAAGTTACTGAGAATTCTTCTGTCTAGCAGAATATGAAGAAATCCCGTTTCCAACGAAGGCGTCAAGGAGGTCTGAATATCCACTTGCAGACTTTACAAACAGAGTGTTTCCTAACTGCTCTATGAAAAGAAAAGTTAAACTCTGTGTGTTGAACGCACACATCACAAAGGAGTTTCTGAGAATCATTCTCTCTAGTTTTGAAACGAAGATATTTCCTTTTCTGCCATTGACCTTAAAGCGCTTGAAATCTCCACTTGCCAATTGCACAAAAAGAGTGTTTCAAATCTGCTCTGTCTAAGGGAACGTTCAACTCTGTGAGTTGAATGTACACAACACAAGGGAAGTTACTGGGAATTCTTCTGTCTAGCCTTACATGAAAAAAACCCGTTTCCAACGAAGGACTCTAAGTGGTCAAAATATCCACGTGCAGACTTTACAAACAGAGTGTTTCCAAACTGCTGAATGAAAAGAAAAGTTAAACTCTGAGAGTTGAACGCACACATCGCAGAGCAGTTTCTGAGAATGATTTCTGTCTAGTTTTTATACGAAGATATTTCCTTTTCTGCCTTTGGCTTCACAGCGCTTGAAATCTCCACTTGCAAATTCCACAAAAAGAGTGTTTCAAATCTGCTCTGTGTAAATGAAAGTTCAACTCTGTGAGTTGAACACACACAACACAAGGAAGTTACTGGGAATTCTTCTGTCTAGCAAAATATGAAGAAATCCCGTTTCCAACGAAGGCCTCAAAGAGGTCTGAATATCCACTTGCAGACTTTACAAACAGAGTGTTTCCTAACTGCTCTATGAGAAGAAAAGTTAAACTCTGTGAGTTGAACGCACACATCACAAAAGATTTTCTGAGAATCATTCTGTCTAGGTTCTATAGGAAGATATTTCCTATTCTACCATTGACCTCAAAGCGGCTGAAATCTCCACTTGCAAATTCCACAAAAAGAGTGTTTCAAGTCTGCTCTGTGTAAAGGATCGTTGAACTCTGTGAGTTGAAAACACACAACACAAGGAAGTTTCTGAGAATTCTTCTGTCTAGCAGAATATGAAGAAATCCCGTTTCCAACGAAGGCCTCAAAGAGGTCTGAATATCCACTTGCAGACTTTACACACAGAGTGTTTCCTAACTGCTCTATGAACAGAAAGGTTAAACTCTGTGAGTTGAACGAACACATCACAACGCACTTTGTGGGAATGATTCTGTCTAGTTTTTAAAGGAAGATATTTCCTTTTCTACATTTGACTTCAAAGCGGCTGAAATCTCCACTTGCAAATTCCACAAAAAGAGTGTTACAAGTCTGCTCTGTGTAAAGGATCGTTCAACTCTGTGAGTTGAATACACACAACACAAGGAAGTTACTGAGAATTCTTCTGTCTAGCCTTCCATGAAAAAAACCCGTTTCCAACGAAGGCCTCTAAGTGGTCAAAATATCCACGTGCAGACTTTACAAACAGAGTGTTTCCAAACTGCTGAATGAAAAGAAAAGTTAAACTCTGAGAGTTGAACGCACACATCGCAGAGCAGTTTCTGAGAATGATTCTGTCTAGTTTTTATACGAAGATATTTCCTTTTCTGCCTTTGGCCTCAAAGCGCTTGAAATCTCCATTTGAAAATTCCACAAAAAGAGTGTTTCAAATCTGCTCTGTGTAAATGAAAGTTCAACTCTGTGAGTTGAATACACACAACACAAGGAAGTTACTGGGAATTCTTCTGTCTAGCATCATATGAAGAAATCCCGTTTCCAACGAAGGCCTCAAAAAGGTCTGAATATCCACTTGCAGACTTTAAAAACAGAGTGTTTCCTAACTGCTCTATGAAAAGAAAGGTTAAACTCTGTGAGTTGAACGCACACATCACAAATGAGTTTCTGAGAATCATTCTGTCTAGTCTTTATATGAAGATAGTTTCCTTTTCTACCATTGACCTCAAAGCGGCTGAAATCTCCACTTGCAAATTCTACAAAAAGAGTGTTTCAAGTCTGCTCTGTGTAAAGGATCGTTCAACTCTGTGAGTTGAATACACACAACACAAGGAAGTTACTGAGAATTCTTCTGTCTAGCAGAATATGAAGAAATCCCGTTTCCAACGAAGGCCACAAGATGTCAGAATATCCACTTACAGAATTTACCAACAGAGTGTTTCCTAACTGCTCTATGAAAAGAAAGGTTAAACTCTGTGAGTTGAACGAACACATCACAACGCAGTTTGTGGGAATGATTCTGTCTAGTTTTTATAGGAAGATATTTCCTTTTCTACCTTTGACTTGAAAGCGGCTGAAATCTCCACTTGCAAATTCCACAAAAAGAGTGTTACAAGTCTGCTCTGTCTAAGGGAACGTTCAACTCTGTGAGTTGAATGTACACAACACAAGGAAGTTACTGAGAATTCTTCTGTCTAGCCTTATATGAAGAAATCCCGTTTCCAACGAAGGCCTCAAAGAGGTCTGAATATCCACTTGCAGACTTTACAAACAGAGTGTTTCCTAACTGCTCTATGAAAAGAAAGGTTAAACTCTGTGAGTTGAACGCACACATCGCAGAGCAGTTTCTGAGAATGATTCTGTCTAGTTTTGAAACGAAGATATTTCCTTTTCTGCCTTTGGCCTCAAAGCGCTTGAAATCTCCACTTGCAAATTCCACAAAAAGAGTGTTTCAAATCTGCTCTGGGTAAATGAAAGTTCAACTCTGTGAGTTGAACACACACAATACAAGGAAGTTACTGGGAATTCTTCTGTCTAGCATAATATGAAGAAATCCCGTTTCCAACGAAAGCCTCAAAGATGTCTGAATATCCACTTGCAGACATTACAAACACAGTTTTTCCTAACTGCTCTATGAAAAGAAAGGTTAAACTCTGTGAGTTGAACGCACACATCACAAAGGAGTTTCTGAGAATCATTCTGTCTAGTTTCTATAGGAAGATATTTCCTATTCTACCATTGAACTCAAAGCGGCTGAAATCTCCACTTGCAAATTCCACAAAAAGAGTGTTTCAAGTCTGCTCTGTGTAAAGGATCGTTCAACTGCTGTGAGTTGAATACACACAACACAAGGAAGTTACTGAGAATTCTTCTGTCTAGCATAATATGAAGAAATCCCGTTTCCAACGAAGGCCTCAAGGAGGTCTGAATATCCACTTGCAGACTTTACAAACAGAGTGTTTCCTAACTGCTCTATGAAAAGAAAGGTTAAACTCTGTGAGTTAAACGCACACATCACAAAGGAGTTTCTGAGAATCATTCTGTCTAGTTTTGAAACGAAGATATTTCCTTTTCTGCCATTGACCTTAAAGCGCTTGAAATCTACACTTGCAAATTGCACAAATAGAGTGTTTCAAATCTGCTCTCTCTAAGGAACGTTCAACTCTGTGAGTTGAATGCACACAACACAAGGAAGTTACTGGGAATTCTTCTGTCTAGCCTTACATGAAAAAAACCCGTTTCCAACGAAGGCCTCAAAGAGGTCTGAATATCCACGTGCAGACTTTACAAACAGAGTGTTTCCAAACCGCTGAATGAAAAGAAAGGTTAAACTCTGTGAGTTGAACGCACACATCACAAAGGAGTTTCTGAGAATCACTCTGTCTAGTTTTTATACGAAGATATTTCCTTTTCTGCCTTTGGCCTTAAAGCGCTTGAAATCTCCACTTGCAAATTCCACAAAAAGAGTGTTTCAAATCTGCTCTGTTTAAATGAAAGTTCAGCTCTGTGAGTTGAACACACACAACACAAGGAAGTTACTGGGAATTCTTCTGTCTAGCCTTATATGAAAAAAACCCGTTTCCAACGAAGGCCTCAAAGAGGTCTGAATATCCACTTGCAGACTTTACAAACAGAGTGATTCCTAACTGCTCTATGAAAAGAAAGGTTAAACTCTGTGAGTTGAACACACACATCTCAAAGGAGTTTCTGAGAAACATTCTGTCTAGTTTTTCTACGAAGATATTTCCTATTCTACTATTGACCTCAAAGCGGCTGAAATCTCCACTTGCAAATTCCACAAAAAGAGTGTTTCAAGTCTGCTCTCTGTAAAGGATCGTTCAACTCTGTGAGTTGAATACACACAACACAAGGAAGTTACTGAGAATTATTCTGTCTAGCAGAATATGAAGAAATCCCGTTTCCAACGAAGGCCTCAAAGAGGTCTGAATATCCACTTGCAGACTTTACAAACAGAGTGTTTCCTAACTGCTCTACGAAAAGAAAGGTTAAACTCTGTGAGTTGAACGAACACATCACAACGCAGTTTGTGGGAATGATTCTGTCTAGTTTTTATAGGAAGATATTTCCTTTTCTACCTTTGACTTCAAAGCGGCTGAAATCTCCACTTGCAAATTCCACAAAAAGACTGTTACAAGTCTGCTCTGTCTAAGGGAACGTTCAACTCTGTGAGTTGAATGTACACAACACAAAGAAGTTACTGGGAATTCTTCTGTCTAGCCTTACATGAAAAAAACCCGTTTCCAATGAAGGCCTCTAAGTGGTCAAATTATCCACGTGCAGACTTTACAAACAGAGTGTTTCCAAACTGCTGAATGAAAAGAAAAGTTAAACTCTGAGAGTTGAACGAACACATCACAGAGCAGTTTCTGAGAATGATTCTGTCTAGTTTTTATACGAAGATATTTCCTTTTCTGCCATTGGCCTCAAAGCACTTGAAATCTCCACTTGCAAATTCCACAAAAAGAGTGTTTCAAATCTGCTCTGTGTAAATGAAAGTTCAACTCTGTGACTTAAAAAACACACAACACAAGGAAGTTACTGGGATTTCTTCTGTCTAGCATAATATGAAGAAATCCCGTTTCCAACGAAGGCCTCAAAGAGGTCTAATATCCACTTGCAGACTTTACAAACAGAGTGTTTCCTAACTGCTCTATGAGAAGAAAAGTTAAACTCTGTGAGTTGAACGCACACATCACAAAAGATTTTCTGAGAATCATTCTGTCTAGTCTTTATACGAAGATATTTCCTTTTCTACCATTGACCTCAAAGCGGCTGAAATCTCCACTTGCAAATTCCACAAAAAGAGTGTCTCAAGTCTGCTCTGTGTAATGGATCGTTCAACTCTGTGAGTTGAATACACACAACACAAGGAAGTTACTGAGAATTCTTCTTTCTGGCAGAATATGAAGAAATCCCGTTTCCAACGAACGCCTCAAGGATGTCTGAATATCCACTTGCAGACTTTACAAACAGAGTGTTTCCTAACTGCTCTATGAAAAGAAAGGGTAAACTCTGTGAGTTGAACGCACACATCACAAAGGAGTTTCTGAGAATCATTCTGTCTAGTTTTGAAACCAAGATATTTCCTTTTCTGCCGTTGACCTTAAAGAGCTTGAAAACTACACTTGCATATTGCACAAATAGAGTGTTTCAAATCTGCTCTGTCTAAGGGAACGTTCAACTCTGTGAGTTGAATGCACACAACACAAGGAAGTTACTGGGAATTCTTCTGTCTAGCCTTACATGAAAAAATCCCGTTTCCAACGAAGGTCTCTAAGTTGTCAAAATTTCCACGTGCAGACTTTACAAACAGAGTGTTTCCAAACCGCTGAATGAAAAGAAAAGTTAAACTCTGAGAGTTGATCGCACACATCACGCAGCAGTTTCTGAGAATGATTCTGTCTAGTTTTTATAGGAAGATATTTCCTTTTGTACCATTGACCACAAAGCGGCTGAAATCTCCACTTGCAAATTCCACAAAAAGGGTGTTTCAAGTCTGCTCTGTGTAAAGGATCGTTCAACTCTCTGAGTTGAATACACACAACACGCGGAAGTTACTGAGAATTCTTCTTTCTTGCAGAATATGAAGAAATCCCGTTTCCAACGAAAGCCTCAAGGATGTCTGAATATCCACTTGCAGACTTTACAAACAGAGTGTTTCCTAACTGCTCTATGAAAAGAAAGGTTAAACTCTGTGAGTTGAACGCACACATCACAAAGGAGTTTCTGAGAATCATTCTGTCTCGTTTCTATAGGAAGATATTTCCTATTCTACCATTGACCTCAAAGCGGCTGAAATCTCCACTTGCAAATTCCACAAAAAGAGTGTTTCAAGTCTGCTCTGTGTAAAGGATCGTACAACTCTGTGAGTTGAATACACACAACACAAGGGAAGTTACTGAGAATTCTTCTGTCTAGCAGAATATGAAGAAATCCCGTTTCCAACGAAGGCCACAAGATGTCAGAATATCCACTTACAGACTTTACAAACAGAGTGTTTCCTAACTGCTCTATGAACAGAAAGGTTAAACTCTGTGAGTTGAACGAACACATCAGAACGCAGTTTGTGGGAATGATTCTGTCTAGTTTTGAAACGAAGATATTTCCTTTTCTGCCATTGACCTTAAAGCGCTTGAAATCTCCACTTGCCAATTGCACAAAAAGAGTGTTTCAAATCTGCTCTGTCTAAGGGAACGTTCAACTCTGTGAGTGGAATGTACACAACACAAGGAAGGTACTGGGAATTCTTCTGTCTAGCCTTACAGGAAAAAAACCCGTTTCCAACGAAGGCCTCTAAGTGGTCAAAATATCCACGTGCAGACTTTACAAACAGAGTGTTTCCAAACTGCTGAATGAAAAGAAAAGTTAAACTCTGAGAGTTGAACGCACACATCGCAGAGCAGTTTCTGAGAATGATTTCTGTCTAGTTTTTATACGAAGATATTTCCTTTTCTGCTTTTGGCCTCAAAGCGCTTGAAATCTCCACTTGCAAATTCCACAAAAAGAGTGTTTCAAATCTGCTCTGTGTAAATGAAAGTTCAACTCTGTGAGTTGAACACACACAACACAAGGAAGTTACTGGGAATTCTTCTCTCTAGAAGAATATGAAGAAATCCCGTTTCCAACGAAGGCCTCAAAGAGGTCTGAATATCCACTTGCAGACTTTACAAACAGAGTGTTTCCTAACTGCTCTATGAAAAGAAAGGTTAAACTCTGTGAGTTGAACGCACACATCTCAAAGGAGTTTCTGAGAATCATTCTGTCTAGTTTCTATAGGAAGATATTTCCTATTCTACCATTGACCTCAAAGCGGATGAAATCTCCACTTGCAAATTCCACAAGAGTGTTTCAAGTCTACTCTGTGTAAAGCATCGTTCAACTCTGTGAGTTGAAAACACAGAACACAA